>NC_000011.10:5211515-5514545 GCF_000001405.40 Homo sapiens
CTTCTCCCCGTTCCCACCCTCCAAACTCAATTAGGCTGCAGTGTCTTTTGTTCCCGTTATGTGTGCATGTTTTCTCATCATTTAGTTCCTACTTGTAAGTGATAATATGTAGTATTTGGTTTTCTGTTCTTACATTAGTTTGTTAAGGATAATGGTGTCCGGCTCCATCCATGTTCCTGCAAAGGACATGATCTCATTCTTTTTTATGGCCACATAGTATTCCATGGTGTATATGTACATGTTCTTTATCGGTATACCACTAATGGGCCTTCAGGTTGATTCTATGTCTTTGCTATTGTGATTATGCTGCAATGGACACAGGTGTGCATGTGTCTTTGTGATAGAATGGTTTATTTTCCTTTAGGTATATACTCAATAATAGGATTGTTGGGTTAAATGGTATTTCTGTTTTTAGGTCTTTAGGGAATTGCCACACTGCTGTCTACAATGGTCGAACTAATTTATATTGCCACCAATGGTGTATAAACATTCCCTTTTCTCCACAACCTTACCCACATCTGTTATTTTTTGACTATTTAATTATAGATATTTTAAGTGATGTGAGATAGTATCTCATTTTGGGTTTGATTGGCATTTCTCTAATGATCAGTGACACTGAGCTTTTTTCATATGCTTGGTGGCCACATGTATGTCTTCTTTTGAATACTGTCTGTTCATGTCCTTTACCCATTTTTTGTGGCATTGTTTGTTTTGTTCTTGTAGATTCATTTAAGTTCCTTATAGATTCTGAATATTAGGCCTTTGTTGGATGCATAGTTTGCAAAAATTTTCTCCCATTCTATAGGTTGTTTACTCAGTTGATAGTTTCTTTTGCTGTGCAGAAACTTTATTTTAATTAGATCCTATTTGTCAATTTTTGCTTTTGCTGCAATGACTGTTGGCATCTTTGTCATGAAATCTTTGCCCCTGCTTATGTCCGGAATGGTATTGCCTAGGTTGCTTTCAAGCATTTTTATAGTTTGGGTTTTGCATTTAAGTCTCTAATCCATCTTGAGTTTATTTGTGTATATGATATAGAACGGGGTCTGGTTTCAATCTTCTACATACGGTTAGTCAGTTATCCCAACACCACTTGTTGAATAGGGTGTCTTTTCCTCATTGCTTGTTTTTATCAGCTTTGTCAAAGATCAGATGGTTGTAGGCATGTGGTCTTATTTCTGGGCTCTCTATTCTGTTCCATTTGTCTGTGTGTCTTTTCTGTAACAGTACCACACTGTTTTGGTTACTGTAGCCCTGTGGTATGGTTTGAAGTTAGGCAATGTATTATCTCCAGCTTTTTTCTTTTTCTCTTTTTTTTTTTTTGTACTCTAAGTTCTACGGTACCTGTGCAGTTTGTTACATATGTATACGTGTGCCATATTGGTGTGCTGCACCCGTTAACTCGTCATTTACATTAGATATATCTCCTAATGTTATCCCTCCTCTCTCCTACCACCCCACGACAGGCCCCGGTGTGTGATGTTCCCCACCCTGTGTCCAAGTGTTCTCATTTTTCAATTCCCACCTGTGAGTATTAGGATTTCCTAGGCTATTTGGACTTTTTTTGTTGTTGTTCCATATGAACTTTAAAGTGTATTTTTCTAGTTCTGTGAAGAATGTCATTGGTAGTTTGATAGGAATAGCTTTGAAACTGTAAATTGCTCTAGGCAGTATGGACATTTTAACAATATTGATTCTTTTTATCCATGAGCATGGAAAGTTTTTCCATTTGTTTCTATCAGCTCTGATTTCTTTGAGCAGTGTTTTGTAAATCTCATTGTAGAGATCTTTCAACTGCTTGGTTAGATATATCCTTAGGTATTTTATTCTTTTTGTGGCAACGGTAAATGGGATTGACTTCCTGATTTGGCTCTAGGCTTGGCTATTGTTGATGTATGGGAATGCTAGTGATTTTTGTACATTGATTTTATATCCTGAAACTTTGCTGAAGTTATCAGCTGAAGGAGCTTTTGGGCCTTGACTATGGTGTTTTCTAGATACAGAAAACAGGGATACTTTGACTTTCTCTCTTCCTATTTGGATGCCCTTTATTCCCTTCTCTTGCCTGATTGCTCTGGCCAGGACTGCCAGTACTATACTGAATAGCAGTGGTGAGAGAGGGCATCCTTGTCTTGTGCCAGTTTTCAAGAAGAATGCTTCCAGGTTTTGCCCATTCTGTATGATGTTGGCTGTGGGTTTGTCATAGATGGCTCATATTATTTTGAGGTCATGTCCTTAAATAGCTAGTTTGTTGAGAGGTTTTAACATGAAGTGAAGTTGAATTTTATCAAAATCTTTTTTTGCACATATTGAAATGATCATGTGGTTTCTGTTTTTAGTGCTGTATATATGATGAATCACATTTATCAATTTGTATATGCTGAACCAATCTTGCTTCTCAGGGATAAAGCCTACTTGATTGAGGTGGATTAGCTTTGTGATGTGTTGCTGGATTTGGCTTGCTAGTATTTTTGCATCAATGTTCAAGGATATTGGCCTGAAGTTTTCTTTTTTTGTTGTTGTGTGTCTATCAGGTTTTGGTATCAGGATGATGCTGGCCTCATAAAATGAGCTGAGGTTGAATCCCTCCCCCTCAATTTTTTGGAGTAGCTTCAGTAGGAATTTTTCCAACTCTTCTTTGTGCATCTGATAGAATTTGGTTGTGAATCATATTGTCCAGGGCTTTTTTTGTTTGATAGGCTATTTATTACTGAATCATTTTCAGAGCTCATCATGGATCTCTTCAGGAAATTGATTTCTTCCTGGTTCAGCCTTGGGAGGACCTAAAACAATCCTCAGCAAATGCAAAAAAAAAATCATATCAATCACTCTCAGACCACAGAGGAATAAAAATAGATTTCAAGACTAATGAATAGCTGAAAACTATGCAATTACATGGAAATTAAACAACCTGCTCCTGAATGAATTTTGGGTAAATAATGAAAACTAAGGCAAAAATAAAATAGTTCTTTGAAACTAATGAGAACAAAGATACAATATACCGGAATCTCTGGGACACAGCTTAGACAGTGTTAAGAGAGAAATTTATACACTAAATGCCCACATCAAAAAGTCTTAAAGCCCTCAAATTAACAACCTAATGTCACAACTAAAAGAACCAGAGAACCAAGAGCAAACCAACCCTAAATCTAGCAGAAGACAAGAAATAAACAAGATCAAAGCTAACTGAAGGATATTAAAACACAAAATACCATTCAAAAGATTAATGAGTCCAAGAGCTGGTTTTGTGAAAAAATTAATAAGGTAGATCACTAGCTAGACTAATAAAGAAGACAAGAGAGAAGATCCAAATAAGCACAGTTAGAAATGAAAAAGGGAATATTATCACTCACCCCACAGAAATACAAATAATCATCAAAAACTACTATGAACATCTCTATGTACATAAACTAGAAAATCTAAAAGAAATGGATAACTTCCTGGACTGCTCATTGTCTTAGGCAAAGAAGACTAGCCGTACTTTATTTGAGGGCTCTTTGAGTAGAGTCCTATAAATTCCTGTATTTCTCTCAACTCTATGTCCCCCTCCCCAGAATACAAAGCCCCTTCTGTGATGCCTCCTTTGCTTCTTTTGGTTATATCTGTGTTATATCTGAATATATGGCTCTAGAGAATCCCAAGAAATAGAAAAAGCTAGTCCAAAATCCAAGCTCTGAATAAGACAGGTGAGACCTTTGGATGAATATCTTTTCACAAAGTTGAGAAGATGTGAAGAACCCAAGAATCCACTGGAGAAACAGCCCCGAGGCACTGCAAGGGGTTCAGACCTGTGTTGGAGAATATCATCACCGTAACAAAACTTCTATGTTCTTAATATCTGTGTGTTTGTTTGTTTGTTTTTTGCTTGTTTGTTTGTTTTTCCTCAGAGACAGGATCTCAGTCACCAAGGCTAGAGAGCAGTGGTGTCATTATTGCTCACTGCAACCCTGAAATCCTGGGCTCAAGTGATCCTATCACTTCAGCCTCCTGGGTTACTGGGACTACAGATGCAAGCCACTGTGCCCAGCTTGGCTCTTTCTTTTTATTTTAATTGGTCACTTTGTTTTCAGACCTCTTGTTATCTTTAATCATTTTTCACCTCTGACTTGACCTCCCAGTTGTCAAATATTTGACTTAATGGGAGACTTTCCCCTAGCTTGTTGATTCCAGAAATTCAACTTTATTCTAGGCTTGGCTCCTGTTTAGTATTGCTGCTTTGAGATTGTTCTGGTTCATGAAAAACAAGTCTCCAAAATTTTCTACTTCTCAATATTGCCATTTACTAAATTCTTATAAACAAATAAGAAGGAAGACTCTCAGAAATATATGGAGAGACTGAGGTTAGAGTTGAGCAAGGCCTGAAATTTTGTCACAACTAATCTAGTTGAAGGAATGTTAACTGACTGAGAAAACACTAAATTTCTGTCTATTTCAAAGAGAAAGACTTGATAATGGCTCTACGGATGTGTGAGATCAGTTTTAATAGGATAACTTTTTTTTATTATTATACTTCAAGTTTTAGGGTACATGTGCACAACATGCAGGTTTGTTATATATGTATACATGTGCCATGTTGGTGTGCTGCACCCATTAACTCGTCATTTAGCATTAGGTATATCTCCTAGTGCTATCCCTGCCCCTGCCCCCCACCCCATAACAGTCCCCAGAGTGTGATGTTCCTCTTCATGTGTCCATGTGTTCTCATTGTTCAATTCCCACCTATGAGTGAGAACATGCGGTGTTTGGTTTATTCTCCTTGTGATAGTTTGCTGAGAATGATAGTTTCCAGCTTCATCCATGTCCCTACAAAGGACATGAACTCATCATTTTTTATGGCTGCATAGTATTCCATGGTGTATATGTGCCACATTTTCTTAATCCAGTCTATCGTTGTTGGACATTTGGGTTGGTTCCAAGTCTTTGCTATTGTGAATAGTGCTGCAATAAACATACGTGTGCATGTGTCTTTATAGCAGCATGATTTATAATCCTTTGGGTATGTACCCAGTAATGGGATGGCTGGGTCAAATGGTATTTCTAGTTCTAGATTCCTGAGGAATTGCCACACTGACTTCCGCAATGGTTGAACTAGTTTACAGTCCCACCAACAGTGTAAAAGTTGTTCCTGTTTCTCCACATCCTCTCCAGCACCTGTTGTTTCCTGACTTTTTAATGATCGCCATTCTAACTGGTGTGAGATGGTATCTCATTGTGGTTTTGATTTGCATTTCTCTGATGGCTAGTGATGATGAGCATTTTTTCATGTGTTTTTTGATTACATAAATGTCTTCTTTTGCGAAGTGTCTGTTCATATCCTTTGCCCACTTTTTGATGGGGTTGTTTGTTTTTTCTTGTAAATTTGTTTGAGTTCATTGTAGATTCTGGATATTAGCCCTTTGTCAGATGAGTAGATTGCAAAAATTTTCTCCCATTTTGTAGGTTGCCTGTTCACTCTGATGGTAGTTTCTTTAGCTGTGCAGAAGCTCTTTAGTTTAATTAGATCCCGTTTGTCCATTTTGTCTTTTGTTGCCATTGCTTTTGGTGTTTTAGACATGAAGTCCTTGCCCATGCCTATGTCCTGAATGGTATTGCCTAGGTTTTTTTCTAGGGTTTTTATGGTTTTAGGTCTAACATGTAAGTCTTTAATCCATCTTGAATTAATTTTTGTATAAGGTGTAAGGAAGGGATCCAGTTTCAGCTTTCTACATATGGCTAGCCAGTTTTCCCAGCACCATTTATTAAATAGGGAATCCTTTCCCCATTGCTTGTTTCTCTCAGGTTTGTCAAAGATCAGATAGTTGTAGATATGCGGCATTATTTCTGAGGGCTCTGTTCTGTTCCATTGGTCTAGATCTCTGTTTTGGTACCAGTACCATGCTGTTTTGGTTACCGTAGCATTGTAGTATAGTTTGAAGTCAGGTAGCGTGATGCCTCCAGCTTTGTTCTTTTGGCTTAGGATTGCCTTGGTGATGTGGGCTCTTTTTTGGTTCCATATGAACTTTAAAGTAGTTTTTTCCAGTTCTGTGAAGAAAGTCATTGGTAGCTTGATGGGGATGGCATTGAATCTATAAATTACCTTGGGCAGTATGACCATTTTCACGATATTGATTCTTCCTACCCATGAGCATGGAATGTTCTTCCATTTGTTTGTATCCTCTTTTATTTCATTGAGCAGTGGTTTGTAGTTCTCCTTGAAGAGGTCCTTCACATCCCTTGTAAGTTGGATTCCTAGGTATTTTATTCTCTTTGAAGCAATTGTGAATGGGAGTTCACTCATGATTTGGCTCTCTGTTTGTCTGTTATTGGTGCATAGGAATACTTGTGATTTTTGCACACTGATTTTATATCCTGAGACTTTGCTGAAGTTGCTTATCAGCTTAAGGAGATTTTGGGCTGAGACAATGGGGTTTTCTAGATATACAATCATGTCATCTGCAAACAGGGACAATTTCACTTCCTCTTTTCCTAATTGAATGCCCTTTATTTCCTTCTCCTGCCTGATTGCCCTGGCCAGAACTTACAACACTATGTTGAATAGGAGTGGTGAGAGAGGGCATCCCTGCCTTGTGCCAGTTTTCAAAGGGAATGCTTCCAGTTTTTGTCCACTCAGTATGATATTGGCTGTGGGTTTGTCATAGATAGCTCTTATTATTTTGAGATATGTCCCATCAATACCTAATTTATTGAGAGTTTTTAGCATGAAGCGTTGTTGAATTTTGTCAAAGGCCTTTTCTGCATCTATTGAGATAATCATATGGTTTGTGTCTTTGGTTCTGTTTATATGCTGGATTATGTTTATTGATTTTCGTATGTTGAACCAGCCTTGCATGGCAGGGATGAAGCCCACTTGATCATGGTGGATCAGTTTGCCAGTATTTTATTGAGGATTTTTGCATCAATGTTCATCAAGGATATTGGTGTAACATTCTCTTTTTTTGTTGTGTCTCTGTCAGGCTTTGGTATCAGGATGATGCTGGCCTCATAAAATGAGTTAGGGAGGATTCCCTCTTTTTCTATTGATTGGAATAGTTTCAGAAGGAATGGTACCAGCTCCTCCTTGTACCTCTGGTAGAATTCGGCTATGAATCCTACTGGTCCCGGACTTTTTTTGGTTGATAAGCTATTAATTATTGCCTCAATTTCAGAGCCTGTTATTGGTCTATTCAGAGATACAACTTCTTCCTGGTTTAGTCTTGGCAGAGTGTATGTGTCGAGGAATTTATCCATTTCTTCTAGATTTTCTAGTTTATTTGCGTAGAGGTGTTTATAGTATTCTCTGACGGTAGTTTGTATTTCTGTGGGATCAGTGGTGATACCCCGTGTCATTTTTTATTGCGTCTATTTGATTCTTCTCTCTTTTCTTCTTTATTAGTCTTGCTAGCAGTCTATCAATTTTGTTGATCTTTTCAAAAAAACAGCTTCTGGATTCATTGATTTTTTTGAAGGGTTTTTTTGTGTCTCTATGTCCTTCACTTCTGCTCTGATCTTAGTTATTTCTTGTCTTCTGTTAGCTTTTGAATGTGTTTGCTCCTGCTTCTCTAGTTTTTTAATTGTGATGTTAGGGTGTCAATTTTAGATCTTTCCTGCTTTCCCTTGTGGGCATTTAGTGCTATAAATTTCCCTCTACACACTGCTTTGAATGTGTCTCAGAGATTCTGGTGTGTTGTGTCTTTGTTCTCGTTGGTTTCAAAGAACATCTTTATTTCTGCCTTCATTTTGTTATGTACCCAGTAGTCATTCAGGAGCAGGCTGTTCAGTTTCCATGTAGCTGAGTGGTTTTGAGTGAGTTTCTTAATCCTGAGTTCTAGTTTGATTGCACTGTGGTCTGAGAGACAGTTTGTTATAGTTTCTGTTCTTTTACATTTGCTGAGGAGAGCTTTACTTCCAACTATGTGGTCAGTTTTGGAATAGGTGTGGTGTGGTGCTGAAAAGAATGTATATTCTGTTGATTTGGGGTGGAGAGTTCTGTAGATGTCTATTAGGTCTGCTTGGTGCAGAGCTGAGTCCAATTCCTGGATATCCTTGTTAACTTTCTGTCTCGTTGATCTGTCTAATGTTGACAGTGGGGTGTTAAAGTCTCCCATTATTATTGTGTGGGCATCTAAGTCTCTTTGTAGGTCACTCAGGACTTGTTTTATGAATCTGGGTGCTCCTGTATTGGGTGCATATATATTTAGTATAGTTAGTTCTTCTTCTTGAATAGATCCCTTTGCCATTATGTAATGGCCTTCTTTGTCTCTTTTGATCTTTGTTGGTTTAAAATCTGTTTTATCAGAGACTAGGATTGCAACCCCTGCCTTTTTTTGTTTTCCATTTGCTTGGTAGATATTCCTCCATCCTTTTATTTCGAGCCTATGTGTGTCTCTGCACGTGAGATGGGTTTCCTGAATACAGAACACAGATGGGTCTTGACTCCTTATCCAATTTGCCAGTCTGTGTCTTTTAATTGGAGCATTTAGCCTATTTACATTTAAGGTGAGTATTGTTATGTATGAATTTGATCCTGTCATTATGATGTTAGCTGGTTATTTTGCTCGTTGATGCAGTTTCTTCCTAGCCTTGATGGTCTTTACAATTTGGCATGTTTTTGCAGTGGCTGATACTAGTTGTTCCTTTCCATGTTTAGTGCTTCCTTCAGGAGCTCTTGTAGGGCAGGCCTGGTGGTGACAAAATCTCTCAGCATTTGCTTGTCTGTAAAGGATTTTATTTCTCCTTCACTTATGAAGCTTAGTTTGGCTGGATATGAAATTCTGGGTTGAAAATTCTTTTCTTTAACAATGTTGAATATTGGCCCCCACTTTCTTCTGGCTTGTAGAGTTTCTGCCGATAGATCAGCTGTTAGTCTGATGGGCTTCCCTTTGTGGGTAACCCGACCTTTCTCTCTGGCTGCCCTTAACATTTTTTCCTTCATTTCAACTTTGGTGAATCTGACAGTTATGTGTCTTGGAGTTGCTTTTCTCTAGGAGTATCTTTGTGGCGTTCTCTGTATTTCCTGAATGTGAATTTGGGCTTGCCTTGCTAGATTGGGGAAGTTCTCCTGGATAATATCCTGCAGAGTGTTTTCCAACTTGGTTCCATTCTCCCCATCACTTTCAGCTACACCAATTAGATGTAGATTTGGTCTTTTCACATAGTCCCATATTTCTTGGAGGCTTTGTTCGTTTCTTTTTATTCTTTTTTCTCTAAACTTCTCTTCATGCTTCATTTCATTCATTTCATCTTTCGTCATTGATACCCTTTCTTCCAGTTGATCTCATCGGTTACTGAGGCTTGTGTATTTGTCACGTAGTTCTCCTGCCTTGGTTTTCAGCTCCATCAGGTCCTTTAAGGACTTCTGTGCATTGGTTATTCTAGTTATCCATTCATCTAATTTTTTTTCAAAGTTTTTTACTTCTTTGCCGTTTGTTCGAACTTCCTCCTTTAGCTTGGAGTAGTTTGATCTTCTGAAGCCTTCCTCTCTCAACTCGTCAAAGTCATTCTCTGCCCAGCTTTGTTCCATTGCTGGTGAGGAGCTGCGTTACTTTGGAGGAGGAGAGGCACTCTCATTTTTAGAGTGTCCAGTTTTTCTGCTCTGCTTTTTCCCCATCTTTATGGTTTTATCTACCTTTGGTCTTTGATGATGGCGATGTACAGATGGGTTTTTGGTGTGGATGTCCTTTCTGTTTGTTAGTTTTCCTTCTAACAGTCAGGACCCTCAGCTGCAGGTCTGTTGGAGTTTACTGGAGGTCCACTCCAGAAGCTGTTTTCCTGGGTATCAACAGCGGTGGCTGCAGAACAGTGGATATTGGTGAACCGCAAATGCTGCTGCCTGATCATTCCTCTGGAAGTTTTGTCTTAGAGGAGTACCAGCCATGTGAGGTGTCAGTCTGCCCCTACTGGGGGATGCCTCCCAGTTAGGCTACTCGGGGGTCAGGGACCCACTTGAGGAGGCAGTCTGCCTGTTCTCAGATCTGAAGCTATGTGCTGGGAGAACCACTACTCTCTTCAAAGCTGTCAGACAGGGACATTTAAGTCTGCAGAGGTTCTTGTTGTCTTTTGTTTGTCTGTGCCCTGCCCCTAGAGGTGGAGCCTACAGAGGCAGGCAGGCCTCCTTGAGCTGTGGTGGGCTCCACCCAGTTCGAGCTTCCAGGCGGCTTTGTTTACCTGCTCAAGCCTGGACAATGGTGGGCACCCCTCCCCCAGCCTCACTGCCACCTTGCAGTTTGACCTCAGACTGCTGTGCTAGCAATGAGCGAGGCTCCATGGGCGTAGGACCCTCTGAGCCAGGCATGGGATATAATCTCCTGGTGTGCCATTTGTTAAGCTTGTTGGAAGAGCGCAGTATTAGGGCGGGAGTGACCCGATTTTCCAGGTGCCATCTGTCACCCTTTTCTTTGACTAGGAAAGGGAATTCCCTGACCCCTTGTGCTTCCCGGGTGAGGTGATGCCTCGCCCTGCTTTGGCTCATGCACAGTGCACTGCACCTACTGTCCTGCACCCACTGCCTGGCACTTCCCTGTGAGATGAACCTGGTACCTCAGTTGGAAATGCAGAAATCACCCGTCTTCTGCGTCACTCACGATGGGAGCTATAGACTGGAGCTGTTCCTATTCGGTCATCTTGGCTCCACCGCTCCCCCCCCCCTTTTTTTTTTCTTTTTTTTTTGTGACGGAGTCTCATGCTGTCACCTGGGCTGGAATGCAGTGGCACAATCTTGGCTCACTGCAACCTCTGCCTCCCAGGATCAAGCGATTCTCCTGCCTCAGCCTCCCAAATTGCTGGGATTACACATGCCTGCCACCACGCCAGGCTAAGTTTTTATATTTTTAGTAGCGATGAGGTTTCACTATGTTGGCCAGGCTGATCTTGAACTCCTGACGTCGTGATCCGCCTGTCTAGGCCTCCCAAAGTGCTGCAATTGCAGGTGTGAGCCACCGCTCCCAGCCTAGAATAACTTCTTAAATGCTTTTATTGTTGACTGAATTTATTTCTCCCTTGATAGTTTCTACTTTGGGTTGATAATTAAATAACAGTGTTATCTCTAAGATTATATACATGTCTTCCCATATTTTTATTCTAGTTTTTTCGTGACTGAATTTTACCTTCACACCTAATTGTGTAATCGATTGTGGTATATGCAGTTAAGCATTTCACTTTACTCTTTTCAAAAAGTATAGTTGTTCAATTACTGTTTGTTTTTTATTTCCAAGCTAAATTTAAAAGCTATATTTTTATATATCACATTATTATATTTTAGTGAGATTTAGTTTTTGGATTTCTATTTATTCCACTATCTTACTTACACATGAGTGGTATTAATTTAACATGATTTTAGAATGAAGAAAATGAAGCCATTTTTAGATAAACCAAAAGTAACAATGTATTTCCAGCAGAAAGAGATAATATTAAGGATAATCAGAAAAAAATAGAATAAACTTAGAGAGAATGTTAGAAATGAAGAAAAGCATGCAAAACATTTTGTACATAAGTGTAAACATTTCTTCACTATTTAATAATAACACTAGAAAATCTAGGGAGTAAAACTATACAAAATATCTAAAATATATATATATATAATTATAGATTGGGAAGGGGAAAATGAAGATAAAGTGCTAAAATTTATTGTATTGTTTTGGAAAAGAGTAAACAGTCAAATGGATATTTGTATCTGAAAAATCAAGAATGCAATTCTAATCATCAAGATGCATTTTTTTATTTTTTAGTTTTTTAATTCATGTGATGTCTATTCTTTTTTATTATTCTTCAACTTTATTGAGGTATCATTCACAAATAAAAATTGTATATATTTAAGGTGTACAACATGATGTTTTAATATATGTATACCTTGTGAAATGATTACCACAATCAAGCTAATTAACATACCCATTATCTCACATAGTTACCTTTTTCTTGTGGTAAATGCTTTTAAGATCTACTCTCGGCCAGGCCCGGTGGCTCACGCCTGTAATCCCAGCCCTTTGGGTGGCCGAGGCAGGCGGATCAGCCTGACCAACATGGAGAAACCCCGTCTCTACTAAAAATACAAAATTAGCTGGGCATGGTGTCGCATGCCTGTAATCCCAGCTACTCGGGAGGCTGAGGCAGGAGATTTGCTTGAACCCAGGAGGCGGAGGTTGCAGTGAGCCAAGATCTTGCCATTGCACTCCAGCCTGGACAACAAGAGCAAAACTCCATCTAAAAAAAAAAAAAAATCTACTCTCTTTGCAAATTTTAAATATACTTACAGTACAATTAACTACAGTCACGATGCTGTACATTAGATATCTAGAATTTATTCATCCCACATAACTGAAATTTTATACCCTTTGAGTAATAGTTTCCTGATTCTCCCACCCCCAACCCCTGGAAACCATACCTCTACTGTCTGTTTCCATGAGAGTGACTTTTTTATGTTTCACATATGAGCAAGGTTGTGTAGTATTTGTCTTTTTGTGTCAGGCTTATTTTTCTTAGTTTTACATCCTCCAGGTTCATCAATTCTGCCATAAATGGCAGGATTTTCTTCTTTTTAATTTTTTTATTTTCCTATTTTTAATTTTTTGTTTGTTATTGAATCATCTGTGTTTCTTATATATTTTGGATATTAACCAAAATATTTAAGAAATATTTGGTTTGCAAATATGCCATTTCATGGTTCACCTTTCATTTGTTCATTGTTTTGTTTTTTGTGTGGAAATTTTTTAGTTTGATGTAGCCTCACTTCTTTATTTTTCCTTTTGTTGCCTTTGCTTCTCATATCAAATTCAAAAAACGGCTGCAACGTGAATATTAGAATTTTCTTCTTTTGATTTCTTTAAAAATTTTTATGGTTTTAGGTCTTAGTTTAATTCTTTAACCCATTCAAATTTATTTTTGTTTATGGTGTAAGACAAGGGTCTGATTTCATTTCATTTTGAGGGTTTCACCCTCTCATATAATAAAATTCTTCTATATACCCTTCTATCATCACTTATTACTGATTATATGCCTTGATTTCAGAATCTTGCCAACTAGATTCAGAATTTGACTGGGAGAGAGGACAAGGACCACTTGAGACTCATATTTTATTTCCAGAATCTAGCATCTACCTACCTAGGTATTGAATAAGAAAAATGAAGTTAAGGTGGTTGATGGTAACACTATGCTAATAACTGCAGAGCCAGAAGCACCATAAGGGACATGATAAGGGAGCCAGCAGACCTCTGATCTCTTCCTGAATGCTAATCTTAAACATCCTGAGGAAGAATGGGACTTCCATTTGGGGTGGGCCTATGACAGGGTAATAAGACAGTAGTGAATATCAAGCTACAAAAAGCCGCCTTTCAAATTCTTCTCAGTCCTAACTTTTCATACTAAGCCCAGTCCTTCCAAAGCAGACTGTGAAAGAGTGATAGTTCCGGGAGACTAGCACTGCAGATTCCGGGTCACTGTGAGTGGGGGAGGCAGGGAAGAAGGGCTCACAGGACAGTCAAACCATGACCCCTGTTTTTCCTTCTTCAAGTAGACCTCTATAAGACAACAGAGACAACTAAGGCTGAGTGGCCAGGCGAGGAGAAACCATCTCGCCGTAAAACATGGAAGGAACACTTCAGGGGAAAGGTGGTATCTCTAAGCAAGAGAACTGAGTGGAGTCAAGGCTGAGAGATGCAGGATAAGCAAATGGGTAGTGAAAAGACATTCATGAGGACAGCTAAAACAATAAGTAATGTAAAATACAGCATAGCAAAACTTTAACCTCCAAATCAAGCCTCTACTTGAATCCTTTTCTGAGGGATGAATAAGGCATATGCATCAGGGGCTGTTGCCAATGTGCATTAGCTGTTTGCAGCCTCACCTTCTTTCATGGAGTTTAAGATATAGTGTATTTTCCCAAGGTTTGAACTAGCTCTTCATTTCTTTATGTTTTAAATGCACTGACCTCCCACATTCCCTTTTTAGTAAAATATTCAGAAATAATTTAAATACATCATTGCAATGAAAATAAATGTTTTTTATTAGGCAGAATCCAGATGCTCAAGGCCCTTCATAATATCCCCCAGTTTAGTAGTTGGACTTAGGGAACAAAGGAACCTTTAATAGAAATTGGACAGCAAGAAAGCGAGCTTAGTGATACTTGTGGGCCAGGGCATTAGCCACACCAGCCACCACTTTCTGATAGGCAGCCTGCACTGGTGGGGTGAATTCTTTGCCAAAGTGATGGGCCAGCACACAGACCAGCACGTTGCCCAGGAGCTGTGGGAGGAAGATAAGAGGTATGAACATGATTAGCAAAAGGGCCTAGCTTGGACTCAGAATAATCCAGCCTTATCCCAACCATAAAATAAAAGCAGAATGGTAGCTGGATTGTAGCTGCTATTAGCAATATGAAACCTCTTACATCAGTTACAATTTATATGCAGAAATATTTATATGCAGAGATATTGCTATTGCCTTAACCCAGAAATTATCACTGTTATTCTTTAGAATGGTGCAAAGAGGCATGATACATTGTATCATTATTGCCCTGAAAGAAAGAGATTAGGGAAAGTATTAGAAATAAGATAAACAAAAAAGTATATTAAAAGAAGAAAGCATTTTTTAAAATTACAAATGCAAAATTACCCTGATTTGGTCAATATGTGTACACATATTAAAACATTACACTTTAACCCATAAATATGTATAATGATTATGTATCAATTAAAAATAAAAGAAAATAAAGTAGGGAGATTATGAATATGCAAATAAGCACACATATATTCCAAATAGTAATGTACTAGGCAGACTGTGTAAAGTTTTTTTTTAAGTTACTTAATGTATCTCAGAGATATTTCCTTTTGTTATACACAATGTTAAGGCATTAAGTATAATAGTAAAAATTGCGGAGAAGAAAAAAAAAGAAAGCAAGAATTAAACAAAAGAAAACAATTGTTATGAACAGCAAATAAAAGAAACTAAAACGATCCTGAGACTTCCACACTGATGCAATCATTCGTCTGTTTCCCATTCTAAACTGTACCCTGTTACTTATCCCCTTCCTATGACATGAACTTAA
Organism: Homo sapiens; assembly: GCF_000001405.40. Classification (NCBI taxonomy): domain Eukaryota; kingdom Metazoa; phylum Chordata; class Mammalia; order Primates; family Hominidae; genus Homo; species Homo sapiens. The sequence continues at coordinate 5,226,529 of NC_000011.10, forward strand.
CCATAGAAAAGAAGGGGAAAGAAAACATCAAGCGTCCCATAGACTCACCCTGAAGTTCTCAGGATCCACGTGCAGCTTGTCACAGTGCAGCTCACTCAGTGTGGCAAAGGTGCCCTTGAGGTTGTCCAGGTGAGCCAGGCCATCACTAAAGGCACCGAGCACTTTCTTGCCATGAGCCTTCACCTTAGGGTTGCCCATAACAGCATCAGGAGTGGACAGATCCCCAAAGGACTCAAAGAACCTCTGGGTCCAAGGGTAGACCACCAGCAGCCTAAGGGTGGGAAAATAGACCAATAGGCAGAGAGAGTCAGTGCCTATCAGAAACCCAAGAGTCTTCTCTGTCTCCACATGCCCAGTTTCTATTGGTCTCCTTAAACCTGTCTTGTAACCTTGATACCAACCTGCCCAGGGCCTCACCACCAACTTCATCCACGTTCACCTTGCCCCACAGGGCAGTAACGGCAGACTTCTCCTCAGGAGTCAGATGCACCATGGTGTCTGTTTGAGGTTGCTAGTGAACACAGTTGTGTCAGAAGCAAATGTAAGCAATAGATGGCTCTGCCCTGACTTTTATGCCCAGCCCTGGCTCCTGCCCTCCCTGCTCCTGGGAGTAGATTGGCCAACCCTAGGGTGTGGCTCCACAGGGTGAGGTCTAAGTGATGACAGCCGTACCTGTCCTTGGCTCTTCTGGCACTGGCTTAGGAGTTGGACTTCAAACCCTCAGCCCTCCCTCTAAGATATATCTCTTGGCCCCATACCATCAGTACAAATTGCTACTAAAAACATCCTCCTTTGCAAGTGTATTTACGTAATATTTGGAATCACAGCTTGGTAAGCATATTGAAGATCGTTTTCCCAATTTTCTTATTACACAAATAAGAAGTTGATGCACTAAAAGTGGAAGAGTTTTGTCTACCATAATTCAGCTTTGGGATATGTAGATGGATCTCTTCCTGCGTCTCCAGAATATGCAAAATACTTACAGGACAGAATGGATGAAAACTCTACCTCGGTTCTAAGCATATCTTCTCCTTATTTGGATTAAAACCTTCTGGTAAGAAAAGAAAAAATATATATATATATGTGTGTATATATACACACATACATATACATATATATGCATTCATTTGTTGTTGTTTTTCTTAATTTGCTCATGCATGCTAATAAATTATGTCTAAAAATAGAATAAATACAAATCAATGTGCTCTGTGCATTAGTTACTTATTAGGTTTTGGGAAACAAGAGATAAAAAACTAGAGACCTCTTAATGCAGTCAAAAATACAAATAAATAAAAAGTCACTTACAACCCAAAGTGTGACTATCAATGGGGTAATCAGTGGTGTCAAATAGGAGGTTAACTGGGGACATCTAACTGTTTCTGCCTGGACTAATCTGCAAGAGTGTCTGGGGGAACAAAAAGCCTCTGTGACTTAGAAAGTAGGGGTAGGAGGGGAAAAGGTCTTCTACTTGGCTCAGATTATTTTTTTCCTCTAGTCCACTAAGAATACTGCGTTTTAAAATCATTTCCTTGATTCAAGTTCCTATTTCTCTTTATATTTTGTTTGTTTAAACCTCCTTTACTAAAATTTACTCTTCTTTCTCTATAGCTTCCCAACGTGATCGCCTTTCTCCCATCCCCCTGTACTTTTTCCCCTTGTACTAAATTAACTCCTCAGGTGAGGAAAAACTTTTGAAGTGCAGAGTTCTGCTTCCTGCTATTAAAAGATGTAATTAAAACAGCAAAGGTAGCAAGCATTTATGAGGTCAGCGTAGGGTCTCAGTGTTCCCTAAGGGCCCTGTCAGTCATCCTGAATCCTGCCCCTACCTGGAAACCCATGTCGGTTTAGTAAGGAAAGTGTTATACTTTTACTTTGCATGTTTCTCCTACTTCTTCCTTTCAGCTCTAACACTCTGAAACTACGATTACACAAAATAAAATAAAATAAAATAAAATAAAACAATAAAATGAAATAAAATTTAGGTTAACCAAAAGAAACTGGATCCTCTATTTCTAGTTATCAGAAGGAAATTTACAAATTTCTTATTTCCATTGCTTTATTCTCTTAAATGCTTTCTCTATTATTGCTAAATAAATAGAGATCTCTCACTTTTTCTACCTGTCTCAACCCTCATCAGGTACTTGTGAAAAAATCTCACTCTGATTATTCTCACACACGCAGAAAGTGTTTGGTTCTTCTATGGCTATCTGGAGCCTAGGTTAAAAAATTATGCCTATGTATGATTATAGAGGTAAGAGGGATAAAATTTAAGTATTTTCTTTTTATATTCATTCCTCTGTAAAAAACTAAAGCAATGAGGATCTAGGCACACGTGTATCCCTGAGAAAAGATTTCACATGTTGAATCCTGGGAAAAGACGTCTTTAAAATATTTTAAATGTTAAAACATGCAGATTTGACTTGGCTGTTAGATTTTGGATTTTATTTTATTAAATTTAAACCTGCATTAGCATTGTTTTAGATTTAGACAGTTTTCAAGACCCTGTTTCACATCCCTGATATAAGAGGCATGTATATGTGAAATAAAGTGTTCTGCGGAAGTTTGAATATGTCTTTTGCAAATATCCTGGGTCAAAGAAAATGCACAGACTTTATGAAATTATAATATAGGTTATATTTATAGTATTCTGAAAGACCAAAATTGTCAAAGCAAGAGCTTTGAAATCCTGATTGGCAGAAATTGTCACCTTCTTAAAGACTTACCCTACAACTTCTTATGCTCAGAAATAGTTTTCCTTTTTCTATTTTGTTTTCTTTTTTAAATGATGAACTATGGATCCTTCTCTTGTGTTGGCAACTGCTGCAGATACCATCATCCTGGCTTCAAGGCAGGGGTTGCTTTTCCAATGGTAGTTACTTAGTGTGACTAGAGTGTAACGCAGACTTTTCTTTCTATTACCCATAATACCCTGCAGGGACAAGGCTGCAAGCTATACTAAGACCATCAAAAGCCCAGGCATACCAGGCAAATAAGTTTCAAGAAGCAATAAATAGTGCAAATTTGGTTATGGTCAGAGCCTCAGTTTCAAATCTAAATCAGCATTCAAAGTTCCTGAAAAACTATTCAAGCTTACTGACATCTTCACTATTGTGAGCTTGCTTCTACTCTGTGAATGGATGCCACAGCAGGTGCAGGTCTATTCTACTTTTATTCCAGCCCCACTGACCACAACACACACACACACACACACACACACACACACACAAGTCCTCAAAAAAGAGACAGCGAGAGAGACAGAGGTCCATTTCCTTTACTCCAGTCTATTAATCTTTCTTAAGTCCTAATGTTTTATATCAGAATGGCCCTAGTCTGGGTATACTTAGAGGATGAATATTAACTTCCTCCATGAAAATCATGACACTCATCTATGGGAGTGTGGTTTTATCATTTGTTTCAAAAGCAGCACTTGACTAGAGTATTTTTATACATGCTCTACTGTTTAGTCTAAAATTCCCCAAGTGAGACATTTTAGCAATCTACTGTATATGTTCCTAGGTCAAGCACAGTCTAGCTACTTGCTACAGACTTCTCTCGCAGATACACAATCTCTCAGTAAACACAACTCAGCAGCTCTCAGAATTAATTAATTAAAATGAAATAAAAATGCTCCAAGAAAACCAGAACCCATAGAAACAAACCGCACACACACAAAATAGTTTGGAAATAGGATAGTTTAGTTCACTTTAAAAAGTTGTATTTCTTACCAAAAAGCAATAAAGTCAACATAGACAGAACTTTGCTAAAGTATATGCATAATTATTACAGAAAAATTTATATTTCAGTCTGCACCTTGTTCATTAATATTTCCTCCACTGGGCTCAGATTTTCATTCAGAATTAGCTTTTTTTTAACCTCATTAAGTGGGCCATGGTGTCAATTTATGGAGAGCAGAGGTACAGTCTTCAGATAAATTTGAGATTGCATCTCTTTAGAGGTAGAATCTTGGCTTCAGTCTGAACACCCTTTACAAACATGTAGGCATTAATTCAGAGGACTGCTCTGAAGCTCAAGAGATGGATGATTTAGGAGACTATTAGGCTTAATTCTCCTGACATTAAATTATTTTATTGAAAAATTTTCATGAACTCAAATTCACATTATTACGTCCTCTCTTCCCTTCCTCTCTCCCTCTCTTTCACACACACACACACCCTTTCATTCAGACATACTGAACATAGTTTATAAAGCAACGCCATAGTGAGAAAAGAAAAACAACCATTTGATAAATTATCAAATAAAATTAAAGCCAAATCTTGAGGAATTAATTCCATTCCTATACTTTGTTTTAACTTTCATTTTAAATTTGGGGGTACATGTACAAGTTATATAGGTAAATTGCATATCACTGGGTCTTGATGTACAGATTATTTCATCACTCAGTGATGAACTTAATACCCAATAGGTTCTTTTTCATCGTCTCCCTCTTCCCACCCTCAACCCTCAAGTAGGCCTGGGTGTCTGTTGATCTATTTTTTGTGTCCATGTGTATCATCATTTAGCTCCCACACTCCTAGACTCTTACAAAAGCTCTACTCTAACAAATAATTTTAATATAACAACAAGGTGCCAAGTCTTTTTTCATCTCTTGACCTCCTCATCTTCAATATGAAGATAGCAATGCCTAGCATATAGTAATTGTGTGTGCTCGGCACATGTCCCATCCAGGTGATGTTCTCATGAATTCTCTGGTATTTGGATTTTTAGGGCCAACATCTTGCCTAGACTCACTGACTACTTCTAATGGTGTAGGAATAGAAGGTATAGTAAGCTATATTTGCTCTTTTTTTTTGACTTTTGGAGAAAGGAATGTAGTTTGTTTTCCCTATCAAGATCATAAGGTCTACAATCTCTCTTACTGTCTTTCGAATACCACACAAGTATCTCCTTTTAATATCTTACTCTTATGAGAACTTCCCTATGCTCAGGAATGTGAAAGTGATCTTCCCCAAAATGCCCTGAGTAGCTCTGCTTCTGATATGTAAACCAGTGGTTCCTAAATATCTTATTCAGATATAAAGAGTTCTCAGTGCCTACTATGTATAATGACTTAAGGAAAACACATGGATATAAAAGAGCTTCTGCTGCCAGTCAATTCAAAATGTTGTGATCAAAACAGTTAACTATAACACATTGTCAGTATATTCTGGCAGTACAGACAGAGTTACTGTGAAAGCACTTTCAAACACAAGGAAACAACAGATTCTGTTTAGGTATTCAAGTAAGTTTAAAATTAATCAACATGCATATAATACAGATTTTTAAAAATGTATACAACTGAGAAAGTTCTAAAAATCCTTCTAATTTTACCTATGGCAAAAATGGTGCTCAAGGAAAAAAATATTACTCCTATGATCAGAAAGGAAATAACTGTTCGGTTGTTTACTGCATGCTTCCTCTTTGTATGTTGTAGCATTAACAACAAAGAAACACTGTGCGATGGTATTATTAATATTGTCCTCTAATTCCAGAAGTTCTAAAGCAAGGAATAATCATTCCTTCATTTACTCATTTACTCATTCGTTCATTCATTCACTGTTTTCTTGAATAAATATTTTCTTTCTGCCCATTGATGAATTTAATATGAGGCACAGTAGGCATGTAAGAAGGTAGAGAATAGGCAGAATTGCTTATAAAGCACGGAGTGTGTGTGTGTGCATGAAATAAATAAGAAAAATATAAAAATATAAAAAATGGTGTGGGGGAGGGTTTGGAAAGATTTTTTGGGTAGTATAGAGAAGTTTATTGTGGCTGGGGTCAAGAGAGGTCACAAGTAATACGTGAGCAATGAATCTTGACTGAAATATGGGAAGATAAGAGGAAATTCTTTACAGAGATGTTCTGGGGCAAGTAAGAGGAGGAAGCTATTTCTTGGAGCAGGAACACTTGATGGGGTATAGTATTATGGGCTACAATGTGCAGGCAAAGGAAGGAGGAAGAAAGACAACATAACATTGTCTTGAGTAATCATTATGCCTTTAATTGAGCACATTATTTTCTCAGTAATTGTTGGAGTTTAATCGTAGCATTACCCTTGAGGCTATGTCTTAGGGTTGAGGTCTTCCCTAGAACCTCTGCAGTGCCAGTATTATCTTTGTATCAAGAGTTCTTGATAATTTCTGCTCTTTGGAGGTAGAAGTGTCACCCATTAATGCCTTGTACGGTTCCCTTGCTTTTCTCTTTTCCCATGTACTCTTTGTAAAATAAACAAGTGCTCCCTATCTGTAGAGCCTCAGGAACCTTCTTACACACCTGGACAAAAAAATGAAATAAGTGAAATTAATCAGGAAGTTGAGCTGAACATTCTTTATTAGGCAGAAGCCATACCCTTGAAGTAGGCATTGTGTTCCCAAGTTCAGAAAATAGAATCTAGGGAAATAGGGTCTTCTTATGGTTATCAGGAAACAGTCCAGGATCTCAATGGTACTTGTGAGCCAGGGCATTAGCCACACCAGCCACCACCTTCTGATAGGCAGCCTGCATTTGTGGGGTGAATTCCTTGCCAAAGTTGCGGGCCAGCACACACACCAGCACATTGCCCAAGAGCTGCGGAGAAGAGGTAGGCAGATACATGCATATGGTTAACAGAGAAATAAAGACTGGCTTCTGAGAAACTGAGCCAACACCCATTTTTTTCTGCCCAAATCTTAGACAAAACTGATCCCCAGGTTATTCCCATCAGCATAAATAAGTACATATATGAATGCATACATATAACATATATCTATACACACACATCCTCTATGTACTTAACTAGCATGTAGTCTATATATGTACATATATGCTATATATGCTGTATAATACTATATACAAATTAATTCCAAATTAGTTTTAATTTTGTATGTGTATATAGCATATACAAATTAATTACTATAAACAGATTAATAGATACAAATTAATTGATTAATCAGTGTGATGATGGGCTGTCTCCTAGCAACGACTTCTGCCCCACCTCCAGTGTAACTGCCTAGTCTTTCATAATCAAATATTCACTTTCCTTTCCATTCCATTTACTACAGAATTTATAAAATTCCAATTATTCCTTATTGTAAAATGATTTATAGCCTCTAAAACAGTATTCTATGCCTCTCATCTTTGAGTTGGAGCCTCTCCCATACCCATGTGGAGAGACAAAAGGATTATTCTAAGTGCAGAATTAGCAGGTGAGAGCTGGTATGCATAATTTGAGTTGTTGTTAGAGAAGGAAAAATGAAGGGAGGGGGTTGGGAGAGAAAGACAGGATATTAAATAATTTAAAATAGCAAGATTGTGAGGAAGGAAAAAATGCAGAATATTTAAATAAAAAATTAACAAAATTTTAGAAGCATTAAATGATAAAATATAGTAAAATGACAAAAATGTGGGAGAAGAGCAGGTAGGTAAAAGAACCAAAATGTAAGATTAGAAAGTAAAAAGAGAAAAGTGAAGCATCTCCTGGACTCACCCTGAAGTTCTCAGGATCCACGTGCAGCTTGTCACAGTGCAGCTCACTCAGCTGAGAAAAAGTGCCCTTGAGGTTGTCCAGGTGAGCCAGGCCATCACTAAAGGCACCTAGCACCTTCTTGCCATGAGCCTTCACCTTAGGGTTGCCCATAACAGCATCAGGAGAGGACAGATCCCCAAAGGACTCAAAGAACCTCTGGGTCCAAGGGTAGACCACCAGTAATCTGAGGGTAGGAAAACAGCCCAAGGGACAGAGAGTCAGTGCCTATCAGAAACCCAAGAGTCTTCTCTGTCTACACATGCCCAGTTTCCATTTGCCTCCTTGAGCCTCTCTTATAACCTTGATACCAACCTGCCCAGGGCCTCACCACCAACTGCATCCACGTTCACTTTGCCCCACAGGGCATTGACAGCAGTCTTCTCCTCAGGAGTCAGATGCACCATGGTGTCTGTTTGAGGTTGCTAGTGAACACTGTTATGTCAGAAGAAAGTGTAAGCAACAGTCGACTCTGCCCTGCCTTTTATGCTGGTCCTGTCCTCCCTGCTCCAGTGAGCAGGTTGGTTTAAGATAAGCAGGGTTTCATTAGTTTGTGAGAATGAAAAATGAACCTTCATTCCACTATTCCCTTAACTTGCCCTGAGATTGGCTGTTCTGTCATGTGTGTCTTGACTCAGAAACCCTGTTCTCCTCTACATATCTCCCCACCGCATCTCTTTCAGCAGTTGTTTCTAAAAATATCCTCCTAGTTTCATTTTTGCAGAAGTGTTTTAGGCTAATATAGTGGAATGTATCTTAGAGTTTAACTTATTTGTTTCTGTCACTTTATACTAAGAAAACTTATCTAAAAGCAGATGTTTTAACAAGTTGACTCAATATAAAGTTCTTCTTTGCCTCTAGAGATTTTTGTCTCCAAGGGAATTTTGAGAGGTTGGAATGGACAAATCTATTGCTGCAGTTTAAACTTGCTTGCTTCCTCCTTCTTTTGGTAAATTCTTCCTATAATAAAACTCTAATTTTTTATTATATTGAAATAAATATCCATTAAAAGAATATTTAAAAAATGAATAGTGTTTATTTACCAGTTATTGAAATAGGTTCTGGAAACATGAATTTTAAGGTTAACATTTTAATGACAGATAAAATCAAATATTATATACAAATATTTTGAATGTTTAAAATTATGGTATGACTAAAGAAAGAATGCAAAGTGAAAAGTAGATTTACCATATTCAGCCAGATTAAATTTAACGAAGTTCCTGGGAATATGCTAGTACAGAACATTTTTACAGATGTGTTCTTAAAAAAAAATGTGGAATTAGACCCAGGAATGAAGATCCCAGTAGTTTTTCACTCTTTTCTGAATTCAAATAATGCCACAATGGCAGACAAATACACACCCATGAGCATATCCAAAAGGAAGGATTGAAGGAAAGAGGAGGAAGAAATGGAGAAAGGAAGGAAGGAAGAGGGGAAGAGAGAGGATGGAAGGGATGGAGGAGAAGAAGGAAAAATAAATAATGGAGAGGAGAGGAGAAAAAAGGAGGGGAGAGGAGAGGAGAAGGGATAGGGAAGAGAAAGAGAAAGGGAAGGGAAGAGAGGAAAGAAGAGAAGAGGAGAGAAAAGAAACGAAGAGAGGGGAAGGGAAGGAAAAAAAAGAGGAAAAAAGAGACAAGAGAAGAGATAAGACTGACAGTTCAAATTTTGGTGGTGATATGGATCAATAGAAACTCAAACTCTGTTGGTGACACTGTACAATAGTATAACCCCTTTGGAAAACCTTTAATAGTATCCACAAATGCTGGATGCTTGATAAGTCTATTACCTAGCAATTACATTTTTAGATATTCAGAAACACATGCATGTGTGTATCCAAAGACATGTATAGAAATGCTTATGACAGCAATAATCATAAAAACCTCAAACCGGTAGCCACTTAAATGCTTACCAACAGTAGAATTGATAAATTACGGTATAGTCAAAGAATAGAATATTACACAGAAATGAAAAGAATCAACTACTGCTTAACACGTAGCGATACAAATGCATTTTACAGCATTTGGTTGATTAAAAGTAACCAGAGGTGAGTTCAAACTATATGACTTTATTTGTATATAGAAAGATGGATGATGTGCCTGAGATTCTGATCACAAGGGGAAATGTTATAAAATAGGGTAGAGAGGAGCCATGAATGACCTTTAAACTTTGTTACAAGTTATTTTTCTGTAACCTGGAAGCCAACGAAAGATATTGAATAATTCAAGAAAGGTGGTGGCATGGTTTGATTTGTGTCTTTAAAAGATTATTCTCACTTAGTGAAGAAATGTATTTTAGAAGTAGAGAAAATGGGAGACAAATAGCTGGGCTTCTGTTGCAGTAGGGAAGAAAGTGACAATGCCATTTCTATTATCAGACTTGGACCATGACGGTGATGTCAGTCGTGAACACAAGAATAGGGCCACATTTGTGAGTTTAGTGGTACGATAAAATCAGAAATACAGTCTTGGATACATTGTATTGTATGCACTCTTGTAAAATGCAAAAAGATGTACTTAGATATGTGGATCTGGAGCTCAGAAAGAATACAACCAGGTCAAGAATACAGAATGGAACAGAACATACAAGAACAGATCATAATGTGCTGTGTGAATCACTACCACTACCTGTTAAAAATGACAGATGATGTACTTCATCAATATCTCCTTAAAATCTTAGAATGTGTTTGTGAGGGAGGAATTATGTTTCCAATTCATATATAAGAAAATTGATTCTAAAAAAAATGTTAGGTAAATTCTTAAGGCCATGAGGACTGTTATTTGATCTTTGTCTGTTAATTCCAAAGACTTGGCTTTTCACTTTAATTCTGTTCTACCTGAAATGATTTTACACATTGGGAGATCTGGTTACATGTTTATTCTATATGGATTGCATTGAGAGGATTTGTATAACAGAATAAGGTCTTTTTTTCTTTTCTCTTCTGAGATGGAGTTTCATCCCTATTGCCCAAGCTAGAGTGCAATGGTGCAATCTAGGCTCACCGCAACCTCTGCCTCCTGGGTTCAAGCAATTCTCCTGCCTCAGCCACCTGAATAGCTGGGACTGCAGGCATGCACCACACGCCCGGCTGATTTTGTATTTTTAGTAGAGATGGGGTTTCACCATGTTGGTCAGGCTGGTCTTGAACTCCTGACCTCAAGTGATCTGCCTGCCTTGGCCTCCCAAAGTGCTGGGTTTACAAGCCTGAGCCACCGCATCCAGCCAGGATAAGGTCTAAAAGTGGAAAGAATAGCATCTACTCTTGTTCAGGAAACAATGAGGACCTGACTGGGCAGTAAGAGTGGTGATTAATAGATAGGGACAAATTGAAGCAGAATCGAACTGTTGATTAGAGGTAGGGAAATGATTTTAATCTGTGACCTTGGTGAATGGGCAAGTAGCTATCTAATGACTAAAATGGAAAACACTGGAAGAGAAACAGTTTTAGTATAACAAGTGAAATACCCATGCTGAGTCTGAGGTGCCTATAGGACATCTATATAAATAAGCCCAGTACATTGTTTGATATATGGGTTTGGCACTGAGGTTGGAGGTCAGAGGTTAGAAATCAGAGTTGGGAATTGGGATTATACAGGCTGTATTTAAGAGTTTAGATATAACTGTGAATCCAAGAGTGTGATGAATACAAAGTTAAATGAAGGACCTTTAATGAACACCAACATTTAATGTGAAATCTCAAGGAAGTATGAAGTAAGACATAGTCCCCAAAATCCCCGATGATTTTAGAACTCAGTATCGATTTTAATTAGTGTAATGCCAATGTGGGTTAGAATGGAAGTCAACTTGCTGTTGGTTTCAGAGCAGGTAGGAGATAAGGTTCTAGATTTTGACACAGTGAAAAGCTGAAACAAAAAGGAAAAGGTAGGGTGAAAGATGGGAAATGTATGTAAGGAGGATGAGCCACATGGTATGGGAGGTATACTAAGGACTCTAGGGTCAGAGAAATATGGGTTATATCCTTCTACAAAATTCACATTCTTGGCTGGGTGTGGTGGCTCACGCCTGTGATCCCAGCACTTTCAGAGGCCGAGGAGGGTGGATCACCTGATGTTAGGAGTTCGAGATCAGCCTGACCAACATGGTGAAACCCCCTATCTACTAAAAATAGAAAATTAGCCAGGCATGGTGGTGGCACATGCCTGTAGTGCCAGCTACTTGGGAGGCTGAGGCAGGAGAATCGCTTGAACCTGGGAGGCAGATGTTGCAGTGAGCCTGGATCATGCCATTGCACTCCAGCCTGGGCAACCATAGCAATGCTCTATCTCAGAAAAAAAAAAAAAAAGTTCTTGCTAACCTGAAAAAATAAATTATTTGAGCTTTGTACCTAATTCATAATTTTCAGATAATGAATATTGAGATGATATATGCACAGAACAATGCCTAGAGACACATTCTAAGTGTGACATTCTTAAATGCCAGTGCTCTCCACAATTCTAATCTCAGTTCACTGCTGTTTGAATTCTGTGTTTTCATATTATCTTATCAATACATTAATCATTGCAATAATCACTGCACACTGTAATTATTCATTTACTGGACACATCCTAGTTTCCTTCTGTCAATTACCATTCATGTCTGCTTTCACATTTATTTCTCATCCTTCCCTCAGTGTTCTCTGTATTTGAGGAACTGACATTTCCCAGGTTTCCTCACCCTTTCAGTCGCATGTACATTCTGCAATGGTAAACACTGGCTGAGGGAAAGCATAAGCAAGATTATTTCTGGTCTCTCTCTCTCTCTGAACGGATCTCCTACAGCAGACAGTCTTTTTTATGGTTTTTTATGGCTGATACTTTGATGCCCCCATTAGACAGTTCTGGCTCTCTCCAAGGAGCACCCACTAGCTCACTGAATCCAGTGGACCTCTGGTTATGGGCTCTGGTTCTGGACTCTGGTGGTATAAACATTTTCTCCTTCTGCCCTTCTAGGCCTAATGGCGGAAGAGGTTTTCTGATGTTACTAACATCTAGATTTCTGCACTGTCCTTTATTTGATATTTTAGCTCTTCCAATACAAGGATAATTAACTATTAAGAGCTGTATTTAATTCTAGGTTGAGTAACTGATAATGGTTTGTCCTTTCCTTGATGGACCCTAACTGATATAACTAATAAACTGACTTCTGATACTATGTCTTATTAGTGTATGAAATTCTGATGTGAATAAATGCATGACACATGCTTGTTGACTAATCAAACTATAGCAGAGGCAGAGGAAGGAACCTCATGACCTATAAATACTAAGATATCACATAGTCATTTTAGAACCAAAGGTTCCTCAGTTTAGGTCTCAAACAAACTTCTCTATGGATAGTGTAATACTCATAATGTAGAAAAGAGAGATCTAATTTTGGATAATTTAATCTTTTTTTTCATCTCCAAATACTAGGGAAATAAGAGTTTACAAGACAATGTCTCTACCATAAAAGAGGTTAAAATTTAGTGGTAGGAATATACAATGAGCAGATTAAGTACATTAGTAGGAAAAACACTAAATATTATAAGAAAGAGCCCATAATTGTAGCAGAGTTTATAGACAGGGCTTTAAGCCCAGTTAAAATTAAAAAAAAATAGCTTCTTAGTTGAGATAACATATAAGTTAGGACTTAAAGTATGAGTACAAGATAGACAAGGCAAAATGAGGGAAAGACATCACCCAGAGTAAATGAACAGCATGTACAAAGCTAACAGAGTCAAATGCAGAAATCCAAATTCTCTAGATTGACTGGGGTAATTTTGTCAATGCACTCAAGTATGCATCTGTAACAGTGTGTGTTCTTATGTGTGCATGGAATGTTTGTTCATGGAGCATAAGAAATTGTGTAGACATATAGACACATCTGTATGTGTATATCAGAGAATGTTTACATTGCTACAAGATTTTATATGACTACATGCACAAGCATTCATGCTACATGTCAGTTTGGTATATTTTTCCTGTAAGATGTGTACTTATGTGTTTTCCACTAAAGGTGAATGTGAAAACTCCTCATCGAGAAATGAACAATAAGTAACACAGGAAATTCAACCCTCATCTCTTCATTTAAAATACAGAGTGACATTCAGAAGGGCAAGGGATAGCACAAGTGTGAGATTTTAAAGTGTGATTGTTTGGACACAGTAATTATTCAAAGAATGTGCTTAATTAATGTATGCTACAAGACAGCAGTTGAGTGATTATTGTACATGAGCAACTGGTATTTATTCTGCTTTGTGGGTTATTAGTGGGGACTCAAAAATATGACAAAGGAATTTCAGAAGCTGTTAGATGGTAGCACCGCCTATCTATGTGCTCCCACTCAAGAGATATGGTGAGGTGAGCTCTTTGGGGTGGACACATAGAGGAAATACTTTGAGAAAGAGGTTTTGGGATTAATGAAACTGGAGAAGAAAGGGTATTATATCTTCTAAAACCTCTTTCTTTGAGGTTTTAGGTTTGAGGGTGCTACATACTTCCTAAGGGTCTTGGGTACAGGAGTTTGAAGTGATTGCCACAGAATGGCTACGTTCATTGCCAGATCCAAACAGGGGGCTTGTAGGCATTTGCTGTTCTGTCAATAAATTTCCTTCTTTTCATTCACAGACAGGGATTTTAGCTGTCATCTCTGACTCTCTGTTTCACAATGTTTTCCAGTTCTGTGCAATCACTGCCACAATGGTCTCTTACTCGATTTTTTTTCTTAACTTCATTGTTTCCATCAACTTCAGTTCTTTATCCATCACCTCAATATAATTACAGCAAGCTCCTCTGACTATACCCAAGTTAGACTTTGTCTAATCAGTTCTATATATATATATACATGTGAATCAATTTTCTACGTTTCCCTATTTATTATGTCACTCTCATATGCAAGAAACTTCAGTGATTTTTGCTCAAAACGATAGCTATTTTTCTTACTTCATCTGGTCTCTGCATCCAGTTTCCCTAATTTTATATCATCCTGCCTCTTTTAAATGTCCATATTCTCCTCTATCAACTTGACTTAACGTGCTGTTTCCTAAATCTCAGCCTTTTAATCTGCTGTTTGCTCACATAAACAAAAATCAGTGGTTTTCAATATTGATTGCTAATAATTTTTTATTCATAAAAATTGTATATATTTATGAATGCACACATGTGTGTGTATATATATAGAAAGAGAATAAAATCACTACCACTAAAAACAATAAAACTTGTACATATTTATAGAAACAGAGAGCTGAACAAAGAGATTTATTATTTATTGGGTAGTGTGATAAAGACTTTACAGGTATCAATTCAATTAGTTCTTACAAAAATCCTTTAAGGAAAATACATATGATAAATCTATCATATGCACAGCTTAATGGAATTATAAATATGTTTCAGGTCACAGAGGTAGCAGATGAAGTACAGATGAAAACCAAGACAGCCAGTTCACATGCCTTAGAGATAATTCTCTATTAATACCATTGAAGACGTTAAGAGAAAGTTCAAGGTTTGGCCCTTGATTGGTCTCTAGGAAGCCCCATCCCCACTTCATTATAAATAATAAAAAATATGTTGTTTAAAATAAGTAGAAGTGAACTGCAGTCACCAAATGAGCTATATCCTGAGTTTCATACAAATAATAGCCTATACAGAACTTCTAATTTGAGTCCTAACATACCTCTACACACTACCAACAATCCTCTTACACCTCCAAAGAGTACCTCCATTGACCTCCCTTTCTGTAAAAACATTGTCTTATTCTAGAGACGATTTCCCCTTCCTAGGAGTAACTACCCCACTAAATCCACCCACGAGTTCTCTCTTTTCTTGCAGGATTGCAAGAAAGTATCTTCTCTGTCCTTAAACTCCCATTCTCCAACATTCTCATTTCCATCAGAAATAGTGCGTCCTTTTGGCTGAATCAGGGTAAAATATAAAGACAGAAAAAGAGTACAATGATATTTCTTAGAGAGCATATTTCTTTATTCTATTTTTATCATGCAGGAACTGAATCAGCAGGCAGGATACTGCTCTTCTCCCCAACCTCCCCCATCTAAAGGAGATGAGATTTTGGGACATAGGTACAAACATAGTGGACCATAGGTACAAACATAGTGGACAGGGAACTCAGTGGTCTTGTGGGCTACAGCATTAACCACAGCATTTGTTAGTTACTGCCAAGAAGCCTGTATCTGTAGGGTAAAATCCTCGCTGAAGTGGGTTGCCAAAACAATCAATATCACGTTGCCTAAGAGCTGGGGAGGGAGTGAAGATAAAAAAGAAAATGGTACATAGTGAATAGAAGGCCTCAAGCTGGACTTGCAGTAAATAGATATAACACTTACATCCTTTTTCACCAGAGTTTGAGCAACTCTCACCATTATGGGCTAGATATCAGCTTCAATATGACTGGCAGCCCTGCACCTCCCATTGTGTCCTATCCTTCTCTTACTTGCTATGCCAACTCACTACCCCAACATATTGTGATTGTTTCATTTTTTTTTTAGAGACTTCGTCCTTTTAAAAAGTAGGATAATAGTACTTCAAGGAACAGTAATGGATAGGATAAGTCCCCAGTCATCACATACATACATACATACATACATACAATTTTCCCAAACACTCATAACAAAGAATCCTGTACCATGCGTACAAAAGTATACCATCATCATTCGGAGGGAAACAATCCTCTTTTTAACAGCTTCCCACTACTTTGTTCAGTTGATCTTTTTCTAACCTCCAGGACTATGCAGAAAAGTGACTATTAATTTTTATAGAAAATTTCGCTGACCAAAGGAAAGATGTTATTTTCTCTATCTCAACTTCTGTTCCCTCATCCAAAAACACTCAGTTTGATTTTGGCCAGAATTTTTTATAAGATGTGTTTTTCAGAGCTATCAAATGGTAAGTGGCCTTCCATTATTCATAGTCCTTGCTCTACCAAATTTTAGTTATGTTATTTACAGCAACATAACTCTCAAAATCCCACTGCTGAAATATCATATCCCATAGCTGACTCATAACACAAGAGAAAGCCACCTCTGCTTTCAAAAGTACCCATAGTGCAAATATCTAAGGGTAAAGAAGAAAGCGTGAGTGTACTTACTACTCACCAGGAAGTTCTCAGGGTCCACGTGCAGCTTGTTACAGTGCAGGTCACTCAGTGTAGCAAAGGTGCCTTTGAGGTCATCCGTGAGCATAACAGCTTTTCCGAAGGAGATCAGCACCTTCTTGCCATGTGCCTTGACTTTGGGGTTGCCCATTATTGCACAGTCAGAGCCCAGATATCCAAAACTTTCAAAGTACCTCTAGGTCCATGGGTAGACAACCAGGAGACTGTGGGATAGTCATAATCACAGAGCAGGTGCAAAGTCAGACTATGTAAGACAACGGGCTAATCCCTCTTTCAGAAACACTTTCTGCCTTTCTGCACCTTGTCCCGGCTTCCAGTACCTACCTGCCCAGAATCTCACCTCCAGCCTTCTCACCTTAACCTTGCTTCACAGGCTGGTGGCAGCAGCCTTCTTGTCAGCAGTGAAATGCACTACAGTGTCAGATCTGGGAGTTTCCTGGTGATCACAGATGAGCCAGAAGCATGCCTGCATTGCTGCTTCATGTGTGGCTTTTTACTTCTCCTCTCTGGCCCCCAGCCCTTTGCCTCTCCCAGTGAAATGAATCTATTGACCAGCCCTTTGCCTCCCTCAGTAAAATGAATCTATTGGTCAAGGGTGGGTTGTGACTCCAGGGGTGGGGTTTGGGCAAGGAAGTTTTGCAAGATGGACATTCGAGTTTCTGATAGAATCCAGGTGGCCTTCTCAGGGGAACTTTGCTGTTCAGGCTTAATTTGAAACTTTACTTCCTTCCCCTCCATTTTCCTACACTACCCCCACCATCCAGTGTGCAGTTTATTTCTCAAGGACTTCGCCAGCAGCCGCTAATAACCTGAATGCTGACAAATAGGAATAAGTTACAACTGAAAAGGATAAGAATTACGAATATCTTAGCCATCAATTCCTGGATCAGGAGTTGTGACAATGTAACAACGTGTTATCCTGTTATTCATCCAGGCTTTATGTGGAAGAAGCCACAGCCTTTCTTGGTTTTCAATTCTCTTGAGACTACATTGAATACACAATTTCATCAGTTTTTTTTTCTTTCTTTCTTTCTTTTTCTTTTTTTTTTTTTTTTTTTTGAGATGGAGTCTCGCTTTGTCACCCAGGCTGGAGTGTGCAGTGGCGCGATCTCTGCTCACCGCAAGCTCTGCCTCCCAGGTTCACGCCATTCTCCTGCCTCAGCCTCCCGAGTAGCTGGGACTACAGGCACCCGCCACTGTCTCTGGCTAATTTTTTGTATTTTTAGTAGAGATGGGGTTTCACCATGTTAGCCAGGATGGTCTTGATCTCCTGACCTCGTGATCCGCCCACCTCAGCCTCCCAAAGTGCTGGGATTACAGGTGTGAGCCACCGCGCCCGGCCAATTTCATCACTTTTTAGAATAGAAATAAACACCTCTATCCAGCATCAACTTGGAAGAAAGCAGAATAAGAAACAAACTAGGGAAGTAAGGGGAAAACTGGGTTTTATTACTGTGTTTTTTAATCCATTTAGTAGTCAGTGTACTTATCTGAACAAAGGAGATTTCCTCTGAATCATTGAACAATAGTCCATGTCAAATCCTACATATCTACAAAATTATGCCAGAACATCTAATAGTGTTGGGGGAGAAGTGTGCTGCTCTGTTCAAGCAAGAGGATAGGAGATTCCGTGGCCCGTGCTGGGCATTAGGTCATTTGTGTCTGGCACAGGCTTGATCTATAGTCTAATGCTGTGTTTAACTTGTCTTTATATCTAATCAGGCAAAGACATTCTTCACTGACAATATTCCACAGGCTGCTGCACGTGTCTCATGTGCTGCACGTCTCATGCGTCTCAAACAAGCAATTTCAGGAATAGACAGGGCACACTTCCACCGGCAGAGAGAAGAACAGTTTATTTTATATTCTTAAGGCTTACTGTCCTCATACTTAGAGGTTCAGGATGCTGGTTTGTGTGTTACCCCTGAGATAAATCCTTACAAGAAATAAAGTTTAGGAAATCACCCCCATGTGTATTTCAAGGAGACTCTAAATTTCAAAGAGTTAAACCCAATATATTAAAGCTGAATTTCTGATATTAGAGACACAATATTTTAGTCTACTTGATATAGTTGAGAGGCAGTTACCTGTTTTACTTAGGAACATGGGGAAAGTTTGTAGTGACAAACAGTTTGAGGCAAAACCAAGATTATCTTTAAGAGCAGAGATCGATGATATGAAGAAAAAGAAGTGGCAACTTTGACTATATGCAGGAAACACATTTATATTGAGTTGTGGGGACTGGCCTCAGAGGAAACTTCAGGTCATGTCCTTTAATGGCCCTAAAACTCATTCCCAAAAGAATTTCTGTTCATTGCCATACCTCATATCCTTAGGTACATACATCTAAAACCCTGCGTACCAGTGAACAGCTGCCCCATCTTTCCATCAGCCAACCAGGAATTCAGCAGTTACTGCTAACTTCCACTTTTCTCTCACCCGCTCCAGGAAAAGTGACCTGCAGTCACTTTCCTGGAAGTATTGATTCTTTCTTGTTTGTGGCTGTTCCCCATTTCCAATTGTTTTCCATGATTATTGCTTCTACTGTGATCTATAGACTCTTATATCATCAATACCAGGTTATCATTGCAGTTGTCAACTTCTCTCTGTTGCATCTTATGCATTAATTCAACAAATACATATTAGATTCCATATGTCATCCATGAAGTTTCATTCATATGCCATCCATTTTTCTTAATTCTGAGAATCTTACATGAACTAGACAGACAGATTCTCTGGCTAATGGTGCCCTCACTATAGTGAGCAGAGGAGACCAGCATACATACTAAAAGAAATGAATTAATAAGAGATTTCAGATGGTATTATATGACTTGAAGAAACTGCATATTGTACCTACAACCATCTGGTCTTTTAGAAACCTGACAAAAGCAAGCAATGGGGAAAGGATTTTCAATTTAATAAATGATGGGGGAGAACTGGCTAGCCATATGCTGAAAAATGAAACTGGACTCCTTCCTTATACCTTATCCAAAATTAACTCCAGATGGATTAGAGACTTAAATGAAAAACCCCAAACTATAAAAAGCCTAGAAAAAAATCAAGGCAATACTATTCATGATATAAACACGGGCACAGATTTCATGATGAAAGCGTGAAAAGCAATTGCAGCAAAAGCAAAAATTGACCAATGGAATCTAATTAAACTAAAGAGCTCCTGCTCAGCAAAAGAAACTACCATCAGAGCGAAAGACAATCTACAGAATGGGAAAAAGATTTTCCAATCTATTCTTCTGACAAAGGCCTAATATCCAGAGTAAACAAGAAACTTAAACAACTTTACAAGAAAAAAAAAACCCATTAAAACCATGGCACACTTTTACCTATAAAACAAACCTGCATATCCTGTACGTGTACCCCTGAATTTAAGGTAACAGTAAATTAAATTAAAAGAAAAATGCCATGGCAATGTCAGAAAGTTACCCTATATGGCCTAAAAAGAGA
The DNA here is from genome assembly GCF_000001405.40 of Homo sapiens. Classification (NCBI taxonomy): domain Eukaryota; kingdom Metazoa; phylum Chordata; class Mammalia; order Primates; family Hominidae; genus Homo; species Homo sapiens. Next base: position 5,246,588 of record NC_000011.10, read on the forward strand.
AGGCATAAATAATCCAAAACTTGTTTAACATATCATCAAGAAATAACCATAAAAGGAACAACCAGCGGCCCTCGGGGCTGCTCTGCCTATGCAGTAGTCATTCGTTTATTTCTTTACTCTCTCAAGAAATTTGCTTTGACTTAAAAAAAACAAAAAACAAAAAAGAAAGAAAGTGCATATTCTGAAACGGTAGTGACTGCATTTGAAGTGGGACCTTTATGATATGATGGAGCCAGGCAGAGATGTTGGAGAAGTTCCTGAAAGAAGGAAGGGCATGTGCCAAATTCTGAGGCTGAGGAGAAAAAAGAAAGAAAGAAAAAAAGAATAAAGAACTTTACATTTCACTGTATGTAAAGACATTACAAGGCTAGAGTAAAGCATGTTGAAGTAAAAATAGGAGAAATCAAAGTTAGAGAGAAGGGCGCAGGCTTATTATTTGGGTCTTATAGATGAGAGTAGTAGAGTAGGTATTTTATACTGAAACATAGGGGACGAGGGGAGCTTTGCAAACCTGAGATAAACATGGTCTGTAGTCCACTCAAAACCCAAGCTTATTTTTTTCTCCTTCTTCATCTGCCTTACTCAGTGCAAGGTGCTATAACAAAATACAAAAGACTGGGTGGCTTCAACAACAGAGTTTTTTCTCACATTTCTGAAGGCTGACTCGTGGTCAGGGTTCTCTTCCTGGATTGCAGATGGCGGACTTCTCACTGTGTCCTCACCGGGAGGAAAGAGAAATGGCTTGTCTCTCTGCTTCTGATAAGGAAAATAATTTTATGATGGGGATCTGCTCTTATGAGCTCATCTAAACCTAATTACTTTTCAAAAGCCTCCCCCACAGATAAGGTCAGTTGGGAGTTGGGGATTCAGCATGTGAATTTTGAGGAGACACAAACATTAGGTCCGTAACACCATCATATTAAACTCTTACTTATAGAGATGCACTAACATCCAACTATACAAAAATTCCATTAAGTAAGCCTTCCAATTAATGTTGTACAAATTCTTCCCACTACATTTTGATCTCACAGTGCTGGTCTGTTTCTCAGACATAACATGCTCATGCTGACTTGTGAGCCTCTGCTGATTCATTTCTTACACCTAAGTCCCCACCTCCCCCAGAGTCTTACAATGAGGTCTCTCCCTTGAAATGCTGTGACCAATCTGCACACTTGAGGGCATGGGATTAATTTCACTTTCTTAGGCATCCACAAGGGCTGTGAAAAGCTAAGTGCCATTAGAAATAGTATTCCTCCTAATAAAATAGAATTGCTACACCTGACTAAACCTTGAATTCCTAAAGCTTGGAACACTTTCCCTTCCTTAAGAACCATCCTTGCTACTCAGCTGCAATCAATCCAGCCCCCAGGTCTTCACTGAACCTTTTCCCATCTCTTCCAAAACATCTGTTTCTGAGAAGTCCTGTCCTATAGAGGTCTTTCTTCCCACCGGATTTCTCCTACACCATTTACTCCCACTTGCAGAACTCCCGTGTACAAGTGTCTTTACTGCTTTTATTTGCTCATCAAAATGCACATCTCATATAAAAATAAATGAGGAGCATGCACACACCACAAACACAAACAGGCATGCAGAAATACACATACACACTTCCCTCAATATAAACCCTTTGTGGCTCATATATTTAAAAAGATGTAAAAAAAAGAGCTGAAGAAAATCATGTGTGATCTCTCAGCAGAATAGATTTATTATTTGTATTGCTTGCAGAATAAAGCCTATCCTTGAAAGCTCTGAATCATGGGCAGTGAGCTCAGTGGTATCTGGAGGACAGGGCACTGGCCACTGCAGTCACCATCTTCTGCCAGGAAGCCTGCACCTCAGGGGTGAATTCTTTGCCGAAATGGATTGCCAAAACGGTCACCAGCACATTTCCCAGGAGCTGTTGAGATGAAAGGAGACAATAAAGATGAACCCATAGTGAGCTGAGAGCTCCAGCCTGGCCTCCAGATAACTACACACCAAGCTTCCACCCAGAATCAAGCCTATGTTAACTTCCCTCAAAGCCTGAGATTTTGCCTTCCCATTAAATGCAGGTAGTTGTTCCCCTTCAAGCACTAGTCACTGGCCATAATTTAAATCTTGCTATCTTCTTGCCACCATGAACCCTGTATGTTGTAGGCTGAAGACGTTAAAAGAAACACACGCTGACACACACACACACACGCGCGCGCGCACACACACACACACACACAGAGCTGACTTTCAAAATCTACTCCAGCCCAAATGTTTCAATTGTTCCTCACCCCTGGACATACTTTGCCCCCATCTGGAATTAAAGGATATAAGTTTGTAATGAAGCATTAGCAGCATTTTATATGTGTCCAGCTGATATAGGAATAGCCTTAGCAATGTATGTTTGGCCACCAAAGTTCCCCACTTTGACTGAGCCAATATATGCCTTCTGCCTGCATCTTTTTAACGACCATACTTGTCCTGCCTCCAGATAGATGTTTTAAAACAACAAAAATGAGGGAAAGATGAAAGTTCTTTCTACTGGAATCTAATAAAGAAAAGTCATTTTCCTCATTTCCACCTCTCTTTTCTCAAAGTCAAAATTGTCCATCTAGATTTTTAGAGGCACTCCTTAGGCCCTAAAACATTACCACTGGGTCTCAGCCCAGTTAGTCCTCTGCAGTTTCTTCACCCCCAACCCCAGTATCTTCAAACAGCTCACACCCTGCTGTGCTCAGATCAATACTCCGTTGTCTAAGTTGCCTCGAGACTAAAGGCAACAGGGCTGAAACATCTCCTGGACTCACCTTGAAGTTCTCAGGATCCACATGCAGCTTGTCACAGTGCAGTTCACTCAGCTGGGCAAAGGTGCCCTTGAGATCATCCAGGTGCTTTGTGGCATCTCCCAAGGAAGTCAGCACCTTCTTGCCATGTGCCTTGACTTTGGGGTTGCCCATGATGGCAGAGGCAGAGGACAGGTTGCCAAAGCTGTCAAAGAACCTCTGGGTCCATGGGTAGACAACCAGGAGCCTGTGAGATTGACAAGAACAGTTTGACAGTCAGAAGGTGCCACAAATCCTGAGAAGCGACCTGGACTTTTGCCAGGCACAGGGTCCTTCCTTCCCTCCCTTGTCCTGGTCACCAGAGCCTACCTTCCCAGGGTTTCTCCTCCAGCATCTTCCACATTCACCTTGCCCCACAGGCTTGTGATAGTAGCCTTGTCCTCCTCTGTGAAATGACCCATGGCGTCTGGACTAGGAGCTTATTGATAACCTCAGACGTTCCAGAAGCGAGTGTGTGGAACTGCTGAAGGGTGCTTCCTTTTATTCTTCATCCCTAGCCAGCCGCCGGCCCCTGGCCTCACTGGATACTCTAAGACTATTGGTCAAGTTTGCCTTGTCAAGGCTATTGGTCAAGGCAAGGCTGGCCAACCCATGGGTGGAGTTTAGCCAGGGACCGTTTCAGACAGATATTTGCATTGAGATAGTGTGGGGAAGGGGCCCCCAAGAGGATACTGCTAATTTTTTTTATAGCCTTTGCCTTGTTCCGATTCAGTCATTCCAGTTTTTCTCTAATTTATTCTTCCCTTTAGCTAGTTTCCTTCTCCCATCATAGAGGATACCAGGACTTCTTTTGTCAGCCGTTTTTTACCTTCTTGTCTCTAGCTCCAGTGAGGCCTGTAGTTTAAAGCTAAAGCATGTACCAATTTTTGAAAAGTTCAGGGATTGTGAAATGTGTTTTAGGCATAGGTCCAGGATTTTTGACGGGACAAATCTTAGTCTCTTTCAGTTAGCAGTGGTTTCTAAGGAAAAAGTGCTATACTTCTTTTTGAATATACTCTTTGTGACTTTTGCCATTATCTCTTAATTTCTCAATAGTGCAGTGAAAACAATTTCTATAAAGCCACAGTTTCAGCGCAGTAATAGATTAGTGTTACATAATATAAGACCTAATGCTTACCTCAATATCTACTTATCCGTACCTATTTGAAATAAATCATGACTGTTTCATCTTAGAAAAATATTTGATTCCATATTCAGGTATGTATGTATACACCAGATGATGTGTATTTACCACTGGATAAGTGTGTGTGCTGGCTGATGACCCAGGGTTTTGGCGTAGCTCTTCTATGCTCAGTAAAGATGATGGTAGAATGTTCTTTGGCAGGTACTGTGGATTAGAATTAATTATCTTGTATAAATGCTAGGTTCACTTCTCAGGGAATCTTACTCTAAGACATAAGATGTGCGTGTACATGGAAAACAACTCTAAAGAGGCAAGGGTTGTTTTTATTGACTAATAGTCCACACACTATTATAACTCGAATATTAGTGTACTTTAGACAGCTTTATTTCTAACACAGTGCTGTTTCTGACATATTGGACCATTAACAGGGTAGGAAGTATTTATGGTGGTTTTTTGGTTCTGTTTTGCTTTTGGTTAGTTTGTTTTTGTTTTTCTCTGAAAGTGATCCATGATCTCTAACCTTGCTAGATTATAATGCCAGAAGCTCTGGAATTCTGGCTTATCGGAGGCAAGCTGTATCTTCAAATTAGTTTATCCCCTAAGCTATCAGGTTGATTGAAATTATTATAATATTGGTGAAATTCTTTCATCCTTCATGATCCTGTGTAAAGCTTATATCTGCTCATTGATACAGATGGCTAAAAGGCCAGAAAGACACACATTTACCCATGTAACAAGCCTGCACATCCTGCACATGTACCTTCGAAATTAAAATGAAATGAAATAAAATTAAAAGGAAAAAAATGCCATGGCAACATCAGGAAGTTATCTTTTATGGTCTAAAAATGGGCAGCATAAATAATCTACCCCTTGTTTAGCATACTATTGAAAAATAACAATAAAAATCGGCAACCAGTAGCCCTTGCGTCTACTCTGCCTATGAAGTAGCCATTCATTTATTCCTTCAATTTTTTATAAACTTGTTTTACTAAAAAAAAAAAGGACAAAGAAAGAAAGTGCGAATTGTGAAATGGTAGTGAGTGATGGCATTTGAAGTGGGTCCTTTATGATTTGATGGAGCCAGGCAGAAGACGTTTGGAGAAAGAAGTTCCTGAAAGTAGGAAGGGCATGTGGAAAACTCTGAGGCTGAGGAAAAAAAAGAAAGAAAGAAATATAAAGAAAGAACTTGACATTTCACTGTATATAAACACATTACAAGCCTAAAGTACGTTGAAGAAAAAATAGAATTCAAAGTTAGACAGAAGGGCTCAGGCTTACTATTTGCATCTTACAGATGAGAGTAGTAGAGTTGGTATTTTATTCTGAAACACAGAGGACAAGTGGAGATTTGTAAACCTGAGATAAACATGGTTTCTAATCCACTGAACACCGAAGCTTATTTTTTTCTCTTTCTTCATCTGCCTTACTTAGTGCAAGGTGCTATAACAAAATAGCATAGACTGGGTGACTTCAACAACAGGATTTTTTCTCACTTTTCTGCTGGTTCCTGGTCAGGGCTCTCTTCCTGGGTTGCAGGTGGCTGACTTCCCACTGTGTCCTCACCAGAAGGAAGAGAAATGGCTAATCTCTCTGCTTCTGATGAGGAAAATAATTCTATGATGGGGATCTGCTCTCATGAGCTCCTCTAAACCTGATTACTTTTCCAAAGCCTCCCCCACAAATGGAGCCAATTGGGAGTTGGGGATTCAGCATGTGAATTTTCTGGAGACACAAGCGTTAAGTTCATAACACCATCACATTAAACTAAACTCTTGCTTATTAACGTGCATTAACTTTCAATTATATAAGAACTCCAGTGAATCTGCCTTCTCAATTAATGTTATACAAATTCTTCACACTATATTTTCATCTGACCGTGCTGTTCTGCTGCTGAGACATGACACGCTGATGCTGACTTGTGAGCTTCTGCTGGCTCATTTCCTTCACCTAAGTCCCCACCTCCCTAGAAGCTTACAATGAGGTCTCCTCCTTGAAATGCTGTGACCAGTCTGTAGACTTAAGGGTATGGGATTAATTTCACCTCTTTAGGCATGCGTCAACACTTAAAATGAAAAGTTCCTTAGTAAAGTAAGGATCACTTCATTGTAGTTACCGTGGAAAGAAAAACCTGTTTCCTGCTCTGATCTCTAACACCTCAACCTCCCTGTAGAGCCTCACAAGGGCTGAGAAAAGCCAGATGCCGTTGGAAATAGTATTGCCCCTAATAAAATAGAATGGCTATCCCTGCCTAAACCTTGACTTCCTAAAGCTTGGAACACTTTTTCTTCGTTGAGCCCCTTCCTCGCTGCTGTGCTGCAATCCAGGGAAGGGGGTTCAGCCCCCTTCACTGAACCTTTCCCCATCTCTTCCAAAACATCTGTTTCTGAGGAGTCCTGTCCTATAGAGGTCTTTCTTCCAACCAGATTTCTCCTGCACCTTTTACTCCCACTTGCAGAACTCCCATGTACAAGTTTCTTTATTGCCTAGTTCTTTTATTTGCTCATCAAAACCCACATCTAACGTAAACAAAAAAGTGTGGAGTGTGCACATGACACAAACACACATAGCCATGTATAAATACACATAAACACATCCCTCAACATAAAACCCTTTGTGGCTCATATATTTAAAAAGACATAAAAAAAGAACTGAAGACAACCATGTGTGATCTCTTAGCAGAATAGATTTATTATTTGATTGCTTGCAGAATAAAGCCTATCCTTGAAAGCTCTGCATCATGGGCAGTGAGCTCAGTGGTATCTGGAGGACAGGGCACTGGCCACTCCAGTCACCATCTTCTGCCAGGAAGCCTGCACCTCAGGGGTGAATTCTTTGCCGAAATGGATTGCCAAAACGGTCACCAGCACATTTCCCAGGAGCTGTTGAGATGAAAGGAGACAATAAAGATGAACCCATAGTGAGCTGAGAGCTCCAGCCTGGCCTCCAGATAACTACACACCAAGCTTCCACCCAGAATCAAGCCTATGTTAACTTCCCTCAAAGCCTGAGATTTTGCTTTCCCATTAAATGCAGGTAGTTGTTCTTCTTGCAGCACTAGTCACTGGCCATAATTTAAATCTTGTTATCTTCTTGCCACCATGAACCCTGTATGCTGTAGGCTGAAAACGTTAAAAGAAACACACGCTCTCACACACACACAAACACACGCGCGCACACACACACACACACACACAGAGCTGACTTTCAAAATCTACTCCAGCCCAAATGTTTCAATTGTTCCTCACCCCTGGACATACTTTGCCCCCATCTGGAATTAAAGGATATAAGTTTGTAATGAAGCATTAGCAGCATTTTATATGTGTCCAGCTGATATAGGAATAGCCTTAGCAATGTATGTTTGGCCACCAAAGTTCCCCACTTTGACTGAGCCAATATATGCCTTCTGCCTGCATCTTTTTAATGACCATACTTGTCCTGCCTCCAGATAGATGTTTTAAAACGAATAACAAAAATAGGGGAAAGGTGAAAGTTCTTTCTACCGAAATCTAATAAAGAAAAGTCATTTTCCTCATTTCCACCTCTCTTTTCTCAAAGTCAAAGTTGTCCATCTAGATTTTCAGAGGCACTCCTTAGGCCCTAAAACATTGCCACTGGGTCTCAGCCCAGTTAGTCCTCTGCAGTTTCTTCACTCCCAACCCCAGTATCTTCAAACAGCTCACACCCTGCTGTGCTCAGATCAATACTCAGTTGTCTAAGTTGCCTCGAGACTAAAGGCAACAGTGCTGAAACATCTCCTGGACTCACCTTGAAGTTCTCAGGATCCACATGCAGCTTGTCACAGTGCAGTTCACTCAGCTGGGCAAAGGTGCCCTTGAGATCATCCAGGTGCTTTATGGCATCTCCCAAGGAAGTCAGCACCTTCTTGCCATGTGCCTTGACTTTGGGGTTGCCCATGATGGCAGAGGCAGAGGACAGGTTGCCAAAGCTGTCAAAGAACCTCTGGGTCCATGGGTAGACAACCAGGAGCCTGTGAGATTGACAAGAACAGTTTGACAGTCAGAAGGTGCCACAAATCCTGAGAAGCGACCTGGACTTTTGCCAGGCACAGGGTCCTTCCTTCCCTCCCTTGTCCTGGTCACCAGAGCCTACCTTCCCAGGGTTTCTCCTCCAGCATCTTCCACATTCACCTTGCCCCACAGGCTTGTGATAGTAGCCTTGTCCTCCTCTGTGAAATGACCCATGGCGTCTGGACTAGGAGCTTATTGATAACCTCAGACGTTCCAGAAGCGAGTGTGTGGAACTGCTGAAGGGTGCTTCCTTTTATTCTTCATCCCTAGCCAGCCGCCGGCCCCTGGCCTCACTGGATACTCTAAGACTATTGGTCAAGTTTGCCTTGTCAAGGCTATTGGTCAAGGCAAGGCTGGCCAACCCATGGGTGGAGTTTAGCCAGGGACCGTTTCAGACAGATATTTGCATTGAGATAGTGTGGGGAAGGGGCCCCCAAGAGGATACTGCTGCTTAATTTTTTTTATAGCCTTTGCCTTGTTCCGATTCAGTCATTCCAATTTTTCTCTAATTTATTCTTCCCTTTAGCTAGTTTTCTTCTCCCACCATAGAAGATACCAGGACTTCTTTTGTCAGCCGTTTTTCACCTTCTTGTCTGTAGCTCCAGTGAGGCCTGTAGTTTAAAGTTAAAGCATGTACCAATTTTTGAAAAGTTCAGGGATTGTGAAATGTGTTTTAGGCATAGGTCCAGGATTTTTGATGGGACACGTCTTAGTCTCATTTAGTAAGCATTGGTTTCCAAATAAGAAGTGCTATACTTATCTTTGAATATACTCTCTGTGGTTTTAGGCCATTATCTCTTAAGTTCTCATTAGTGTAGTGAAAAATCCTATAAAGCAACAGTTTCAGTGCAGGAATAGATTAATGTTATGTAATATAATATAAGACTGAATCCTTACTTCAATATCTACTTATCCGTACCTATTTGAAATAAATCACGCCTGTTTCATCTCAGCAAAAGTATTTTTTTTATATTCAGGTATGTATGTAGGCACCCGATGATGTGTATTTATCACTGGATAAGTGTATGTGCTGGCTGATGACCCAGGGTTTTGGTGTAGCTCTTCTATGCTCGGTAAAGATGATGGTAGAATGCTCTTTACCAGATACTATGGATTAGAATTAATTATCTTGTATAAATGCTAGGTTCACTTCTTAGGGAATCTTATTCTAAGACATAAGACATGTATTTGCATGGAAAACAACTCTTAAGAGGCAGGGACTGTTTTATTGACTAATAGTCCACACACTGTGACAGCTGGGATGTCACTGTAGTTTAGACATCTTTATCTGTAACTCAGTGCTGTTTCTGACATATTGGCCACTTAACATGGCAGGAAGTATTCATGCTGTTTTTTTCTTTATTTTTTCTTTGGGATTTTTATTTTTTGGTAGGTTTGGTTTTGCTTTTGTTTTTTCTCTGAACTCGATCCATGACCTTGGTAGATTATGACGTCAGAAACTCTGGAAATCTGGCTTATTGGAGGAGAGCTCTACCTTCCCCTAACCTATCAGGTTGATAGGAATTATAATAATATTGGTGGAATCCTTTCAGACTTCATAATCCTGTGTAAGGCTTATATCTGCTCAAAGTGTTAGGCGGCTAAAAGACCAGAAAGATACATGTTGACCTGCGCAACAAAGCTGCACATATTGCACTTGTTCTTTGGAAGTTAAAATAAAAGTTGAATAAGAAAGGAAAGAAAAAGATTTGTCAACTTATCAGTATCTTCCAGTTACTCACATAATAATAAGTGACTTCTCTCAATCTAAGGATGGGTGAGAAAGATTTTTATTGGTATGCTGGTACAGATTATAGAGACTGAGGTGAACCCAAATTAGGGTCTCTTTAAGATAGGGGATCTGTGAGATGGGTGTGTATAGATCTTTGGCCATATCTGAGAGTCTGGTTGGGTTCCATTTGTAGAGCCTGACCTTTAAGAATGTGTCAGAGACTGGTGTCTAAGCCCGCTAAGGCCTAAACAAGTGAATCTTTTGAATCTCTCTTTTTTTTTTTTGAGACAGAGTCTTGTTCTGTCACCCAGGCTGGAGTGCAGTGGTATGATCTCGGCTCACTGCAACTCCTGCCTTCCAGGTTCAAGCAATTCTCCTTCCTCAGCCTCCCAAGTAGCTGGGATTACAGGCACTTGCCATCATGCCTGTCTAATTTTTGTATTTTTGTAGAGATGGGATTTCACCATGTTGGCCAGGTTGGTCTTGAACTCTTGACCTCAGGTGATCTGCCTGCCTTGGCCTCCCAAAATTCTGGGATTACAGGCGTGAGCCACCACTCCCAGCCTCTAAACAAGTGAATCTTAATTGCTCCTCCTCAGACTAAGGAATATCTAGGATCCCTCCTGTTTTCAAACAACTTCCCCATTTATCCAAAAACCAAGGCAGTGTTCTAAAAGTCATGTATAAACCCTTATTTCCTCTTATGCTTTTGAGGCAATATCTTTTAAGAGTTTGTTGATTTCTCCTTATCCATAACTGTCTTATTCCTCGATTTTTCCTATATCATTGCTTCTGACATTGATTAAATCCTAACTGATAAAACTGTTTCTTTACACAAGCAATTTCAAGTGTTTTCAAGCATTCTTTCCCATGTATTTTCAAACATTTGTTCAGCAAATATCTGTTAAATAAATGTCATAATTTTTAAAGTAGTGGGCATTTAAGTTAAATAAGTCAGAGAATAAAACTTTCCTCTGAAGATTATAATCTAGGTAGAACATACATAAAATTAATAATTAAGTTAAACAACAAAATAATTTCAGATATTATTAACTAAGAATGAAATTAAGGAGAAAGTATTCGAACAGAGGCAAAATGACAGAAGGAATCTGCCATGGGAAGGCATTGCCAAATAAAGTTTAGAAGCTGAAATAGTAAATTCAAAGCTCTGAAGCAGAAGAAAACAAACTCCTGCTGTGCCAGAGAGTTAGATAAAGAACCAGTGCCGTTGATATGTAAAGTGGAGAATAGCAGGTGGTATTGTTTCAGGGAAGCATAAACCTAAGGACATAAACTTGTCCTCAGTGGTAGGGAGTGAGAAGCCATTATAGAATTTTAACTCTGGTAATGACATAATCTCTAAGCAACCTGTACTATTGGCTGGATTACTATTCTAAGAATGACCTGTTTATCACAACTGTTTTGCTTAAAAAGCCCTTATTGCCTGTGGACAATTATTAGTTATTCTTTCAACTATTAAAAATCTTGTCATGCAGATGTGTGTGTGTGTGTGTGTATTCATTATGAATTTGCTTTCAATTAAGTTATCTTGAATTGGCAATATCTAAATCTAGATATAGCTCCCTAAGGGGTAAAGAGTGTATCCACTGCCCACCCCTCAACATCACGTCCTTGATTCCTTGATATCAAAGGGCAGTATAGTTTTGGGGGAGAAGAAAAAGAGAGAGAGAGAAAAAAAGATTGATTAAAAATGCATATTACCGACAAATTAGAGGGTGATGGCAGATGGGAGGCAGCAGAAGTACATTGCAGCTCCCACTCGGATGCACAGAGCAGCATGTGAAGTCTCCCATCAGGAATTTTTTTTGCAGAACCACCTGCAGAAATAAATCAAGAAAGCTGAGAGAACGCACACACCCTCTGAAAGAAGCAGATTGCTCCTGCAGGACCCGGGAAACACCCCAAATATTGTGAGTGCCCAAACTGTGGAAGTGGAAAAGGGGGACCGTCTACCCCCAAACACACATCCTCACTGGGGAACCTGAAGATCTAGACCACAGGAGAAGATTCTGACCTTACCTGGAGCTGAGTCAATTTAGAGGGCCAAGCAAAATACAGGGGTAGAGGAAGCAGCGGGAAAAGCCCTGTGGGCTCTCTGGGTCCCCTAGGAAGCCATTTCTGCCTTGCCTCACAGGGGTCATTTGGGAGGGCTGCCAGAGGAACTGGGAAAAGATGACAGGAAAAAGAAAATCTCCACCTGGCCAGATCTAGGGGCTGGGCAGTGGGGGGGTTGGTGGGGGGACATGAATTTGGTGTGCAGACTCCACTGGCAGGGAAGTAGGACAGCCCTACTTGGTTTCGCAGCTGGTAGCCTGGGGCAAGTTCTCAGCCTTGCTCACTGACTGCATGGAAACAGATTCGGTGCTGTTGCGGGGGAGGGTGCACGCTGGAAGTGAGACCAACCTTTTGAGTTGCATGGGAGCTGGGCAAGTCACGTGACTGCTTGCTTTCCCCCACTTTCCTGATGACCTGCATGACACAGCAGAGGCAGCCATAATTGTCCTAGGAACATAAATCCATTGACCTGGAAACTACACCCCCATCCTCCCACAGTAGCCACAGAAAGACCTGCCCAAGGAGACTCTGAGCTCAGACACGACTAGTCCTGCCCCCACCTGATGGTCCTTCCTTACTCACCCTGGTAGCTGAAGACAAAGGGCATATATTCTTGGGAGTTCTAGGGTGCCCCAGCCCCCCCAGCCACCACCACCTGACTGCCTCTGCTGATGCTTTCTAGAAAGTGCCACCTCCTGGCAGGAGGCCAACCAGCACAAAAATAGTGCATTGAACAACCAAAAGTAAGGACCCTCACAGAGTCCATTTCATCCTCTGCCACCTCCATTGGAGCAGGTGGTTGTATCTATGGCTGAGAGACCCACAGATGGTTCACGTCACAAGACTCTGTGCAGACAAACCCCAGTACCAGCCTGGAGTCTGGTAGACCTGATGGGTGGCTAGATCCAGAAGAGAGATAACAATCACTACAGTTCGGCTCTCAGGAAGCCCCACGCCTAGGAAAAGGGGGACTGTGCTACATCAAGGGAACACCTCATGGGACAAAAGTCTCAGCCTTGAGGCCTAGACTTTCCCTCTGACAGAGCCTACCCAAGTGAGAAGGAACCAGAAAACTAACTCTGGTAATATGAAAAACAAGGTTCTTTAACACCCCCCAAAAAATCATACTAGCTCACCAGCAATGCATCCAAACCAAGAAGAAATCCCTGATTTACCTGAAAAATAATTCAGAAGGTCAGTTATTAAGCTAATCAAGGAGGCATCCGAGGAAGGTGAAGTCCAATTTTAAAAAAACCAAAAATATGATACAAGAAATGAGGGGAGAAATCTTCAGTTAAAGAGATAGCATAAATAAAAAACATTCAAAACTTCAGGAAACAATGGATGAATGGATGCACTTATAGAAATGCAAAATGCTCTAGAAAGTCTCAGCAATAGAATCCAAGCAGAAGAAATTCAGAGCTTGAAGACAAAGTTTTTGAATTAACCCAATCCAACAAAGACAAAGAAAAAAGAATAAGAAAATATGAACAAAGCCTCCAAGAAATCTGGGATTATGTTAAACAATCAAACCTAAGAATAATCAGCATTCCTGAGAAAGAAGAGAAATCTAAAAGTTTGGAAAACTTATCCAGGGAAATAATCAAGGAAAACTTCCCCCACCTTGCTAGAGACCTAGATATCCAAATACAAGAAGCTCAATAAACACCTGGGAAATTCATTGCAAAAATATCATTGCCTAGGTACATTGTCATCAGAGTATCCAAAGTTATCTAAAGACAAAGAGAATCTTAAGAGCTGTGAGGTGAAACTACCAGGTAACCTATGAAAGAAAACCTATCAGATTAACAGCAGATTTCTCAGCAGAAACCGTAAAAGCTAGAAGTGAATATGGCCCTATCTTCAGCCTTCTTAAACAAAACAATTATCAGCCAAGAATTTTATATCCAGTGAAACTAAGCTTCACAAATGAAGAAAATACACAGTGTTTTTCAGAAAAACAAATGCTGAGAGAATTCGGCACTACCAAGCCAACACTACAAGAACTGATAAAAGGAGCTCTAAATCTTGAAATAAACCCTGGAAGCACATCAAAACAGAACCTCTTTAAAGCATAAATCCCATAGGACATATACAACAAAAATACAGATAAAAAGATACACAGGCAACAAATACCACGAAGAATGGAATAGTACCTCACACCTCAATACTGATGTTGAATGTAAATGGACTAAATGCTCCACTTAAAAGATACAGAATTGCAGAATGAATAAGAATTCACCAACCAGTTATCTGCCGCCTTCAGGAGACTCACCTAACACATAAGGACTCACATAAACTTAAGGTAAAGGGGTGGAAAATGACATTCCACACAAATGGACACCAAAAGCGAGCCAAAGCAGCTATTCTTATGTCAGACAAAACAAACTTTAAAGAAACAGCAGTTAAAAAAGACAAAGAGGGACATCATATAATGATAAAAGCCCTTGTCCAATGGGAGAATATTACAATTCTTAATATATATGCATCTAATACTGGAGATCCCAAATTTATAAAACAATTACTACTAGACTAGACAGCAACATAATAATAGTGGGGGACTTCAATACTCCACTGACTGCACTAGGCAGGTCATCAAGACAGTCTACAAAGAAACAATGGATTTAAAGAACAAATGGACTTAACAGATATTTACAGGACATTCTACCCAACAACTGCAGAATACACATTCTATTCATCAGCACATGGAACTTTCTCCAAGATAGGCCATATGATATGCCACAAAACAAGCCTCAATAAATTTTTAAAAATTGAAATTATATCAAGCACTCTCTCAGACCACAGTAGAATAAAATTGGAAATCAACTACAAAAGGAACCTTCAAAACCATGCAAATACAGGGAAATTAAATAACCTGCTCCTGAATGATCATTGGGTCAACAATGAAATCAAGATGGAAATTTAAAAATCATTTGCTTTGAAAACCGGCACAAGACAAGGATGCCCTCTCGCCACTCTTACTCAACATAGTATTGGAAGTTCTCGCCAGGACAATCAGGCAAGAGAAAGAAATAAAGCATATTCAAATAGGAAGAGAGGAAGTCAAATTGTCTCTGTTTGCAGATGACATGATTGTATATTTAGAAGACCCTGTCATCTCAGCCCAAAATCTTAAGCTGATAAACAGCTTCAGCAAAGTCTCAAGATACAAAATCAGTGTGCAGAAATCACAAGCGTTCCTATACACCAATAATAGACAAGCAGAGAGCCAAATCATGGGTGAACTCCCATTCACAATTGCTGCAAAGAGAATAAAATAAAATACCTAGAAATACAACTTCTAAGGGATGTGAAGAACCTCTTCAAGGAGAGCTACAAACCACTCACTGCTCAAGGAAATAAGAGAGGACACAAACAAATGGAAAAACATTCCATGCTCATAGATAGAAAGAATCAATATCTTTAAAATGGCCATACTGCCCAAAGTAATTTATAGATTCAATGCTATCCCCATCAAGCTACCACTGACTTTTTTCAAAGAATTAGAAAAAACTACTTTAAATGTCATATGGAATCAAAAAAGAGCCCATATAGCCAAGACAATCCTAAACAAAAAGAACAAAGCTGGAGGCATGATGCTACCTGACTTCAAACTATACTACAAGGCTACAGTAACAAAAACAGCATGGTACTGGTACCAAAACAGATATATAGACCAGTGGAACAGAACAGAAGCCTCAGAAATAATGCCACACATCTACGACCATCTGATCTTTGACAAACATCACAAAAGCAATGGAGAAAGAATTCCCTATTTAATAAATGGTGCTGGAAAAACTGGCTAGCAATATGCATAAAACTGAAACTGTACCCCTTCCTTACACCTTATACAAAAATTAACTCAAGGTGGATTAAAGACTTAAATGTGCAACCTAAAACCATAAAAATCCTAGAAGATAACCTAGGCAATACCATTCAGGACATAGGCATGGGCAAAAATTCACGACTAAAACATCAAAAGCAATGACAACAAAGGCCAAAATTGACATATGGGATCTAATTAAACTAAAGAGCTTCTGCACAGCAAAAGACTATCATCAGAGTGAACAGGCAACCTACAGAATGGGAGAAAATTTTTGCAATCTATCCATCTGACAAAGGGCTAACATCCAAAATCTACAAAGAACTTCAACAAATTTACAAGAAAAAACCTAACGACCCCATCAAAAAGTGGACAAAGGATATGAACAGATGCTTCTCTAAAGAAGTCATTTATGTGGCCAAGAAACACATGAAAAGAAGCTCATCATCACTGGTCATTAGAGAAATGCAAATCAAAACCACAATGAGATACCATCTCATGCCAGTTAGAATGGCAATTATTAAAAAGTCAGGAAACAAAAGGTGCTGGAGAGGATGTGGAAGAATAGGAAAAATTTTACACTGTTGATGGGTGTGTAAATTAGTTCAACCATTGTGGAAGACAGTGTGGCGATTCCTCAAGGATCTAGAACCAGAAATACTGTTTGACCCAGCAATCCCATTACTGGGTATATACCCAAAGAATTAGAAATCATTCTACTATAAAGACACGTGCACACGTATGTTTATTGTGGCACTATTCACAATAGCAAAGACTTGGAACCAACCCAAATGGCCATCAGCGATATAATGGATAAAGAAAATGTGGCACATATACACCATGGAATACTATGCAGCCATAAAAATGATGAGTTCATGTCTTTGCAGGGACATGGATGAAGGTGGAAACCATCATTCTGAGCAAACTAACACAGGAACAGAGAAACCAAACACCACACGTTCTCACTCATAAGTGGGAGTTGAACAATGAGAACACATGGACACAGGGAGGGGAACATCACACACCAGGGCCTGTCGGGGGGTGAGGGGGTTAGGAGAGGGATAACATTAAAAGAAATACCTAATGTAGATGACAGGTTGATGGGTGCAGCAAACCACCATGGCACATCTATACCTATGTAACAAACCTGCACATTCTGCACATGTATCCCAGAACTTAAAGTATAATAAGAACAACAAAATTACTTGAACTGACCGACAATAGTGACACAACCTATCAAAACCTCTAGGATACAGCAAAGATGGTGCTAAAAGGAAAGTTCACAGCCCTAAATGTCGATGTCAAAGAGTCTGAAAGAGGACAGACAGACAATATAAGGTCACACCACAAGAAACTAGAGAAACAAAAACAAACAGAACCAAAACCCAGCAAAAGAAAGGGAATAACTAAGATAAGAGGAGAACTAAATGAAATTAAAACAACTGCAAAAAAATACAAAAGCTAAATGAAATAAAAAGCTGGTTCTTTGAAAAGATAAATAAAACTGATAGACCATTAGCAAGATTAACCAAGAAAAGAGGAGAGAAGTGCAAATAAACTCAATTAGAAACAAAACAGGAGATACTATTACTGATACCACAGAAATACAAAAGATTATTCAAGGCTACTATGAACACCTTTACATGCATAAACTAGAAAACCTAAAGGAGACGTTCGAATTCCTGGAAAGATACAGGGCTCTAGCTTAAGTCAGGAAGAATTAGATACCCTGAACAGACCAGTAATAAGCAGCAAGACTGAAATGATAATAAAAATTTACCAACAACAAAAAAGTCCAGGACCAGATAGATTCACAGCTGAATTCTACCAGACATTCAAAGAAGAATTGATACCAATCCTATTGACAGTATTCTACAAGATAGAGAAAGAGAGAATCCTCCCTAAATCATTCTATGAAGCCAGTATCACCTTAATACCAAAACTGGGAAAGAACATAACCAAAAAAAAAAAACACTACAGATCAATATCCCTGATGAACATAGATGCCAACATCCTTGACAAAATACTAGCTAATAGCATCCGACAGCATATCAAAACCCATGATCAAGTGGGTTTCATGCGAGGGATGCACGGATGGTTTAACATACGCAAGTCAATAAGTGTGATACACAACATAAAGAGAATTGGAAACAAAAATCATGTGATTATCTCAATAGCCACAGAAACTGCATTCAACAAAATTCAACATCACTTTATGACTAAAACTCAGCAAAATCGGTTTACAAAGGACATACCTCAATGTAATAAAAGCCAGCTATGGTAAACACACAGCCAACATTATATTGAATGGGAAAAAGTTAAAAGCATTCTGTCTGAAAACTGGAATGAGACAAGGATACCCACTCTCACCACTTCTCTTTAACATATTACTGGAAGTCCTAGCAAGAGCAATCAGACAAGAGAAACAAGTAAAGCACATCCAAATTGTTAAAGAGAAAGTCAAACTGTCACTGTTTGCTGATGATATGATTGTGTATGTAGAAAACTCTAAAGACTCCTCCAAAACCCCCTAGAACTGATAAAATAATTCAGCAAAGTTTCTGGATACAAAATTAACGTACACCAATGAGTTGCTTTCTTACATACCAGCAATGACCAAGCTGAGAATAAAATCAAGAACTCAACCCCTTTTACAATAGCTGCAAAAAACAAAACAAAACAAAACAAAAACTTAGGAATATATACCTAACCAAGGAGGTGAAAGACATCTACAAGGAAAACTACAAAACACGGCTGAAAGTAATCATATAAGACACAAACAAATGGAAACACATGCCATTCTCATAGATGGGTAGAATCAATATTGTGAAAATGGCCATAATGCCAGAAGCAACCTACAAATTCATTGCAATTCCCATCAAAATACCACCATTAGTCTTCACAGAACTAGAAAAAACAATCCTAAAATTCTTATGGAACCAAAAAAGAGCCCAATAAACAAGCAAGTCTAAAAAAAAGAACAAATCTGAAGGCATTACATTACCTCATTTCAAACTATACAATAAGGCCATAGTCACCAAAACAGCATGATGCTGGTGTACAAATAGGCACATCGACCAATGGAACAGAATAGAGAACCCAGAAATAAACTCAAATACTTACATCCAACTGATCTTTGACAAAGCAAACAAAAACATAAAGTGGGGAAAGGGCACCCTATTCAACAAATGGTGCGGGGATAGCTGGCAAGCTACATGTAGGAGAATGAAACTGGATCTTCATCTCTCACCTTATACAAAAATCAACTCAAGATGGATCAAGGACTTAAATCTAAGCCCTGAAACTGTAACAATTCTAGAAAATAACATCGGAAAAACCCTTCTACACATTGGCTTAGGAAAGGATTTCATGACCAAGAACACAAATGCAAATACATAAAAACAAAGAAAATATCTGGGACTAAATTAAACTAAAGAGCTTTTGCATGGCAAAAGGAAGAGTCTGCAGAATAAACAGACAACCCACAGAGTGGGAGAAAATCTTCACAATCTATACATCTGACAAAAGAATAATATCCAGGCTCTAAAATGAACACAAATAGATTATCAAGAAAATAACAAACAATCCCAATAAAAAGTAGGCTAAGGACATGAACAGACAATTCTCAGAAAAAGATATACAAATGACCAACAAACATATGAAAAAATTCTCAACATCACTAATGATCAGGGAAATGCAAATCAAAACTACAATGAGATATCTACTTACTCTAGTTAAAACGGCTATTAACAAAAAAGACAAAAAATAACAGATCCTTGTGAGGATATGGAGAAAAGGGAACTCTTTCTTACACACTGTTGGTGGGAATGTAAAATAGTACAACCATTATGGAAAACAGTATGAAGATTTCTCAGTAAACTAAAAACAGAACTATCATACAATCCAGCAATCTCACTAGTGGTTATTTATCCAAAAGAAAGGAAATCAGTATATCCAATGGACACATTACACTCATGTTTATTGAAGCACTATTCACAATAGTTAAGGTTTGGGATCAACCTAAGTGTCTATCAACAGATGAACGGATTAAAAAATTGTATTTTTGCACAGTACTATTTTGCCATGAAAAAGAATGAAATCTTGTCATTTGTAGCAACATGGATGGAACCAGAGGTCATTATGTTAATTGAAAGCCCTGAAGCAGAACAAAAACAAACTCTTGGTATGCCAAAGAGATAGATAATAAAATAAGCCAGATACAGAAAGTCAAATATCACATGTTTTTATTCATCTGTGGGAGCTAAAAAAGTGGGTCTCATGGTGGTAGAGAGTAGAATGATAGTTATCAGAGGCTGGAAAAAGTGTGAGTGTGTATGGGAGGGGATTTAAGAGATGTTGGTTAATAGGTACAAACACAGTTGGATAGAAGGATTAAGCCATAATGTTTGATATTTGAGTAGGGTGACTATAGTTAATTACTATTTATTATATATTTCAAAATGGCTAGAAATGAGGATTTGAAATTTTCTCAATACATAGAAATGATAAATGCTCAAAGCAATGGATATCCTAAATATCTAGACTTAATCATCACATGTTCTAGGCATGTAAGTATCACATGTACCCCATAAATATATAAAAATATGTATCAAAAAATGCACATTGCTCCCATTTGTTGACTGACTAGGTGAAAATATTTAGTGCCATGAATAATCCCTGTTTACTCTGTTTATGGGCATATTGAAAGGTTATAAGGCTCAGAGAGACCAGTATTGTTGATAGCCTGCAACTACAATAATTATTTGTCTCTCTCCCATATTCTGGATATATACAGCCAAATTCAAAAGTAATTCACAGGAAAAAGTCTGATCAATGTGAGAGCACTATAAAATTACTAATAAAGTTATATTTGCCAAAATATGGCACTCTAACTTGGAAAATGCAAAGGTTCCTTGATATGAAAGACACAAGACCTGAAGGTCAAAACTCCCTGACCAATCTAGCACTTCCTAAAAAGTAAATCTGTTAATATCCCTCTACCCTTCACACATGAGAGTCACCAGGTCAGTGCATGGTTTCCTCCTGTTATCTTCACCAGTCTGGGAGCTTTCAGTCATTTATCACCTCCTTCTTCCTTCTCATCTCCCACAGTCAGTCGAATACTATGTCTTTCTCACCCCACCTTTGTCCATCCTTCAAATTCCACAGACTCACTGCTCCTCTTGGGTTTGAACCATTGTATCTGTCCCCTTGAATCATCATCCATATTTTATTTTATCTGCAAACTTGAATCCATTTTGTGCACATAAGCAGATTACTTTTTCCCAAAATCTTATTTCCTGAGTCACTTAACATCCTAATGCTTATCGTTTAGTATTGCAATAGCATAGTAAAAGCTTGTATTTTTGTAGCCAGGCCCTGTACTATCTGGTCTTTCCTAGTCCTCTACGTATGTCTTACTCTCCCTTCTACTTCCAGAGAGCCAGTTTCATGCAAGTCACGAAGCCCTAGCTTGCTGGTTTTAGAATTTAAGCCTTTATTAGTATTCTATCTCCCACGGAAAGTCTTCATCACACTCTCCAAAAACTTTCCCACTCAGGTCCTAACTCTAACTTTATTTTAGTGCATGTTACATTCTATCAGAAGATAATGCACAATGATATCATGTGTCTTAGCTTCAGCTAACCCATGAAATAATGGAATCCTTCATGGAAAGAGCAGGCTATTGTTGATACACACTCATCTTATCTCCAAATCAATTTCATAAAACATGTGACAAGCTAGCTACTTCAAAATGTAAATAAGAGTAAATTAAAATAGTAATTCTAGCCTATATCTTGGATATCTATGAAGTTTTGTTTTGTTTTGTTTTTGTTTTTAATGAAAAGTGACATGTACCACAAATCTGCTTTCTCAGGTACCACTAACAGCTCCTTCTTTCCCCGGTGCAGTAAAAACTGCCTAGGAGTCTCTGTCCACTTAATTAACCATTTTCCCACCCCGATAAAGATTTTTCTCCATCATATCATCCTCCTTGGAATCCTGGAATTCTCCCATAACATCCACATTAATTTTACAAGCCCCCATACATTTCTTAAGGAAGCTCTTGGTTCTTCCTATGTTTCTCTCCATCCCTCAGCCCATGAACACTTTTTCCTTTTAACACAAGAGTAAAAGATGGAGAAGATAAAATTGCAATTTTTGATTACTGAAGAAAATGTACTTTATTAAACAGAAGGCTTTCTCTCAAGGCCAAGCCCAGTCCCCATGTGCAGAAGGAGGGTGTCAGGGTCACAGGAACACCTGCAAACTGGAAGAGAACTCAGTGGTACTTATGGGCCAGGGCAATGGCGACAGCAGACACCAGCTTCTGCCAGGCAGCCTGCACTTCAGGGGTGAACTCCTTGCCAAAGTGAGTAGCCAGAATAATCACCATCACGTTACCCAGGAGCTGTTAGGCAAAAGACAAAATAACACACAGGCATGTTGAGTAGAAGTTTCCGAAAACAACTTGATGAAAAAACAAACAAACAAACAAAAACGGCTTTATACCTACATTCCTAGACAACCCTGACCTCAAACTGTTCCAAGGTTTGTGCCCACCCAAAAAATTCAGATGAGCTTAGGTTCAATTTTATTCTATGAGCCCTACATTCAACATTCTACCTACCTACACCCTCACCCCCTTCCCCATTTTACCAGTATTATTGGGTTCCCTCTCTCCCTGTTTTTCTTTAAGCAATTGTCTAATTTTTGTAAATGTAGAATGTGAGTGCTGCAAGAGTTCTCAGCGGGAGTTTAAAATCCCCAACAAATTCGGAAACAAGCCTTCACTTGGTCACAATACTGATGGGAAATTTAACATATTTTAGAAAATGTGTCTTATTTTTCTTTGAGCAAATCTTTTATTTTTTTTGCAAAAATCTCTTTCTAAACCTCAATTATCATGACCCACATAAAATAAGGCATTTCTATTTCCTTGAAATGGACTTTCATCTACCAAAAGCCAAATTTCATTCTTCTTTCACAAGTCTACAATTCTATAATACAATTCTCTGGGATAAACACATCAAGTTCTGGCAAGATTTCCTGAAAAGTTAAGCCAATTCAGGCTGTTAGTAGTCCTTTACTGTCACTAGTTCTGAATCATGTAAGTTTTGGTTATGCTCACTAGAAGTCTGCTGTTCTAACATCAAGCTCGACCCATGATTTCTGAGATCTTTGTTGGTCTTTCCAATAAGATTATGAGCTTCAATTAATGTCAAAATATAAAGCCAAAAAATCACATCACCAGCACCTGAACTCACCTTGAAGTTCTCAGGATCCACATGCAGCTTGTCACAGTGCAGCTCACTCAGCTTAGCAAAGGCGGGCTTGAGGTTGTCCATGTTTTTAATAGCATCTCCAAAGGAAGTCAGCACCTTCTTGCCATGGGCCTTGACCTTGGGGTTGCCCAGGATGGCAGAGGGAGACGACAGGTTTCCAAAGCTGTCAAAAAATCTCTGGGTCCAGGGGTAAACAACGAGGAGTCTATGAAATGACACCATATCAGATACAAAATTAGAGATGCAAAAAATCTTGAGGACTTTCCCAATCAACTTGCTAGGGTAATATTCACCCTTCATTCCCATGCATTGAGAACCAATGCTTACCTGCCCAAGGCTTCACCTCCAGCCTCTTCCACATTCATCTTGCTCCACAGGCTAGTGACGGCAGCCTTCTCCTCAGCAGTAAAATGCACCATGATGCCAGGCCTGAGAGCTTGCTAGTGATTGCAGCTGTGTCGGAAGCAGATATGTGCTGCTGCCTCTCTGTCTGGCCTTTTATTCTTTACTGCCGAAGTTCTGGCCCCCTGTTCTCCATGGTACTTAAAAGTCATTGGTCAAGGCTGACCTGTGTCCCTCAGGGGTGGAGTCAGGTCCGGAGAGGGTCAGCAGTGATGGATGGACACTAAGTTTGTGATAATGTGTGCTGGATCCTGAGGCTCTTTTTTGTTGGCTCCTCATCTATCTGCAACACAAATTTCCATTTGTCCCCTTTTTTACCCTCTTCATCATCTTCCAAAATGATATCCATCTCTCCCATTCTCCTTTTCCAAGAAAGCCTCATATAAAGGAGCAAATCTCAAAATAGGAAAAAAAGTTTCAGCCAAAGCGCATTTAACATTTGCCTTAAAGGTGGTGACAGTGACAAAAACAGGGCCAAGGAAAAGAAAATAAAGCTGTTAAAACAGAATCTCACCCAGTTCTAGCTCTCTTAAGGAGTGCATTGTAAACAAAACTTCTGTACCTTAGTTTCTCTAGGGAGACAAAAACCGTACATAGTTCCTTCTAGAAACTGAACAGAATAGCAAGTAGTCCACAGTGGGACTAAAGCCTTAATCCCAAAGTACAGTACCTTGGGGTGATTCCCTAGAGAGGACAGACAGAAAAGATTACATCCAGTGCTTCCAGAGAATCCTCTCTCTTTTCATTTCTCTATGACCACAGGGGACATTGGCTACTTTGTGAGTATTGCCTGGGGCTCTCTTCTTGCTTGCCTGTCTGTCCTGCTTATACTTCTCACTGGGAAGGGAGCTGAGAAGCCTAAAATCCTAAAATTATTTAAAGCCAGAATTTGTCATCAAACAGAGAAAAAAGTGAATCGATATATTAATCAGGCTAGGAGTCAGGGTATATTATTCCTCTAGTGTCCTTTTTTTTTTCTGTATGTCCCCATTTTGATGACTTGCTAGCTCTTTACTTGGTAGAGCTGAAACTGGAAGTTGGGATTTACAGTGTATTCAATTCGATCCATGTGCCTGAAGAATATTGCTCATGCTATATCACTTAATCTGCCCTTATAATACCATTGTCATTATCCTCATATTTTAGAATCAAGGAATAAATTCACAGAAATTATTTAACTATCAATGTGACAGAAGTAATGATTGGGGGAATAATAGAAGCAGAGTTCCACAAATTCCAGCATTGTTAATTCTATAAAAGTCCCTTACATCACCATAATCTCATTGCCCCAGCCCAGTTCCTCCTTCTGGCTTGTTCTACATCCATTTATTTTTTCTTTTTTCTTTTTCTTTTCTTTCTTTCTTTTTTTTTTTTTTTTGAGACGGAGTCTCACTCTGTTGCCAGACTGGAGTGCAATGGCACTATCTCAGCTCACTGCAACCTTCGCCTCCTGGGTTCAAACGATTCTCCTGCCTCAGCCTCCCGAGCAGCTGGGACTACAGGCGCATGCCACCATGCCCAGCTAATTTTTTTATTTTTAGTAGAGACGGGATTTCACCATGTTTGCCAGGATGGTCTCGATCTCTTGACCTCATGATCTGCCCACCTCTGCCTCCGTCTCCATCCATTTCTACCATTTCTTTCTCCTATGGCTCCCCTTGCCCCACCAGATCTAGGAATTTCTGTTCCTACAATTTCCTGTATGTTCAGGCCCTAGAGGTTCTTCGTCTTTTTCACTTAGCAGTATGGCTCCTGTCTCCCAAGTCAAGTGCCTTTGGGGATTCCATATTCCAAGTTTACTAAGAGCGTTTCTCTCTTCTATAACCTGACTTTGTTATTTATTATATTTTCTTATGTTTGTGATAAAAAAAAAAAAAAAAAAAAACACTTGTGGCAAGTAAGAATGTCTCCCTTGCTTTTCTCCCATGATTCCAGAAGTCTTCACCTGACTTAATGACTGCCCAAATTGTTATTATTCCAGGCCACTGAATTTCTACTCCATTTTCTTTTAGCTATTAACCAATGGTATCTTTCTGAGCATATATTCTAACCATTGGCTAACACAGACAAAACCAGGAATTCCTAAACTTTTTTTGTGTCACAGGCCAGTTTGGCAGACTGTAAGTGCTAAAAAAATATGTTTTTATTGCATCAAATAATATACATAGGAGTGCTAAGTTTAATTACACTGAAATATCATTATCAGACATCAAACATTACATTTGTGGTATAGTATTTATTATATTTGCTTCTTTATGAAAGCATTAGATCTAGGATTGGGTCTACAGCTACCTTAAGATCCAAGTAGTGATGCAGATAAATGTGAATTAAAAATATCTGCAATGGGCCAGGCGTGGTGGCTCACACCTATAATCCCAGCACTTCAGGAGGCCAAGGCGGGCAGATCATCTGAGGTCAGGAGTTCAAGACCAGCCTGGCCAACATGGCGAAACCCCATCTCTACTAAAAATACAAAAATTAGACTGGCATGGTGGCAGGTGCCTGTAATCCCCAGCTACTCAGGAGGCCAAGGCAGGAGAATTGCTTGAATGCAGGAAGGGGAGGTTGCAGTGAGCCGAAATCATGCCACTGCACTCCAGCCTGGGCAATAAGAGCGAAACTCCATCTCAAACAAAAACAAAAACAAAAAGATCTGCAATACCTATGGTGTAGTATGAAAATATCTGTGGTTTCTCTTTATAACTATGCAATAGGTACTGATGATGTCATTCTAGTTTGTCCTTTGCATTCAAAGTAGAAGAAAATGCTAAATTTCAGTTACATGTAAGTAAAAATACAGATTTTTTTTCTATAAACTTCACCAGCCCCCTAGTGTTCTGTGGACCCCAGATTAAGACTTCCTGGGACAAAATATATAGCCTAGGAAGACAAGATCCTAGGTTTGGAAAGAACGTATTTGATCCACTGAAATAAAAGAACAATGACTAGACAAAAAGCAGCTCAGCTGCTTGTAGCTTGAACCAAGCTGAGCTTGGCTACTCAGAGAAGAACAGTCGTTGAGATAATATAATTTTTTTTAACCAATTAAGATACAGCTCTGGGTTTTCAGGGGGAATTTGCTACAGATCCACAGTATGAAGGCAGTGGCCCTTCCTCAGAACTTGAATGTGAGGGTCAGACATTGCCAAAGTCCAAGGAATAAGGACCAGGTATCTCAAGGCCAAGAGTTTGGAGAACAGGTTTCTCCCTAAAACAAGCCCTATGGGTAATCCCATCATTCTTCCCATTCAGAGTATGGACACCAGTCTTCTCTTAGATTCAGAGTATGGGGTTGATCCTCTCCTGCTCCCTCGGAGCCAGTTGCAGAGCCCACATTTTCTTCTCTCCTTACTGCCTATGGTTCCAGACCTGGCTTGCATCCAGGGATCTGACCCATTCCATGTTTCCTTATGGCTAAAGGTGGTAGGGAGGAGCTTCAAGAAAGGTTATAGCATTGAAAGGCCCAGGTTTGTGTCTCAGTAACAAGGCTTATAAATCCTGACTCAGAAGTCAGGTAGGCTGCGGGCAGTCTCATTATTGCTTCGATGCTTGTTGGTTCAAGATAAATTGCTTCACCTGCTCATTTTTAAGCATTTTATTTGTTTATCATATGAGATACCATGAAAAATGGATTATTGCTTTTCTTTCCTATATTAAAAGCCCAAAGTTCAGAGAGATAAGTGTTATGGCCATCCAGGATAGATCAGAAAGATTAGACAGTCAGAAAAAGTAATCAGTAAGAATATTCATTTATTGTCTATATAATTAAAATTAGTAAAATAAAATCTATGTATGTCTTAAGACATTTAAGTATAAAGGACTTTTAGAAAGAAACACCCAAATTCGATGAAGATTAATTCCTGCCTGTTTGGGTTTGCTTTAGCATTTGTAATTTCTTAAGTTCTATGCAGGATTCTAAAAACTGTAAGATGCCTAATTTAAACAAGGAAACATCCAATATTTTCTTAAATCTTTCTGGCTAATTTATGACATATGTTTAACCTGAAGAGTCAAATATTGTACTGTTCTTAGATGCTATTAGTATGAAAAATTATATAAATTAGATTCTTGTTAAGTAAAGTAGGCCCTTCACTTCACTGAATGTTTTTCATGGTATTATCTAAGAAATAAATACTTTAATGAATATTCTTTACCACAAATAACTTACTTTATTTTTATTTTTAAAATAGGAAAAATATAAACAAGGCTTGTAAACCACTGATAGGAAAAGAGCTGCTTAGGATTCTAAATTAGCCAGATTTTAAATTATTCTGCTTCCATTATGTATCTAAATCTATATTCTCAGAACAAAAATAGATGTAAGCAAATGATTCTACTAGATTTTGTGTTAGATTTTGCATTATCCAGGAATGACTTGGATATCACAAGTCATAAATTCTGTGGCTGCCTTGCAGGAAGCCTGTGGCTATTTTCTAGTGTAATTGTAAAGAATGAGAGAATAGACCATAACAAGTGTTCAAACTGTTGCTTTCTTGTTTTCAACTTTTATTTTAAGTTCAGGGGTACATGTACAGGATGTGCAGGTTTGTTACATAGATAAATGAATGTCAAGGGGGTTTGTTGTATAGATGATCTCATCACTCAGGTATTACGCTTAGCATCCATTAGTGATTTTTCCTGATCCTCTCCTTCTCTCACCCTCCACCCTCTGATAGGCCCCAGTATGCGTTGTTTCCCTCTATGAGTCCATGTGTTCTCATCATTTAGCTTCTAACTGTTGCTTTCGTAGTGTACCTCTGCCTCATCTCTCACGAAGTTTGCAGGTGAGTTTGAGCCAGGGCTGAGGCTCATTCTCAAGAGTAATCTCTCTCTCTGGCAACTTGGAGCACAGACATCCTATTGTGTGACTGACCTCGGGAGCCACTGTGCCTAAAGTACAACCAGAGTTACTTGTGAATGTTAATTAAGCAGGAGGGATCTTTAATGGGAAAAAGGAGTAGAAAGCCAGAATCAGCCAGTTATGCCACACTTTCCTACATGATGGGCACTGAAGGTTAAAACTTGAGTCTGTCAACTTAGAAAACTCATAAATATCCCATTTTCCGCTGAAATATAGCTTTACTTTCCTGGTTTCTTTGACCTTTTGGGACCTTGAGTAAGTAAAGATGCCTTCATTTATTTTCATGATTAAAATTCTAAGAAATTCTTGGGTTTTTTTAATTAAATTGCATTGCCTAATGTATTTATGAACTAAGAACATAGAAATAAAACAATACTCTGAAGTAGTTCAGAATGTGCTTTCAATTTATATAAAGAGTTAATTCAAATGAGACTATTTTAAGTGCAGGGCTTTGAATCTTATGTCTAGAAATTTTGAAAAACCTCTGATTATATGCTAAGATTCCACCTCTAGTGCTAGAACTGAGAAGTCCTTGACTTGGTGATCTTTTTTAAATTCTGAAACAACAGCAACATAAAGCTAAGGACTTTTTCTTGCCTATGCATGCTATCTTCAGTACTTTGATTATTTAGTATTGAAACTATAACATAGTATGTTTCCTGAATAAAAAATGTGTATTTCTCTGGAGAAGGTTAAAACTGAGGATTGGCAAGTGAGCAAGGCTTAAATGGAAGAAGCAATGATCTCGTCAGACCACCTTCATTAACGAGATCATCCATCATGAGGAAATATGGAAAACCAGGCCCCCTCTGTTTTGTGTCACTAAGGGTGAGGATGCTGAATGATTTTTCCCTCCCCCGGGCTTCTTTTAGCCATCAATAATTCTAGCCCCACAGGAGTTTGTTCTGAAAGTAAACTTCCACAACCGCAAGCTTATTGAGGCTAAGGCATCTGTGAAGGAAAGAAACATCTCCTCTAAACCACTATGCTGCTAGAGCCTCTTTTCTGTACTCAAGCCTCATTCAGACACTAGTGTCACCAGTCTCCTCATATACCTATTGTATTTTCTTCTTCTTGCTGGTTTAGTCATGTTTTCTGGGAGCTTAGGGGCTTATTTTATTTTGTTTTGTTTTCTAATCAACAGAGATGGGCAAACCCATTATTTTTTTCTTTAGACTTGGGATGGTGATAGCTGGGCAGCGTCAGAAACTGTGTGTGGATATAGATAAGAGCTCAGGACTATGCTGAGCTGTGATGAGGGAGGGGCCTAGCTAAAGGCAGTGAGAGTCAGAATGCTCCTGCTATTGCCTTCTCAGTCCCCACGCTTGGTTTCTACACAAGTAGATACATAGAAAAGGCTATAGGTTAGTGTTTGAGAGTCCTGCATGATTAGTTGCTCAGAAATGCCCGATAAATATGTTATGTGTGTTTATGTATATATATGTTTTATATATATATATATGTGTGTGTGTGTGTGTGTGTGTGTTGTGTTTACAAATATGTGATTATCATCAAAACGTGAGGGCTAAAGTGACCAGATAACTTGCAAGTCCTAGGATACCAGGAAAATAAATTACATTCCAAAAATTTAACTGAGACTTTAAAAAAAAAAAAAAAACAAAAAAAAACCAGTGATCCATGGACACAGGGAGGGGAACATCACACACTGGGGCCTGTTGGGGGTGGGGGGCTAGGGGAAGGATAGCATTAGGAGAAATACCTAATGTAGATGACGGGTTGATGGGTGCAGCAAACCACCATGGCACATGTACCCCAGAACTTAAAGCATATTAAAAAAACAGTGATCATAAAAGAAGCTCAAATTTAACTATAAGAGACGGAATGGCTCCCACAATTCTTAACTATAATCTTACAGAATATTCTCATTGAATAGAAGTATGCTTATCATTAGAGATTTGGACAGCCAGGAAAGCACAGAAAAAAAAAAAAGGAGCTCTGTTGCCTTATAGCCTAGAGGTGTTTTGAACCTCACATAACACTGATGTCCAGGCCAAGGCCATCCTTCCCATGAAGATGGATGAATAAGCCATATCTGACACCTATGAAATAATGTTTACTTTAGTGGCATATTGCATTAGGCTACCTGCCTTGGCACAGTTTTTCTTTACTTTTACCTGACTGATGAAACAATTAATTGCTTACATAAACATGAGTGCTCTAGTTATAAATTCCAGTGTAAAAAACACCCTGGTTTCGATATTCATCTTTTGAGCCTTTTATTTTGGTCAGAACAAGTTTTCAAGAGCAAATCTCAGCCTACAAAACAAATGAGTCCAATTCTAGAACTCAGTAATCCCATCAAGGCTCTGCCTGCGGAGGGCTAACTAGCTCTATGCAGGCTTAGCACTTCCAGCTCTACTCCACTGATTTCTTTGTGTGTGCATAGCAGTGGATGTGTCAGCATACATCCTTTTAATTATAGTTGTATATGTGTTTGACTGCTCATTCATTCATTCAAAATTGTAAAATTGCTAAGAATACAGCACAAAAACAGAATAGAGGAATAAAGTTCCTGTTTTCATGGACTTGATAGTGGAAAGAGCTTGACATTAAATAAGCAAATGAAACATGTTATATACCAATGAGATTAGGTGCTATGGAGAAAAAAAAAAAACTGAAATGAAGGCCAGAGTGTGATTAGGACAGGGTGAAAGGGTATCGCTACTTTAAGTAGTATGGCAGGAAAGTCCTCACTATAAAGTTAACACCTGAGAGAGTACCCATAGATGATGAGGAACCCATTTATATGAAACTATGATTAAATATTTAGGGCATAGGGAATGGCAAATGTAAATACCCTAAAGATGTAAGATGCTTAGAATTTTCAAGGAATATCAATAAGGCCAATGTAGGATGAGATTCGGTGAAGGGGAGAATAAAAGATGAGATCATAGAAGTCCTAAATTATAAAATTTGGGACACTAATAATACCTACATCATAGAGTTGTAAGAAAAAACACTCTACACACATACACATAAATATATATATTTATTTATATGAGAGCTATATATATGTATCTGTAATAAACATAATATATGCATGAACAACTATTGTAGAGAATTGTAAGGATTTGGTTTTATTATAAATGATATAGGAAACTATCAGAAGACTTTGAACAAAGAGGTGACCATATATGACTTACATTTTGAAAAGACTAATTTGGATAGTATATTGGGAAGAAATTGTAGTGGGGCAGTGGTAGAAGCAGGAAGATTGTTATGAGTCAACAGCTATAATTTAGGTGGTGGTGACAGTGACTTAGACCAGAGTGGTAGCATTGGAGGTGAAGGCAAGGGGTCAGCCTCTGAAAACATCCTTTCACGAAAAACCAACAGGATTTTCTGACAGAGAATATGGAATTGGTGTGTGTGTGTGTTGCACTCATGCACACTCTAGTGCATGCTAATTTCTGGCTGTGAGTATATGTCAGAGTAAGGATTTTGAAGCTAGGCAAAGTGAGTCTTTGGGTTGAATTTTGTCAAGGTGTTTGTTCATCACAGTCTCTACCTCAGAATTGGCTTTAAAATTGGAAAGCTGGGTGGGTGGATATGGAAATGAGAAACCATCTCTGGAGCTTGTCTACACATCATACCTTTAGCCAAAGTGACATCAAGTATTTCTTGGATGCTGACCAGAGGCTTCTGAGCCAGGCCCCTCTAGCTGAAGGAAGTTCACAGTTTCTTTAAGGAGGGAAAATGGTAGATAAGTCAGAGAACAATCAGACAGAATTCTGTTCGGTCAGGGAATTTGATGGGTTTTGTTTGTTTGTTTGTTTGTTTGTTTTCGTTTTTCTTTAGACAGAGTCTCGCTCTGGAGGCTGGAGTGCAATGGCATGATCTCTGCTCAGTGCAAACTCCACCTCCCCGGTTCAAGCGATTCTCCTGCCTCAGCCTCCCAAGTAGTTGGATTACAGGCTCCCGTCACCACGTCCAGCTAATTTTTATATTTTTAAGCAGAGACCAGGTTTCACTATGTTGGCTGGGCTGGTGTCCAACTCCTGACCTCAAGTGATCTGCCCACCTTGGCGTCCCAAACTGCTGTGATTACAGGAGTGAGCCACCGCACCTCAAGGAATTTGATGTTTAGGCTGTGACCTCTGCACTAGGAATGGAAGGTTAGCCACTCCCACCCCACCCTTCGTCCTGCAAGTACCCAATCACACTGCAGAGCCACACCTGCCTTCCTTAGAGGCGTGCCTCCATCCCTGATGAGTTTTTCCTCCATGTGTAGAATTGAATAAGAAGGATAGAATTCAATTTAACAAGCTTTGAGTACTTCCTATAGCCTAGGCATTGTGCTGACAACTATGTTAGAGAGAGAAATAGACAAGCTATAAACTTTTCCTCAGGACCATCTACATAATTTCTAGGCCCAATATAAAATGAAAATGAATAGCCCCTTTGTCAAAAATTAAGGATTTCATGTCAGGAACAGCAAGGATGTTAAACCAAGCATGGGGCCATCAAGCTATATCTGCTATTCATGATACGAAAAAATAAAGAGTATTCTAGTTATTTAGCCACATATTTCAAGTTTAGTCTGATATCACCCTTTAAACACTGCCACTCAACCTAAAACAATGCTAGTCTTTCTAGACCCATCCATGGAATTTTTTCCCCACTGTTTTTTTTCTAATTAATTTGTGATTTAAATGGCTCATATTCCAGCCTGTGCCACAGTTATTACACATTTAACTCACTCTCTGTATTTTGTTATCTGTATAAATACTCTTCAGGTTGATTTCCTTTCTTAATGTTTGTGTTTATGTTAGATATGCATCATGTAGCCTGTCTTCATTTCTATCACAAACATACACTTGAACCAAAAAGGAAGTTTTTACATAGCATCACTAAATCTTCTCTCTGTGCTCTTAGCGAAACCAAGTAGGCTGACAAGACATCATTCATTCACAGCGAAACCGAGTAGACTGACAAGAGGTCATTCATTCACAAATGAATACAAAAAACAGTGTCAAGTATACGTGAGGTCCTGTAATGGGTCCTGGGCCTGCAAAACCCTCACAGCTGCTAACCTCAAGAAGCTCAGTGGAGACATAACATTCATCTGAAAATTCCTTGCATGTCTGTTGAACTAATTTATCTGCCTCTCCTTAAATTTGTTCCTTTTTGTATAGTTCCTTAAGTCATGTCACATTTCTGAAACATCTTTGCCACTGTGAACTCCTACAGAAGCCAGCTTCAAAGCCATTCTTCTGGAAGCCTTCTCTATCCCCTTGACCTCCTGTTTTTTCTCCCACAAGCATTATGTCTGTCTGTCATTGTTTTTCATCCTCTTGTAGTCCTTCACAGTTACCCACACAGGTGAACCCTTTTAGCTCTCCTGGAGGAATGTTTCTTTCCTCTCAGGATCAGAGTTGCCTACATCTTCCTAATGCACCAAGACTGGCCTGAGATGTATCCTTAAGATGAGAGCTTCCCAGTAGCACCCCAAGTCAGATCTGACCCCGTATGTGAGCATGTGTCCTCTAACAGCACAGGCCTTTTGCCACCTAGCTGTCCAGGGGTGCCTTAAAATGGCAAACAAGGTTTGTTTTCTTTTCCTGTTTTCATGCCTTCCTCTTCCATATCCTTGTTTCATATTAATACATGTGTATAGATCCTAAAAATCTATACACATGTATTAATAAAGCCTGATTCTGCCGCTTCTAGGTATAGAGGCCACCTGCAAGATAAATATTTGATTCACAATAACTAATCATTCTATGGCAATTGATAACAACAAATATATATATATATATATATATACGTATATGTGTATATATATATATATATTCAGGAAATAATATATTCTAGAATATGTCACATTCTGTCTCAGGCATCCATTTTCTTTATGATGCCGTTTGAGGTGGAGTTTTAGTCAGGTGGTCAGCTTCTCCTTTTTTTTGCCATCTGCCCTGTAAGCATCCTGCTGGGGACCCAGATAGGAGTCATCACTCTAGGCTGAGAACATCTGGGCACACACCCTAAGCCTCAGCATGACTCATCATGACTCAGCATTGCTGTGCTTGAGCCAGAAGGTTTGCTTAGAAGGTTACACAGAACCAGAAGGCGGGGGTGGGGCACTGACCCCGACAGGGGCCTGGCCAGAACTGCTCATGCTTGGACTATGGGAGGTCACTAATGGAGACACACAGAAATGTAACAGGAACTAAGGAAAAACTGAAGCTTATTTAATCAGAGATGAGGATGCTGGAAGGGATAGAGGGAGCTGAGCTTGTAAAAAGTATAGTAATCATTCAGCAAATGGTTTTGAAGCACCTGCTGGATGCTAAACACTATTTTCAGTGCTTGAATCATAAATAAGAATAAAACATGTATCTTATTCCCCACAAGAGTCCAAGTAAAAAATAACAGTTAATTATAATGTGCTCTGTCCCCCAGGCTGGAGTGCAGTGGCACGATCTCAGCTCACTGCAACCTCCGCCTCCCGGGTTCAAGCAATTCTCCTGCCTCAGCCACCCTAATAGCTGGGATTACAGGTGCACACCACCATGCCAGGCTAATTTTTGTACTTTTTGTAGAGGCAGGGTATCACCATGTTGTCCAAGATGGTCTTGAACTCCTGAGCTCCAAGCAGTCCACCCACCTCAGCCTCCCAAAGTGCTGGGATTACAGGTGTGAGACACCATGCCCAGATTTTCCATATTTAATAGAGGTATTTATGGGATGGGGGAAAAGAATGTTTCTCTCACTGTGGATTATTTTAGAGAGTGGAGAATGGTCAAGATTTTTTTAAAAATTAAGAAAACATAAGTTGGACCTTGAGAAATGAAAATTTATTTTTTTGTTGGAGGATACCCATTCTCT
This sequence comes from Homo sapiens, assembly GCF_000001405.40. Lineage (NCBI taxonomy): Eukaryota > Metazoa > Chordata > Mammalia > Primates > Hominidae > Homo > Homo sapiens. Next base: position 5,281,584 of record NC_000011.10, read on the forward strand.
ATCTCCCATCAGGGCAAGCTGTAAGGAACTGGCTAAGACACAGTGAGACAGAGTGACTTAGTCTTAGAGGCCCCACTGGTACCCAGATGAGAAGGCACCTTCATCACTCATCACAGTCAGCTCTGCCTTTCTCCTCTCTCCTTTCTCATCAGAAATTTCATAAGTCTACTAGGGTCAGGCAGATCACATAAGAAAAGAGGATGCCAGTTAAGGTCTGCAGTGAGTATGAGCCCATCCCTGATGAATTAAGGCAATCAACACTTTAGGCAGCCATGTTGCCATGAGAGATTAGGAGGGGCCAAATGAGCCCAGAAATACCACCTACTTCTTAGATGATCTTGAGCAAGTTGCTTAACTTCTTGAAGTCTCTGAAATATAGGATGATAATATGTATTAGCTAATAGAATTATGAGGATGAGATTAGTTTATTGTGTAAAGAACTAGGGACACAGTATATATTCAGTAAGTGTTTTCTGTTACAGTATTATGATAAATATATACATGCAACTATTACAGTTGCATGCTACCTTAAAGAATAATTGGAGGTACAGTTATTCGGAGGTATTTCTTGACTGTTAATGTTGGCAGCAGATTCAGCTTATTTTACAACACTATTCAGACCTCTCACAATAATTCCCTAGGAGATATTTAGACAACAAGCCATCATGTTGTAACTTCTCATTTGTCTTTTCTCACTTACCCTCTCATTCACCCACCTCTTTTGCTCTCTGTTCCTGTGAAAGTACCCTTCTACTTAGCCTACTTTTGACCAGTGTGCATGTCACTGGGCAATACAAGACCTCTGAGCTTTGGCTTAGAAGGAAATACAATAATGGCTAATTTTTGAGAAAGAGGAACTCTAGCCCATCAGGGAAGACATAGGGAGTTCTGTAGGAATGAGTTCTTCCATTCTTTTTACAGATGAGAAAGACAATGTGAAGCCCCAAATGATTTTAAAGTAGTTAGCATATGGAGAAATGGCTTGCATTGGTAAAATTTGGGGAAACTTTGTTGTCAGACCCGGCAAAGGGAGATGCAGAGAATCTGCAGTTTCTTCTCATTTCTTGTGTACCTATCACAGCACCACAGCACTATTCCTAGCATAGTTTAGGGCCCTCAGTTCTTGACGCTAGTTAGAATTTCACACAAACTTAAACTAGACAAACATATGTATGTTTCTGAGGCACTGAGGTCACTGCAGGATGAAGACGGAGCCAATGGGTTAGACCAGAAGAGTAAATGAACACTATAACACATAAACACTCCCTTTAACCAAAGTTGCAGCTTGACCAAGGGGTCAAAGGGTAATTTGGGCAGGCATGGGCCTTCAGTTTTCTCAAGTGTCTGCTTATAATTTGTCATATGACAATCTCTGTAACCCAAGAGAAAATCTCTTTATTCTGAAGTTGTTTCTAAATTTTTCTTTACCTTTTTCTCCCTCAAACTTTCCTGAAGAAATGCAATTATGGTTGAGGAAGTATGGTCTGCAACTGTGGCTTGGACCACAACTTCCAATCGACAAGAAGTAAAAGTAAGAAGCAAGGGCCACAGGGCAGGAATATCTACTTCTAATTTCTCGCATCCACAATATCTGAGTTTGTGTTTTGCTGTGGAAAAAACACTGTCTTCAGAGGTAGCAGAACTGGGTCTACATCCTAGCCTTACTACTTGGTGGTTCTGTAAGCTTGGACAAATTATTTCATGTCTTTGATTTTCGAGTCCCCAGTTAATAAGAGCTCATGTAATGTAGACAGTAGGAGAGCTCAGACCATCTGACTTCTAATTACTAATTGTCTACTTATTAGCTTGTGCTTTCAATAAGTTGATCTACACTACAAGTACATTGGGCTCCTCATCAATAAATGAGGTAATAATCTACTTCTGAGTATTGGTGTGAGTAAAACTAAGTTAATTCATATAATAAACTTCTTTTTTTTTTTTTGAGATGGAGTCTCACTCTGTCGCCTAGGCTGGAGTGCAGTGGTGCAATCTTAGCTCACTGCAACCTCCACCTCCTGGGTTCAAGTGATTCTCCTGCCTCAGCCTCCTGAGTAGCTGGGATTATAGACGCGTGCCACCACACCTGGCTGATTTTTTGTATTTTTTAGTAGAGAAGGGGTTTCACCATGTTGGCCAGGCTGGTCTGGAACTCCTGACCTCAGGTGATCCAATTGCCTTGGCCTCCCAAAGTGCTGGGATTACAGGCATGTAATCCCATATATGAGCCACCGTGCCCGGCCTCATATGATAAACTTAAATTTGATTCTAGCATATACTAAGTACTCAAGAGGTGTTACTTATCATTAGTATTAATTATAGTATGTTCAATAATACATATCTCACAGAATTACCATATGTAATGAGATTATTAAATATCATAAAATGGCACCTGACATATAGAAAGATTTCAGTAAGTATTAATTCCCACTTCTCTTTCATTTACCTCCAGCCTAAATCTACACTATTTCCTCGTGTCTCTCATGTGGTTTCTAGTCCCTTCACCATCTTGTTTCCCTCTCAACTCCTGTGCAGATTCCTAAAAATTTCTCATGTTCAGAACCTTGGGCTTCCATGTTTCCAGTGAAGTCAGATTTTTTTAGATGGCAAAGTTGCTGTTAGACAATTTCATCTGTGCCCTGCTTAGGAGCTTAATCTTTAATGAAAGCTAAGCTTTCATTAAAAAAAGTCTAACCAGCTGCATTCGACTTTGACTGCAGCAGCTGGTTAGAAGGTTCTACTGGAGGAGGGTCCCAGCCCATTGCTAAATTAACATCAGGCTCTGAGACTGGCAGTATATCTCTAACAGTGGTTGATGCTATCTTCTGGAACTTGCCTGCTACATTGAGACCACTGACCCATACATAGGAAGCCCATAGCTCTGTCCTGAACTGTTAGGCCACTGGTCCAGAGAGTGTGCATCTCCTTTGATCCTCATAATAACCCTATGAGATAGACACAATTATTACTCTTACTTTATAGATGATGATCCTGAAAACATAGGAGTCAAGGCACTTGCCCCTAGCTGGGGGTATAGGGGAGCAGTCCCATGTAGTAGTAGAATGAAAAATGCTGCTATGCTGTGCCTCCCCCACCTTTCCCATGTCTGCCCTCTACTCATGGTCTATCTCTCCTGGCTCCTGGGAGTCATGGACTCCACCCAGCACCACCAACCTGACCTAACCACCTATCTGAGCCTGCCAGCCTATAACCCATCTGGGCCCTGATAGCTGGTGGCCAGCCCTGACCCCACCCCACCCTCCCTGGAACCTCTGATAGACACATCTGGCACACCAGCTCGCAAAGTCACCGTGAGGGTCTTGTGTTTGCTGAGTCAAAATTCCTTGAAATCCAAGTCCTTAGAGACTCCTGCTCCCAAATTTACAGTCATAGACTTCTTCATGGCTGTCTCCTTTATCCACAGAATGATTCCTTTGCTTCATTGCCCCATCCATCTGATCCTCCTCATCAGTGCAGCACAGGGCCCATGAGCAGTAGCTGCAGAGTCTCACATAGGTCTGGCACTGCCTCTGACATGTCCGACCTTAGGCAAATGCTTGACTCTTCTGAGCTCAGTCTTGTCATGGCAAAATAAAGATAATAATAGTGTTTTTTTATGGAGTTAGCGTGAGGATGGAAAACAATAGCAAAATTGATTAGACTATAAAAGGTCTCAACAAATAGTAGTAGATTTTATCGTCCATTAATCCTTCCCTCTCCTCTCTTACTCATCCCATCACGTATGCCTCTTAATTTTCCCTTACCTATAATAAGAGTTATTCCTCTTATTATATTCTTCTTATAGTGATTCTGGATATTAAAGTGGGAATGAGGGGCAGGCCACTAACGAAGAAGATGTTTCTCAAAGAAGCCATTCTCCCCACATAGATCATCTCAGCAGGGTTCAGGAAGATAAAGGAGGATCAAGGTCGAAGGTAGGAACTAAGGAAGAACACTGGGCAAGTGGATCCAGGTTGTCCAACGCTGAAAGTAGGAATCTAAGCACTAGTCTCTGGATGCTAGGAGGGCCTCTGCATGGGTAACTCTTTCAACTAGCCAGGGGCTGGACTGTGGAGAAACCATTTCCAGATAGAAGTGAGGAGATTCCAGCAGGAAACACTTAAGAGAGGATCCCTGGAAGTTCGGGGCAGGAGGCTCCCTGTCACATGAAGGAAACCTGCTCAGCGTAGGCTCTAGGTTCTTCCCTACTCTTATCCAATGGGGCTTCTGATTTTAAGCCAGTCTTCACAAAGCCCCAGATTTCTACATGCTGGAGCCCTGAATGGGCAGGAAGCATTGCGGTTTCCATTTCATTCAGAGCTCTTTCATACCCTGCTTCCCCATAGTTTGTCTCAACATTTCTGTTGATAATCTGATTCATGCAACCAAGAATTATGAGAGAGCCTTCAGTCATGCCTAGGCCTGCATTTATTGTTGTGCATATGATGGGGTAGCAGACAAGAAAACGTTAACAGCATAGACTTTCTCAGAGCTATATGAGTTTGGGAATTAATCAAGACCAGCCTTTTGCTCAGGGTAGAAATCCCCTATAGGGATTTATTCAATGATGGGTTAAAAGCTTTCTATATGGTGAGGAGCTCACAGATTTTCCAAGCCCTTGCTTTTGCTAGACAGCTTAATGTTTATGAAATTCTTACACACAGAAGAATCTTCTAATCCTGGGTTACATAATATAACTTGATTCCCTATTCCAGAAGATAATATTCCCATATTCTGAAGCATTCATGCATTTGTTAAATAATAGGCATAGTGACAAGTGCCAGAACTCTAACAGTCAACCAGAGAGCCACAGTTTTCAACTTCACAAAGTTAACCATCTAACTGAAGACAGCAGCAATCAAAACCACCACCCCTTCTCCACATGGTGTAGTCTTTCCTGATGTCAGGGATGTTAGGCTCAGGTTAGGAAAGTCAGACTATCATCCCAGAGCAGGACACAGACGAATAAAGTGTAATTTTTTAGTCACTTAGGAAAAACAGTGGAATGCAAAGAGTAAAAAATGCTTTCTGAATGGATAACTTGGCCTGGGAGGCCTTTGGAAGCAGAGACTGGAGCTTAAATTTAAACATCTTTGTATCCCCAGCATCCAGCATACAGACTGCCAAGAAGTACATGTCAATAAATATTTATTGGATAGTGAGCAAAGACATAATTAGGACCAAATCTCAATTCTACTATTTGCTAGTAGTTTATGTTTGTGTGTGTGAGAGTGTATGCTTGAGCAAGTTGAGAGGTAGTTTTTTTAACTGTAGTAAAATGGGGATAATAATAGTATCTACCTGAAAGAATCCAAGAGTATTAAATATGATTAATTATGCAAAGCACTAATTACAGTCTCTGATAGCCTTCAATAAATGTCAGTTATTTTTATTATTACAGTTAAAGATGAATGGGCATAAAGTACAGAACACTAGTTTTCACCTGCAGCAAGAATGATTGCAGTTAAACAAAAAATACTAGCAAACATTTCTAGAGTAGTTAGCATTTATAAGTCACTGCTTTAAACTCTTTGCATGTATTAACTCACTCGGGCTGCAGAACAATCTTATGAGCCTGTTAAAACTCCTGTAATCATGCTTATAATCCCAGCACTTTGGAAGGCTGAGGTGGGCAGATTGCTTGAGCTCCGGAGTCTGAGACCATCCTGTGTAACATGTGAAACCCCATCTCTACCAAAAATACAAAAAATTAGCGAGGTATGGTGGTGTGTACCTGTGGTTCCAGCTACTCAGGATGTTGAGGTGGGAGGACCGCTTGAGCCTGGGAAGTGCAAGTTGCAGTGAGCCGAGATTTTGCCACTACACTCCCATTTGGGTGACAGAGTGAGACCCTTTCTCAAAAACAAACTAATTAAAAAACCCTCCATTTTACAGATGAAGAAACTGAGTCATACAACTACTAAGAGAAACTGAGTCACTAATCACTCAGGTGGTCTGGCTCCAGCATCTGTACTCTTAATCTCTGCTCTATACTGCCCAAGACTTTTATAAAGTCAAGGGTTGAGTCACTGAAATGAGTTATTGGGATGGCTGTGTGGGAAGGGTGCTAAGTTCTTTCCTAAAGGTATGTGAGAATACAAAGGAAAGAAGCATCCTCCTTTTTACACACGTGAACTAGTGCATGCAAATCTGACACTCAGTGGGCCTGGGTGAAGGTGAGAATTTTATTGCTGAATGAGAGCCTCTGGGGACATCTTGCCAGTCAATGAGTCTCAGGTTCAATTTCCTTCTCAGTCTTGGAGTAACAGAAGCTCATGCATTTAATAAACGGAAATTTTGTATTGAAATGAGAGCCATTGGAAATCATTTACTCCAGACTCCTACTTATAAAAAGAGAAACTGAGGCTCAGAGAAGGGTGGGGACTTTCTCAGTATGACATGGAAATGATCAGGCTTGGATTCAAAGCTCCTGACTTTCTGTCTAGTGTATGTGCAGTGAGCCCCTTTTCCTCTAACTGAAAGAAGGAAAAAAAAATGGAACCCAAAATATTCTACATAGTTTCCATGTCACAGCCAGGGCTGGGCAGTCTCCTGTTATTTCTTTTAAAATAAATATATCATTTAAATGCATAAATAAGCAAACCCTGCTCGGGAATGGGAGGGAGAGTCTCTGGAGTCCACCCCTTCTCGGCCCTGGCTCTGCAGATAGTGCTATCAAAGCCCTGACAGAGCCCTGCCCATTGCTGGGCCTTGGAGTGAGTCAGCCTAGTAGAGAGGCAGGGCAAGCCATCTCATAGCTGCTGAGTGGGAGAGAGAAAAGGGCTCATTGTCTATAAACTCAGGTCATGGCTATTCTTATTCTCACACTAAGAAAAAGAATGAGATGTCTACATATACCCTGCGTCCCCTCTTGTGTACTGGGGTCCCCAAGAGCTCTCTAAAAGTGATGGCAAAGTCATTGCGCTAGATGCCATCCCATCTATTATAAACCTGCATTTGTCTCCACACACCAGTCATGGACAATAACCCTCCTCCCAGGTCCACGTGCTTGTCTTTGTATAATACTCAAGTAATTTCGGAAAATGTATTCTTTCAATCTTGTTCTGTTATTCCTGTTTCAATGGCTTAGTAGAAAAAGTACATACTTGTTTTCCCATAAATTGACAATAGACAATTTCACATCAATGTCTATATGGGTCGTTGTGTTTGCTGTGTTTGCAAAAACTCACAATAACTTTATATTGTTACTACTCTAAGAAAGTTACAACATGGTGAATACAAGAGAAAGCTATTACAAGTCCAGAAAATAAAAGTTATCATCTTGAGGCCTCAGCTTTCTAGGAATAATATCAATATTACAAAATTAATCTAACAATTATGAACAGCAATGAGATAATGTGTACAAAGTACCCAGACCTATGTGGTAGAGCATCAAGGAAGCGCATTGCGGAGCAGTTTTTTGTTTGTTTGTTTTTGTATTCTGTTTCGTGAGGCAAGGTTTCACTCTGCTGTCCAGGCTGGAGTGCAGTGGCAAGATCATGTCTCACTGCAGCCTTGACCTCCTGAGCTCAAGGGATCCTCCCATTTCGGCCTCCTGAGTAGCTGGGACTACAGGTGTACATCACATGCCTGGCTAATTTTTTTTTTTTTTTTAAGTAGAGACGAGGTCTTGCTATGTTGTCCAGGATAATATCAAACTCTTGAGCTCAAGCAGTCCTCCCACTTCTACCTCTCAAGTGCTGGAATTACAGACATGAGCCACCACTCCTGGCTTGCAGACTATTTAAATGACTAATTCCTGACACTACTTGAGGGATACTAGACAGTAGACAACACATCTTTAATATACCAAATGGGTGACTGTAGGGTTGAGAGGGAGATTAGAATTCAATGTTTTATGACCAAAAAGGCTTAAATCAGGCACAAGCTTAGGTCTTTTCAACTGTGAGGACCGGACTGAAAGTGTGCAGTTCAAGGCCCTGTAGTTGCTGTTTAACTGTTCCCAGGTGGAAGTCTCTTCAAAGAACCACTGGTGCAAAAAGGGAACTACCTGGGGATAAATATTTCCTCCAGAAAGGGGGAAAGTGCAAGCTCCCCTACCAAAAGCACCAGGCAAGTCCTTGTCTATTTTCCCTGAAGTTCTCAAAGAAATGAGACCCTTGTTTACCTTTAAGATTAGAGAAGGCTTGAAAAGTTTGAGCTGTGCCTTTGGAGGCCAACAAACTTTTCTCCTTTGTTGACCAAGTTCAGCTCTCCTGTATGCTTCCAAGGTCTGTTGCATCAAGAGTGAGAATTGAAGGTCTTAGAAGCTGGGATCTCAGATGTAGGGAAAAGAGGAGATTTCCTGTTCACTCACTGTTAAGATATGGCTGAAATTTTTTGATCTAGTCATCTACAAAGCATGAGTTGTGGGTCAGAAATTGTTTTTCACATCTTTTGACTTCCTTTGACATCAGAATATAACCTAGGAATTGATTACTTAAGTGAAGGCAAGGTACTTTGGTCTGGACAGGAACATTTTGAACAAGGTAGGGAGACAGCTATGAAGGCAAGCATTTATTCTATCTATCATCTATCTGTCTATCTATCTATCTATTCTTTCATCCACTTATTTATACATTTAAACAAAAAGTATAGAGCGTAGTATAATTTGTAAGTGCTCAGGGCTGTGTGTGTATGGATTGTTTGAAATGAAACTAAAGTGGGAGTATAATTCTACTGCCCCCTTAACCCTGTGGTCCCTACACTACCCTGCAAGACTCTTAGCTGCTTAGCTTAATTGTGAGGCTGATTTGGGGCATAGCACCCCATCCTCTCTGTCTTTCAACATCCTCATAATAACTTGAGAATAATTTTATAAAATATCACAATAGGGTCATGTTCAGTAGGGTGATATATAAAATTAGACAAGCCATAGTTTGAGTTTACCCTTTTGAATAAATATATGACAAAAGGCAATTTAATTATCTTTATGAGTTTGGAGGTATCCAGTATGAAATTTAGATAATACCTGCCTTCTAGTGTTGAAATTAGAACTTAATGATATAATGCATCAATGAACTTATTATAGTTCCTAGCACAAAGTAAGAATCCTTTCAATGTGTGTGTGTGTGTATGTATTTATCTGTTATTAATAGGAATCTTATGGGCATTATCTCACTTAATCCTTATTAATAACTATGAAGCAGGTATTTATTTGAGTTTTCCAAGTGAGTTAAGTATAGCTTGTAATACTTAAGGAAATATCCACAGGTTACATAGCTAGTATATAACTGAGAAATAATTTTATTTATATTATAAAACATTCTAACAATACAGATGTATATAAACTAAAAAACTGAAAGGGCTCATGCAACCCTACCTTCTCAATATCACTTCTTCACTTAGAAAAAACCAGCCTTAGCTGTCTGCTATGAATCCTTTCAAAATATACTTCTGAGAAATGAGAGAGAGAAATGGGGAGGGTAGAAGGAAGGAAGATAGGGTAAGAGACAGGGAAGGAGGTGTGGGGAAAGAAATTAAATTATTCTTTTCTCTGTCTCTTGAAAGAGCTCTTTCCATTACATTGAATCAAAGGTAATGTTGCCATTTCTGGACTCTTGAAATAAAGAAAGACCGATGTATGAAATAATTTTGAAAGTCTATGGCATTTTCAAAATGCAAGGTGATGTCTTACTAACTAGCCTTTGCTTTATTATTAGAAATGGGGAAGTGAGTATAGACATTTTATCAGGAGATATATTAGGAAAAAGGGAAACTGGAGAAACTGGGAGGAGTATCCAGATGTCCTGTCCCTGTAAGGTGGGGGCACCCACCTTCAATCAAAAGGGCTCCTTAACAACTTCCTTGCTTGGGGCTCCACCATCTTGGACCATTAGCTCCACAGGTATCTTCTTCCCTCTAGTGGTCATAACAGCAGCTTCAGCTACCTCTCTAAAGAGTCCTGCCAGATATAGGTCAGGAAATATAATCCACTAATAAAAAGAGAAACATTTTGACTGTAGTTGTTTGTTTTTTGTCATTGTGACTATCAATAACATTCTCACTCTTTCATCAGTAATCACTCAGGTTATTCTGTGACCAACAGACTGTGGGAAAAATCAGAGAAGGAGGCATCCTCATGCTTACTAGCCTAAACTGAAATTGCTATAGCAGAGTGAACCAGAAGGTTTACAGATATTTTCCACAAAGAGTAAAAGGATTGAAGCCTTCTCCAGATCAATGCATAGGAAATAATAATGGACCATAAAACCCATATTATGACGAACAACATTAGGATAAGTCCATATCAATTTTTAATCCAGTCATAAGCACAGACTACGTGAAGCACGTCCAAGTGAAGGCAGGAGAAATGAGAGGAGCAAGAAAGAGGAGCCATTTGATCAAGAATAGCAGAAAAAGGAAAGGCAAGTCATATTAACAAATGATTGTCATGCCAACAGTACAGATAACTCTGCTAATAAAGGTAGAGGCATAATACAGGTAGTAGCAGATATCTACATAGTAGTTAAAGGACATGGCCATCAGTACAGAAGATTCCATAAAGGAGAACCTAAAGAGGAAGAATAATTTGTCAGAAGCTTAAAAGCTGAACTCTGAGGCATTAAACTACAATATCCTTTTGACTGTGGAAAGGGTGGTGAAAGGAAAGTTCAAGGACATTTGAGCCAACATAGAGAGGAACATTGGCTTGGTGAGGGATATCTGTCCTGATGTTGTCCAGGATGGTGATGATACCCATATAAATAACGTAGAGAAAACAGGAGGGGATAGAGATCTAGACAAAGAGGCATCAAAGATAGGGATGTTTGTAAGGATGAAATAGAACGTTTTTTGCGTTAGTCACCGTGAGGATGACCGGTAAAGGCAATGCAGAGGCTAATGCCTTTGTTATTTTTTATTATTTCATTTTAAATTGACAAATAATAATTGTGTGTATTCATGGGGTACAACATGATGCTTTGGTGTACGTGTACAATATTAAATGGTTAAATAAGGCTAATTAACAAATCCACCACTTCACATACTTATTTTTTGTGGTGAAAACATTTAAAATTTACACTCTTCATTCAAAAATCTGGAACATAGTTAAAATGTCATATGTGTCAGGATGCAGTAATAGATTTAGAAAACATTGAATGATTCCTTGCAAATCATGAATAATGATCAATCGAGGAAAACCTATGAAAATGAGAAAATTTTGGAGCCTGAACTAAAAATATCTTGATCACTTTTGGAGGTCAGGAATTCAGATTCATTTTTCTCGGCCTGTAAAGAACTTGAAATTGCATTATAGCAGAATGTAGGCCTTGAGTGGATTGATGTGGAAGCAAAACAAGCCACAAATAAAGACAAATGTGCAACATCAAAAACATGACTTGTGCCATTAATTTTAAGCAGTTTCATATGAAACGTGGGTTTCTTTATTGCTACGTCACAGTCAGATGTTCATGGTCCTGAGTGCTCTCCTCCAAGCAGTGGGCCAGGAGTCCAGGTGCCTTCCTGTGATTGACTTTATCATTTCAGAATCTTTTACTTTCTGCCACATAGAGGAAGGGAAAGAGAATGATAGAAGGGCACTCTGCCTTAGGGAGTAACACATTATTATCTCCACATTATTTTAGTCACAACCAGTCACATGGCCAAGTTAATTGCAAGGGCTGTTGGAAATTGTTGAGAAGTATATTGATTTAGTGACTCATATTGTTTCTGACATACTGTGTCCGGAATTGGTGGGTTCTTGGTTTCACTGACTTCAAGAATGAAGCCGGGGACCCTCGTGGTGAGTGTTACAGTTCTTAAAGGCTGCGTGTGTGGAGTTTGTTCGTTCTGATGTTTGGATGTGTTCGGAGTTTCTTCCTTCTGATGGGTTCGTGGTCTCGCTGGCTCAGGAGTGAAGCTGCAGACCTTCACAGTGAACGTTCCAGCTCTTAAGGCGGCGCCTCTGGAGTTGTTCGTTCCTCCCGGTGGGTTCGTGGTCTCGCTGGCTTCAAGAGTGAAGCTGCAGACCTTCGCGGTGAGCGTTACAGCTCATAAAGGCAGTGTAGACCCAAACAGTGAGCAGCAGCAAGATTTATTGCAAAGAGCGAAAGAACAAAGCTTCCACAGTGTGGAAGGGGACCCGAGCGGGTTGCCACTGCTGGCTCGGGCAGCCTGCTTTTATTCTCTTATCTGGCCCCACCCACATCCTGCTGATTGGTAGAGCCCAGTGGTCTGTTTTGACAGGGCACTGATTGGTGCATTTACAATCCATGAGCTAGACACAAAGGTTCTCCACGTCCCCACCAGATTAGCTAGATACAGAGTGTCCACACAAAGGTTCTCCAAGTCCCCACCAGAGTAGCTAGATACAGAGTGTTGATTGGTGCATTCACAAACCCTGAGCTAGACACAGGGTGCTGATTGGTGTGTTTACAAACCTTGAGCTAGATACAGACTGCCGAGTGGTGTATTTACAATCCCTGAGCTAGACATAAAGGTTCTCCACGTCCCCACCAGAGTAGCTAGATACAGAGTGTTGATTGGTGCATTCACAAACCCTGAGCTAGACACAGGGTGCTGATTGGTGTGTTTACAAACCTTGAGCTAGATACAGACTGCCGATTGGTGTATTTACAATCCCTGAGCTAGACATAAAGGTTCTCCAAGGCCCCACCAGAGTAGCTAGATAGAGTGTTGATTGGTGCATTCACAAACCCTGAGCTAGACACAGGGTGCTGATTGGTGTGTTTACAAACCTTGAGCTAGATACAGAGTGCCAATTGGTGTATTTACAATCCCTTATCTAGACATAAGGGTTCTTCGCATCCCCAGCAAACTCAGGAGCCTAGCCGGCTTCACCCAGTGGATCCCGCACCTGGGCTGCAGGGGGAGCTGCCTGCCAGTCCCCTGCCGTGCGCCCGCACTCTTCAGCCCTTGGGTGGTCGATGGGACTGGGTGCCCTGGAGCAGGGGGCGGCGCTCGTCGGCGAGGCTCGGGCCGCACAGGAGCCCATGAAGGTGGGGAGGCTCAGGCATGGCGCGCTGCAGGTCCCGAGCCCTGCCCCGCAGGAAGGCAGCTAAGGCCCGGCGAGGAATTGAGCACAGCAGCTGCTGGCCCAGGTGCTAAGCCCCTCACTGCCCGCGGCCGGTGGGGCCGGCTGGCGGCTCCGAGTGCGGGGTCCTCGGAGCCCATGCCCACCCGGAACTCCCTCAAGCACGGCGCACAGCCCGGTTCCTGCCCGCGTCTGTCCCTCCACACCTCCTGGCAAGCTGAGGGAGCCGGCTCTGGCCTTGGCCAGCCCAGAAAAGGGCTCCCACAGTGCAGCGGCCGGCTGAAGGGCTCCTCAAGTGCCACCAATGTGGGAGCCCAGGCAGAGGAGGCGCCAAGAGCGAGCGAGGGCTGTGAGGACTGCCAGCACGCTGTCACCTCTCAATACTAATCACTAGTAATTAGCATTATCCCACACCCTGTGCTTCCAAAAATAACAGGAATATTATTGTAAAATCAAAGGCATACTGAACCATATGTTTTATTATGTTTAAGCAGTAAAAATAAGACCTGGAGTGCAAAAAGACTACCAAATGCTGTAATACTTCATGGAATCTAAGCTTTCTCACCCCAAATTATGTCTTATTTCAGAGCAAATAACTTAGGCTTTAAAAAATGTTTCCTCATGAATTATTATTGTATAATGATTCAGAGCATGTATTCTAGAGCCAAATATCATGAGTTGAATTATGCCCTCTGTCAGTTAGTAGCCACTTCATCTTGGAATATTACTTTAGGGCCCTGTGCCTCAGTTTCCTCCTCTTAAAGGGTATTACAATAGTACTTGAGGCACAGAGTTACTGTGAATACTAAATGAAATAATATATCAACAGTGTCTTGTGTATAGTATAAGCCATAATCATTGTATTGTTATTACTATTACTACTATTATTACTATTACTTTTATACTATCCTAGTGTGTAGATTGAGGATGTAGGGGCTTAGAGCAAAGACATGAAGGTCACATATGGGTAGACATGGGAATAAATAGATGAGATGACATTGTCAAGGATTACACGAGTCTTTCTCTGCAAAGCGAGGGAAGGTTAGTCTCTTTCAGAGAACATCATGGCAGAAACATTTTTTCAAGAGAATCCATGCATTTTACGTCCATGTAGTTGCAAACAATGCCAAGTAGAACTCCAATCCAGAGCTAAGTGGGGCTGTGGGAACTATGTACCAATTGATGGACATGCTGCTTTTTGACTCAGAGGTGGATAAGAGACAAAACTCTTTTCTTCTTAGATGTACTAAAAAGTAGTTAGTCTGGAAGTATTTAGAAGGCTTTGGAGAGGAATGTGATTTTATCAGGTAAATCAAAAATAGAGGCTATTTCTGAAAGAAGCAACTAGAACCAAGTTACACACAGAAAATACCCATAATGTACATATATTTTTGACTAGAGTAGCATGTGCAAATTTGTATAAAATATTTGCAGGTAAGTTAGGTAATGCAACATTTGAGACTCTAAGTTTGTGGGAAACTTAGAACTGTTTCAGTTTTCTACATTATTCCTAACTATTTAAAATGCTATGAAATGATTTTGCAGATTTTTCTGAGATGTTTATAGTGATAAGTGAGAATATATGACATAGTCTGTTCCTTTGTTGTATAACTCTGTTTAAAATATCTTTTATATAATGATAAAAAATCTATCTCTTTGTAACTTACCACAGCAGATTTGTATTATTTTATGTGAAGAAACTCAGAATATGGAGTATTTTTTTTCTCAAATTATCACTTTTATAAGGATCTGCTATCTATCCATCTTATTTTCTTTATGTAAACCAGTGTTTTATCTCTTCTCATTTTCTATCAAGGATTAATAGATTTTTGTCATCTTTATTGTCTTTTTTTCTCCAACTTTTTGTATCTACAGGTTCCTACCTTCATTTATATTTTAAAGTAGGTGAGCAAATGCATTTTAACACTCCAAGATAGATTTAGATTAAAACATCTAACCAGGATAAACATTGCTGTCTAAATGTATTTGTTGTTTTAATCTCTTCCGTTATTGTAACATGATGAGGAGACATGGAAAGAAAACTTCTGCTAATTTCTCCTTTAAAGTCACTTCACATTAGTTATCTCTTACATATGAGTCCCTGGCAGTGTCAGTTGACCATTCCTTTTCATGACCCTAAAGACTTCTGATAAATATACTGCATTTTTCTATAGCTCATTTCAACCTACACAAATTATGGGTTTGCATGCCTTTATCCCTAATTAGGCTACACAGCTGTTTAAATTAGGAATTACAGATTTCGCCAGATAATTGTATATCTGATACAGATTAGGCATTTAATAAATTTTGGTGAATAGGTAAACACTAAATTGTTCCTCAAACATTTGTCAGATGTTCACTATGATACCTACTTATTGAGAATCAAGTAAATAGAGATATTCAGACACATTACAGAGAAGTATATACTTACAAACTCAAAGTATTTGACACCCCTAGGCACATGAAACACTTTTGAATATACAGCACACTTTTACATACACATTATTCATAAACATTGCCAATGCATGCAGAAAGAAGCTTAATGTGGATTTTACATATACTTTCATGAACATAGCCTTGCCAACATCCTTTCCCTTTCTGTTAGAGTCACCTGCCTTCATCCATCCCTTGGATATGATACCTTGAGTTATCCCCACACCCAAATCTTCAACAGACAGAAATGTAAAGTCCCGTTTAATGTGTGATAGATGAACTAAATATTCTATCTCAGTATTCATCTGACAGCATAGGAAGGAGAGAAATCCCTCTGTCTCATTTATACCACATATTGTGTTTCTATGGCCGAATCAGCTTAGGTTCTACATTGTGTGGTTTTGGATAAATTACTTAACCTACCTAAGTAAGGCACCTACGTGTCAGTCTCTTCATGTGTAGTCAGGAATTATAATGAAAAGTAACTCGAAGTATTTTTGTGATAATCAGTTAGATAAAAATGTGAACCTCTTAAGACACTAGCAACTTGAATACATAATTGATTTTTTATTCTGTTACAATTATATACTGAACTCATGTGAGGATCCAGTTTCTATATCTAGGCTTTTCAAACTACCTTAGAGAAATACTTGTATATCTTCCTTGTAGGTATAGAGTAAAATACTAACTTCAGGTTTAGTACCAATGCTTATCCATATTATAATTTACATTGCAAGTTTTATTTTCTGTTCCTTATTGGTCAATACTTTTGGATCCAGCTGTTCAACTGTGGTAACACTTGATAATAATGCCAAGAGGCTGGGGTGAGCTATAAGAGGAGTCAAGGCTAATCAGTACAGCAAGAGGAATGAATAAGAAGCTAGATAAAGGGAACGGCGTGGGAGGGTGTTTCCTGAGGGAATATTCATGAGACAAACAGAGAATAAAGAAATGAAGGGAATGTAAATATAATATAGGCATGTTAATATACAAGTGATTTCTAGAAAGTGCATGAATAAGACAGCTAGAAAGATAGAAAGACCTGGCACTTAAAATGTGAATGTGAAACAGTTCTGGCTGAGAGAAATATCTCAGGAATGGCCATGTTCCAGGCTTCAGGGTAGGACCCATGCCAGGGACCCCGCCCTTTTCTGCCTAAAATTTCTCTGCCTCCTGTCCCTATCATTAGGAGGCCAGGGTGGGAGGATTGCTTGAGGTTAGGAATTGGAGAGCAGCCTCGGCAACATAACATGATCCCATATTTACAAAAAATAAAAACATTAGCTAGGTGCAGTGGCATAAACCTGTAGTCCTAGGTACTCAAAAAGCTGAGGAAGAAGGATTGCTTGAGCCCAGGATTTCAAGGCTGCAGTGAGCTGTGATGGCACCACTGCACTCCAGCCTGGGCAACAGAGCAAGATCATGTCTATAAAAATAAATAAATAAATAAATAAATAAGCTTTAGCCACACCAGACAAGTAACATTGTGTATTTTTAAAGGACTGCATTAATAAATTTGGGGGTTTACAGAATGGCAGGTAGTTATCCTTGGGAAGACAATATGCTGATGGGGAAATATAATTACTGCCCTGACTAAACTCACAGTATGACAGAGAATTAACTGTGCTGACTTGATAATTCCTCAGAGCAGATCTCTAAGAGAGCTTATAGACACAACGCCTGCTTCACAAGGTTCTCAAGTATGGCAAACTTGTCAGTCAGGGTGAGACTGAGGATGAGGTCTAAGAGACTTGTCTGGAAGCTGCACTTGTTTGAAAGGACACTGATTTTACTTCAGTGGTGCAATAAATGTCCTTATATATCACTGGATCAGCAGGTGGATGCTGACTTAATAATTGAAAGGATTTTCAAACTAAGAAGTTGTAAAATATAATATATAGGTTATGAATATAATTAAAATTAAAACGCATAAATATACATTTACTTAAGAAAATGAGTGATTTTTAAAATTTATCCTTTTTAATTGATTTTTGACTATTGATACAGGCTGTTTAAAGATCAATAGGCTATAATATCATATTATGTCATCCCTTGCTAACATATGAGTAAACTTGAGCTCTCAACTTGATCTTCCCACTTCTTCTTATTTATAATTAGATACCTCTGTTTCTTAGACTTCGCTATCATACCTTATTTTCAGCACATCGCCCCTAAGTTTGCATTACACATTTACACATTGTTGTAGGCTGTCTTCTTATAACAATCAAGAAAACAGCATCGCAATCCCCTACTGACAAATACATTTGCCATTTTTACAAAAAACCCTTATTCGCCTGAAAATTTTAATACCGCTATGTTTTTTACTCTTACAGACATCCTTTCAGTGGTCAATAGAGATGCAGCTTTCCTAAATGTAGTTTGTATGTTAGCACAATGTGCATTTTAGACCAAACAACAAAGGCAACCAGAAAACGACGTTTCTAAATAGAATAAACTCTGTATGCCAACTTTGGAAAAACAAATAAATAAATTTTACACAGAGAATAACAACTAAAATGACAATGAATAAACCCCCCACGTCCTACTTTCAAAGAACTCTCACAAACAATTCGCACAATAACTGAATCCTTCAGGAGTAGTCATTTATTAGTTTTTATTTTTCCTGCATCCAAATGGGCCTTCTAATTTGGAGAAATACTGCATTATTTAGCTTTAGTTTTCAGTAAGTATTTTCTTATCAAATCTCTGGAATATTTTCAGAGTGCTCACTGTCCAGATGTAAAATAAATATGAAAGATTTCTTAAGTGAAGCAGAGAGAATTTAGAATGGAATAATTATATACTGGGTTCTGAACATGGACTTTCAATCAGAAAAGAAAATATTAGAAGCAAGCTCAACGAGAACTTAAAAATTGGAAGAAACAGCAGTCTTCAGAGAGGAATGAATGCAACTTTTGAGATTAGTTTCCTATAAGGAGATCAGCTGCAAATACTAGCGCAGAACTAGCAGTAGATGAAGAAATTGTCATCCCCTGTTACACTAATAGCAAGTGGTAGACTGCGGTTCAGACCCAATGAACAGCATAAAGACTTACAAACACTTTGAAGAAGATTGAAGGAAGAAACTATTCCATCAGTGAAAAATTTCTAAAATATAACATTACCTTTGCCAAGTTTTTGCATTAATTATCAAAACTATTTCATGAAGTGAAAAAGTCTCGAGATTTTTTATGTGAGAAGCAAGAGGGGAAATAGAAATGGGTGGTGATATCTAAATTTATAGTTGGTTATTTTTTTCAGAAGAAAAATGTCAGGAGACAAAATAGAAAGCTGGAAAGAAGAAAAAGTATTAAGTTAGTTTCAGCAGACAATGGGAAGAAGGAAAACGGGGCTGGGATATCTGGCTTCCACGAGATGATAAGAAATGTGTTTGCTGCTATTTAGCTGTTAGTCTGTATCACACGCCTTTTAGTAGTAAAATATGCCAGTCTACTAAGGGAAATTACATTTCATGAGTAAGCTTCCTAAAGTTCTAGATATTTGCTGTTTAGCCTCACACAAGTTTGCTTACTAATCAAGCAAGATCCTTTTCAGAGTAACTAGTTTCAAAGTATGGAGATGAAAATATGATCATGTATTATTCAAATTCACCTTTATAAGACACATAAAATGTACCTCCAACTGCACATTTTTCTTTAGATGAACTGTATTTGACCCAAGCTGC
This sequence comes from Homo sapiens, assembly GCF_000001405.40. NCBI lineage: Eukaryota > Metazoa > Chordata > Mammalia > Primates > Hominidae > Homo > Homo sapiens. The sequence continues at coordinate 5,300,693 of NC_000011.10, forward strand.
TTTAGTCCACTTATCTTGACTATTTCTGAAATCATAGTTACTCTTCTTTTGGATTGTTATATCTCCTCTGCTTCCTGTATTCTTTTTCTTCAGCATCACTGGCATTCCCTCTTTATTAGGTGATATATATATATATATATATATACACACACACACACACATATGTATAAAAATTTCTCGCTCACATCAGCTTTTTCATGTGATAATTAAAATTGAATCTAACTCTGAGGAAAAAAAAGTGTGGATATAAAACCAGGGTTCCTTTTCAGTAATGGGAGAGGCCCAGAAATCCTAGAGATCTTGAGATTCTGAAATAAGGGCTCAAGCCCTACTCTGCCCAGAAAATAGGCGAATAATGCTTCTTTGAATCTGCTTGGTCTTGATGCTATAAATGATAGGATTCACGAATGGAGGAAAGAGAAAATGGACATAGCTCATGGTAATGGGGACCACATGAGGTGCATGTTTCCCAAACCTGTGAATGAATGACAGTCCCATCACAGTGATGTGAAATACTAGGACACAGCTAATATGGGAGACACAAGTGTTGAGAGATTTAGCTTCCTCTTGTCCAGACGCAATGCCCATCACTGTCTTGAGGATTAGTATATAAGAAAAGATGATGATTAGAGCATCTAAAAAGACAGTCAAAGAAGTCTGAATAATTGGATATATGTGATTAAACGTGATATCAGCACAGGCGAGTTTTATGACATCTTGATGGAGGCAAAATGTGTGCAAGAGGGCACGGGAACCACAATATGGGTAGCAGTAGAGTGAAAGAATTATGGGCAAAATGGACATAAAACCTCTCATCAGTACCCCCAGTCCTATGTTCATCACTCGGGAATTGGTAAGAATGCAGTTGTACCTCAGTGGTGTGCGGATGGCAATGAAACAGTCATAGGCCAAAACAAGCAAGATACCTGATTCTACAATGGCCAGTGAATGAATGAAGGATTGGGTGAAACAGGCAGCATGGGCAATCTCCCTCTGGTCTAGCAGCAGGACACCCAGGACTGTGGGCATTGTAGTGAATGTCATCCCAAGGTCCGTGTCTGCCAGCATAGCCAGGAAGTAGTACATGGGCTCATGGAGGCTGTGATCATTCCAAATGAGGACAAGAAGAGTGCCATTTCCAAAAAGGACGGAGAAGTAGATGACAAAGAAGGACATAGAGATCCGGTAGTGAACTGCCTCTGAGCCCAAGAAGCCAGTCAGCAAGAAGGGGCCAGCACTGTTGTTATACCACATGGTAGGTTTTGCAGGTGGAGAAGATATTTTTTAGGGGTGATGACCTCCAAAGATGCAGTTTTCTTTTTTCTCTCACAATCTTCTTGTAGCACATCATCAGGCCATTTTTTACCTCAAAACTTAAATATTTTTCTGGATTGTCTCATACTTAATTAATTGTAAGCCTGTACTCACAAGGCCTTTCCCTAGAATAACAAATAACAAAAATCATGGTCAGAATAATAATTCCAATTCACTATGAAGCATACAACCTTTATTTTTTCAACACTCATCTTACGTCTGTGCTCATAGCCTTGACTCTTGGTCCCAAATAGGACTCCTTTGTTCCCTTTTATTCTCTTTACTCTTTTATTCCTCCTCCTATTATTTATCATATGGGCCCTTACTGTGTTACTATCCAAGTTGAGTCAGTTCAAATTTTTTCTCTTGAAACTAATGGGACAGCTGTATTTAGGATTAACCACTGAGGAAAATGCTTATTCAATAGAAATGACTGAGAAATATTGTGATCAATGTTGCTATCTCAAGTGGACTGTGAATAAGAAGAGAACCCAGCCTGGGCAACATAGCTAGACCCTGCCTCCACCAAAAAAAAAAGAAAAGATAAAAATTAGCTGGGCACAGGGGCACACATCACCTGAGCCCAGGACTGTGAGGCTGCAGGGAGCTATGATTGCAGCACTGCTCTCCAGCCTGGGCAACGGAGTCAGACTCTGTCTCTATAAAAAATAAAATAAAATAAAACGAAAGAAAATAACTCATCTATTGTGAGTTTCCACAGAAATCTGAACACCTGAACAAGTGGGTAAAGTTAGTAAACTCATTTTAGAAAGGTGTAATTACTCAGTGGACTTGGGACTCAGCAAGTTCCCTATGCTGCAAAAAGTCTGAGTTTTGGCACATTAGGGACAAACATGAAAATAGGAGACTCATGTTGGAAGCTCATAACGGAAATATTTTAAGGACATACTTCTACAATGAGGGCCTCCACAAAAGCCTAATACTTGTTAGAGTCATAGATTCGTAAGTATGTTGATCTGAAGGGCAATAGTAATATCGGAAGTTGGTAATTGAGTTAATAAACTTCACACAACCAGTTCTAGGGAAAAGATAAGCACTCCCAGAGAGAAAATACGGCAACTATGTTGCTGATGGAGACAATCTTACAGACCCTCTAATCATTATGAATCTGTAAGACTCGTATTGAGAAAAATTCACAAGGATCCTCATAGGGAACTATGAAGTCTATTTATAATTAATATTTATTTATATTTATAATTACACTTTTACAAAGTCAAGATTTTTGTTGTTGTGATACCAAGAAATTTTGTAGCAGGTTTATTGGGAAAACAAAGAGAACTACAAGGGAAACTCAGTTTCTCCCAAATTCAATTGATTCTGTATGTGTCCAGAGTCTTTTAAAATATCATTCAATATTATAAATATTACTACCGACACCTTTGAAGTGTAATTCAGTAAAAATGAAGTGATAACAATCTTTGCACCTTTTTTATTTTATAAAAACCTATAGAAACAATAATAATTATATGTTTCAGAATTTTGGCACATAGTAACATCTCTAATATAAGCAATTATTGGTGGAGAGAGATGGACAGAGGAAAGGTGAAAGGACTTTTGAAAGGGCTGCTACTTCAGGGGACACTGTTGATAACAAAAATGTCAGTCTAGGCACTGCAGTAGCAGAGACTATGTTCATATGGATACTAAAAACACTGCTAACTAACTTGATCCACTGAATTATGACCTGCATAGTGCTTAATGTGGCAGAACTTATCTACCGCCACAGGAGTGATGTGTATATCATTATAAGTTCTCTTAACCTTCCAATGTTGCCTTATAAGAGAATGGATTAATGCCAAAATTTGTTGTACAGGATAAGAGCTAACCACTTATTTGGATCTACTGTCACCCAGATAATGGACCAGATGGAGGAAGCCGGAGGAGGCCTGATTATTCTTAAACTATAGTCGTGTTTTCAAAACCTGAGCTGCGTTTGGGACATGCGGATGCACAGGGTTTTATTAAAACTGTGTGGTAATTACTGGGGAAATAGTTAATACAATTTATAAGTATATTTTATTGACCTAAAGATAGCCCTCTATTTAACATCTGCAGTCTCTAGCAAAACAGCTACGCTGGCATTTAATTGTGGCAAATTTGGTAGTACCAGAAACTGTCCACATACCCAAATATTCCAGGGAGAATAGTTGCCCTAATAGTTTAGGGAGTCTCCTAGAATGTGATACATGACAAAAGTGAGAGTCATAACTTTAGTGGAATTTATCACTCTCAGGCAAGCATAGAGGCCCCCTGAGGGATGCAAAAATGACTGGCTCACTGTTCTCTTGCCCCTTTCTGAGTGCCTTTGGACTGATTCTTTGACAGCAACTATCCCAGAGTCCTCAAGAGTTTCTGAAGGTAACATAGATCCATCATCCAGAGCTTCTTCAACTTGCCATGCTGACAAAAAGCTTAGGAACTGTTCAGGAAACCATTTATAAAGACATAAACTAAAATGAGAAGACAAAAAGAGAATATTAAGATCGTGTTAAAAAAGAACAGTCTTCCGTTTAGTTCCAGATAATCTGCAAGTGCCCTGTACAATCAGTGTCCCCTGAATCCACTTTTTCATCTCCACATATTGCCCCAAAATTGTGTTCCTATAGAAGAAATTAATAAATATACCAAAATAAATATTTAAAGTCAACTGACAATGGGAAGCCATGAGATGAAGACAAAATATCTGAAAAATCTCAGCTTTTAAGTGACTTTTTTATATCTTACCTTAAGTACAAATTAAAATGGAAGAGGTGGCCAGGCACAGAGGCTCATGCCTGTAATCCTAGCACTTTGGAAGGCTGAGGTGGATCACGAGGTCAGCAGTTTGAGACTAGCCTGGCCAACATGGTGAAACCCTGTCTCTACTAAAAATACAAAAATTAGCTGGGTGTGGTGGTGAGCGCCTGTAATCCCAGCTACTCGGGAGGCTGAGGCAGGAGAATTGCTTTAAAAAAACTGGGGAGCAGAGGTCGTCGCAGTGAGCCAAGATTGTGCCACTGCACTACAGCCTGGGCGACAAAGCAAGGCTCTGTCTCAAAAAAAAAAAAAAAAAAGGTTTGGAGAGAAACATTGGGAAACTAGGACAAATTTTGCTCTCAGTAAAAAGAAAGATCTCAAAGGAGATAGACAAAGAAGCAGGCACAGATGTAAGAGGATAGCAAAGTTGATCTGTATTTACAAAAAAACAATGAAAAGGGAAGTTTATAGGAGTGGATACTATGGTAGGTTAATAGTGAAAAATATAGAATTATCAATTAATATAAACATAGAGGTGTTGATTGTTTGGGGCAACTAGGTCTTTGGTAATATTGACAATTTCAACATAATGGCAGAAATGAATGCCTAATGACTGTGAGACAAAAAGTGAGTAAAAAACAGCTGGGCACGGTGGCTCATGCCTATAATCCCAGCACTTTGGGAGGCCGAGGAGGGTGGATCACTTGAGTTCAGGAGTTCGAGACCAGCTGGGCCAACATGGCAAAACACCATCACTACTATAATTACAAAAATAAGCCAGGTGTGGTGGCACATGATCATAATCCCAGCTACTCTGGAGGCTGAGGCATGAGAATCCCCTGAACCCTGGTGGAGGAGGTCGCAGTGAGCTGAGATCGCACCACTGCACTCTAGCCTGGGCAACAGAGAAAAATCTGTTAAAGAGAGAGAGAGAAAAGAAAAGTGAGTAAAAAACAAGAAAGTAAAGACAATATATTATTTTATTTATATTGTTATGGTGAGGAAATTGAGCCTTAGACAAGTTAAGCAATTAGCCTAAGATCACGCAACTAATATGTGTCATAAAGGAATTCAAACACAGGTTTATCTAACCCAAAACCCAAGCTCATATTCTCAACCAATGTCCATCAAATGGAAATGGTTAAACTTGCTTCCCGTATTTGAATCCTTGGCTTTTCTTACCTGAGCCACAGTTTTCTCTTTGCGGTTTCTGAGCATGACCTGAATATTGGTTGTTTGCTATATCCTCAGTATTTACTCTTAATTCTGATGAGAGATATATTTGTTACACAAACAACTCTCAAGGGGTTATTCTAGCTCATTTCCACATAGGATATTTGGGAATAGTGTACCAAATAATTCTCTTTTCCTCCCCAACCTGGGAAAGATCTGGGCCATTGAAACTGGTCCCCATGGCCTTTATTTTTTCTTTGGAAGGAGAGTCTCTAAGAGAAGTTGTGTCTCTAACATCAGATGAGGCATGACCGAAATGAGTCACTCTCAAGTGTTCCATTGGTCTTAGAGTGGGAAGACCAGTCACTTTGTCTTTGTAAATGTTAACATTTGAAGAACATTGCCCCTTTTCAAACTGTATTATATTCTCTAATTCAACCCTTTACAAAATCCTTGAGCCACCACCAAACCTTTTCGTCTTGATGATTATTCATCAGACATTTATTTATTCTTTCTATTGATTCAAAACTCACTACCCTACCCTGAGCTATCTCATTCATATATATGTGGGTTTCATTTAATTATTTAGTATATGTATATATGGTATTTACTATCAATATATGTATGCATAGGTGTGTATGTGTGTGTGTATATATATATTCACAGACAGAGACAGTGAGAGAGAGAGAGAGACATATACTTCTCTGAAACATATAATATCTACTCCTTATATTTAGGTCTGATCTCCAGAATAAAATAACCATATATTAGCCATTATATTCATACATAATTTTTTTCTAGATGTATAAAGATATCTGCATTAAAAACCCTAAGACTTCTTTCCTGATGGGTGAACCAATATCAACAGTCCTTTAAATGTTTATCATGTAATTATTCCTAATCCTGATTTATTTCCTATGATGCTCCACCTTATTGAACATAATAATCCAGATGTTGTCATATTAGTCCCATTCTGAAATCTCTTTTTTCATTGGATTATGTGCTGAGTTTCTATTTAAGTAGTCTAAGATCGTGCAGATACACAACTCTACCCTAAACTCTTATCTCAAAACATGTCAAATTCAGTCTTTCAGATTTAAAATAGTGATAAAATGCATATTCTACATAATATATGTGACACTCGCAGCAAGTTACTCTATTTACTATCACCTGTTTATACTTAGGGGAAAAAAACCTAAATATCCTCTCATATATTCAGGTAAGATTTTGCCAAAACGTGATTTTAGGTCATACAGCAATAAATGCATTCCAGAATTCATTTTGCAGAACCTGTTGATTCTAGACTTGTAGCTAAGAAGTGACGGCTTGGTAAATAACCATATCATAAAGTCAGTTCTCTTTGTACTCACAGTAAAACAAAACTTCTGAAAGATTTTAAGTGAGTGACATTTTCAGTGCTTAAAATGGAGCTTAACATATAGTGGGTGCTCAGTAAGTACTAGTTAAGCAAATGAATGCTATTCTTGTGATCAAGCCATTGGTTTTGTAGCCAAATTGTAGACCTTTACAACCTCTACATCTGTTTGTAATAAGATTACTAGTTCAAGCATGCCAAACAATGCTATCTCCTTTTCTTTATTGTTTAGTACTTCGATGTCTCTAATTTTTACATCAATCATGGTTCAGAGAAAAATCCATAACAACATCAAGAAGAAAGATTTTTTGAAGTTTCCTTCCTTCCTCCCTCCCTCCCTCCCCCTTCCCCCTTCCCCCTTCCCTCCTTCCCTCCTTCCCTCATTCCTTCCTTTCTTTTTTCTTTCTTTCCTTATTTCTCTCTCTCTTTTTCTTCCTTCCTTCCTTTCTTTCTCCCTTTCCTTTCCTTTCCTTTTATTCTCTTTTCTTTTCTTTCCTCTCTTTTGAGACAGTGTCTTGCTCTGTCACCCAGGAGGGAGTGCAGTGGTGAGATCATAGTTTACTGCAGCCTCAAGCTTTTAGGCTTAAGTGATTTTTACACCTCAGCCTCCCAAATAGCTGTGACCACATGAGAAGAGACATTTATGTGTTTTTTTCCTTCTTAGTACTTTGGCTGCAAGTGAGTCTCAAGGTAAGATGTTTTAACCACTTATGGAACTTATATTCTCCCATTCCAATGAAAAGACTACTTTGAAAATGTTTTTGTTGATGTCTAAATACACCAAGTCTACAATTTCCTGTGATCTATCTATACTACTAAATAGCTAGACCAATACATGAAAAGAAACTCTTATTCTCAATAAAGAACTGTACCCCAACAATAATATATCAGACATTATATGTCTTTTTTATCTTCTTTGTGTCTTATCAGTTATGTTACCATATAGGAAGAGAAAGAAAATTATAAGTGAAATCACTGTGTACCATCTCACATCTATGCAAGGCAAATAGGACTAATAGTACAGGGACAAGGCTGAAAGGAGACATTTTAAGGTTGAAGGTATGCAGTAAAACTTGTTTTCTGGAGATTACGTTGAAAGAAGTTACAGTCAGTCAATCTAATGAGGTTGTAGAAGATGAAACAACTAAGCTGGTGCTCCTGGTAATGACTTGATACCTGCGAAGTGTCTAAATATGTATAGAGGAGTTGATAATATAGACCAATTGCACTTTGGGCCCCTGCTGAGTAAGATTTTGTGTCAACTAAACAAAACGATAGGAAATTGTATTTCCCCAAAGACATTTTGGAAACGTTCTCCTTCAGCACCAATGGTAGCACCTGGAACTGACCATCCAACTTCCAAGCCAAACAACTTCACCCATAAATCTACATTCCTCCAATCTCTTTCCTCCATCATGGAAACAGCCCTGCATATTCAAAAGTGAGTGTCCCTCTCTTATACCTCGTCAGAGAGATTCAAATATTGTCATATTCACAATCCACAACAGGCCCAGATAACCGTTCAGTGATGCTGGTCATCACTGAAGATAGATTGAATCTTCCTTTCTTCTTGGACGTAAATTGCAGGTTATTGAAAAAACTATAACTTGAAGTTTCATAGCAGAAAGTTGGCATCTTTCTCACTAAGCATGAGAAAAACTAACAGAGTTTTAATTTGAAGGGCCTTAGCCAACTTAGCTGAAGTCCCTTCCACCTAAGATAAAGCTGTAAAAGAGGAGCAGATGTATAATTTAGATATTGGAGCAGCATGCAGTATCAAAATACCTCATGAGCACCAAAGAAGCCATATATTTTTCACAGTTTCTATTCTTCCAAAATAACTTACAAAGACAGTCTTTCCTCTGTCATAAGAACCTGCACCCAGGTCAGCAAATCAAGATGGAAATGATCGGGGTTGAAATTTCCTACCAACACACTAATAAACATTAGGAACTTACTGGGCACATTATGAGAAACAGAGGAGTCTTTGGGGGATAACCAGATTTTAAGATTTGTGTTTATACTCAGTATCAATAGCTTAAACATTGTACTCAATAGCATATAATTTTGCTTACAGCATGCATTGGGTAAATAATCGGTTTTACAATTGATTCAGTATGAAAAAGTTTTAATACAAGGACATACAGAAAACTTGCGCCTACACCTATTTTTTTAAGCATTCCATAGATTGGATCTCATTTCTCTCCACATTTTTATGTCTTCCCAATATAAAACTTTACTCAGGCCGGGCGCGGTGGCTCACGCCTGTAATCCCAGCACTTTGGGAGGCCGAGGCGGGTGGATCACGAGGTCGGGAGATCGAGACCATCCTGGCTAACACAGTGAAACCCCGTCTCTACTAAAAAGACAAAAAAATTTGCCTGGCGTGGTGGCGGGCGCCTGTAGTCCCAGCTACTCGGGAGGCTGAGGCAGGAGAATGGCGTGAACCCGGGAGGCAGAGCTTGCAGTGAGCTGAGATCACGCCACTGCACTCCAGCCTGGGCGACAGAGCGAGACTCCATCTCAAAAACAAAACAAAACAAAGCAAAAAAAACTTTACTCAGTGAAGTCCAGAGCAAAGATTTGTTGCAAACAAATCACCAGTTCTTATCTTTCTCCGTGAAAATGTACCTGTAAAATGTGGATGCCACATATTTTTAGGTCTGGAAGGATTGCATTATCTTTTATCTGTATTGCATTATCATAAAATCTCTAGTTGAGTGAAAAAATTTGTTAAATCATTTCTTTAACTGAAAACTGAACCCAGGAGGCAGAGGTTGCAGTCAGCCGAGATCAAGGCACTGAAAACTTCCTTTCTCCAGAAAGCTTGTCTCATTTTCTTCTTCCATGGAATATTCCAAGGAATATTCTTTGAAAAGCAGAATATTCAGAGTGAGAGGAAGTAGAGAGATATATTTAGGTAGAATCTGGGCATATTGAAGGGAAGACATCAATAATTCACAGTAGCCAAGGAATAGAAACAATACAAGTATCTATCAACAGATGCGTATATCAACAAAATGTCTTATATATGTGATAGAATATTATTTATCTATAAAAAGTAGGTCTGACACATGCTACAACATGAATAAACCTTAAAAAACTATCCTAAGTGCAATAAGTCATACGCAAAAGAACATTGTCTGATTTCACTTACATGAGCTATCTAGAATAGGCAAATTCATAGAGACAAAAAGTAGATTAGAAGTTACCAGAGTGTAGGAAGAACATGGATTGGGGAGTAACTGATTAATCAATATAGAGTTTTTATTTGGTGTAATACAAAATTTTAGAAATAGTGGTGGTGATTGCACAACATGGCAAATGTAATAAGTGCCACTGCATTATACATTATAAAAAGGCTAAAGTGGCAAATTGTATATATTACCACTATAAAAATAAAACAATAAATGTATTTCAATTCATTAAATTTATTGTGAAAGGTTTAAAAACAAGAGTTTGAGGTTAAAAATTATGTCTAAGATAAAATATTAAAAGATTTATTCCACATGTGCAGGTGTCCACACACACATGCAAACACAACTATATATATACATACTAGGATAAAGTCTCTTATATCTTAAAGACCATTTATTTGATTTTAATAAATAGAATAGGATGGTTGACTCAACAATTTCACTTGAGAGAAAGAATCAAGCATAGATTATTTTCAGTTCCATATGGTCCTCCTCAAATATCTATGATTGGACATCTGTGAAGGCATGCCGCAAATCTAGGGTAACTAACATAAGCACTCATGAAAAAACTTCATTTTTCAATAAATTCTTGTTATTTACTCATCTGGTAATTCAGAATTTAGTTAATCCATCTTCCTATTTATGTTTGTATCAGATTATCTGGCTCTAACCAGTTGTATCATATAATTGATATATTATCTCACGTTTGGCAGTATTTTTTGGACTGCTATTTTAAAACTGGGTCTACTTCAGTGAATGACACCCAAGAAAAACCCGGATCTATCCTGCTTTCTCCTAGGATAGTGAGCCACTGTTTCACTTATTCTCTGACCTTCTTTGGGTGTCATCTGCTTCAGTTTGTTTCTGTTGTCTTGCATCTGTAAATTCTCATCATTTTCTGACATATGTCTTGCCTTTACTATGACTCTTCATGATCAGGCAAAAAGAAATACATACTGAAATGATTTGAATGAATGATTTTTTTAATTATTAAGCTAATATTTTGTTTTTAAAAGTCTAGTTCTACAGTTTGAAATACTTCCTTCAATTGCTTTCTTAAATCACATGTTTATTATTTTGACTCATTCTCAGTGTCCCACAACTTTAAAAATTATAATGATTCTTCTTATTTATAGACAATACATAATCAGTGACTGCCTTTCTTTTGGCACTGCCTTTCTTCCAAGAACATGTCAGAAATTGATGGTGATTTTTGCTCCTTTCCAACTCTTTCTTTCCTCTGCTTTTCTAAATAACCTGTAAACCTTATTATATTTAGACCTTAAATATTTGTCATATCTCTCCATTACCATTTCCACTTTCCTAAATTGAGTTACTATTATCTTTCTTCAAATTACTCTAATATTCTGCCCTTTCCCTGCCTCCCTCAATTCCATTTTATAAATAATATTGAAGTAATTTTAAAACATCAATGAATTATGCAGCTTCTTTCAGTAGCTTTCCATGACTCCGAGTAGAGACTCAAACTCTTATGATGACCAATAAGGCCATTCCTTCCCTCTTCAGCCTCTTCTCAAAGCAAACACCCTCTTCCAGTAGCCACCTTCCCTAATATAAACCAACCTAGCTGAGGTCTCCACACACACTCCTTCAGTCTTAGAATATTCTTGTCTGTATTTTCACCAGTTAGTTTCTAATCCATTTTCAGGTCTCAGCTGAAGGGACACTTTCTCAGGGAATCTTACCCTTATTTCAAGCCATAACCTCAAGCCTTTTTTGAGACCCACACTCTCCATTCAGTGTCTTCTTTCTGCTTTATGATTAATCACAGCACTTGTTTTAAATTTGGATTTCTTTTATTCTTTGAGTCCCCACTTATTTGAAGACTTTAAGAAGAAAAGTTTGTCTATTTGCTCTCTTATATCATTTTTGCTTAGCAAGGTGACCCATAATAGTGCCCTTAAAAAATTAACCAAAGGAATGATTAAATATTAGTGGTGTTTCCACGAAAATAGGCACATGAGGAATGATTTAAAGTCCTACTCTCCTCCAAACACAAACCCTTTTAAACATAGGATATGTACAAATAAATTAGGCAAAAGTATAAGAAAAAGATATAAATAAACCTGAAGTCAGCAAGGGCTTTGATAGTATGGCTCCAATACTTCAGTAGATAAAGTAAATAATAAAATAATGTATATGTAAGCTTTTAAATTGTGTATATAGCAAGACAAACAGAAAACTGGGAAAATACGTACACTAAAAATAAAACACTAGAGATAATACATAATAAACTTCTTAAAATCAATTATAAAAGGATGAAAATTAGCAAAATATATGATCAAATAAATCCTAGTGAGATTTCCAAGTTGCTGCAACAAATTGAGATCACTTGTGATTTATTAGAATAAAAAATAAATTGAATATACAAAAAGGAAAATATCAGATTATATTTCATCTATTGGACATATCAGAAATGTTTCTATCCAGCATTTAGAGAGAACACAAGATCAAAAGAAATACATTAACTCATGAAATGAGCAACTAGGAAATTTATGAATTTAGAGAGTCTCTACTGTAAAACTTTATAGATGACATTGTATCATTTTGAAAGAAAACTCAAGACACCAAAAGCAACTGCAAAAAAAAATTGACAAATGGGATCTAATTAAATTAAAGAGCTTCTGCACAGCAAAAGAAACTATCATCAGAGATAACAGACAACCTACAGAATAGAAGAAAATTTTTGCAATTTCTCCATCTGACAAAAGTCTAATATCTGGAGTCTATGAGGAACTAAAACAAATTTACAAGAAAAAAACAACCCCATTAAAAAGTGGGGAATGACATGAATAGACACTTCTCTAAAGAAGACATTCATGCTTCTAATAAACATATGAAAAAAAAAAAGCTCAACCTTACTGGTCATTAGAAAAATGCAAATCAAAACCACAATGGGATACCATCTCACACCAGTCAGAATGGCAATTATTAAAAAGTCAAGAAACAACAGTTGCTGGCAAGGTTGCAGAGAGAAAGGAATGGAATGCTTTTACACTGTTAACGGGAGAGTAAATTAGTTCAAACATTGTGGAAGAGAGTGTAGCCTTTCCTCAAAGATGTAGAAGCAGAAATACCACTTGACTCAGCAATCTCATTACTGGGTATATACCCAAAGGAATATAAATCAATCTATTATAAAAATACAGGCATGCTTATGTTCATTGCAGCATTATTCATAATAGCCAAGATGTGGAATCAACCCAAATGTCCATCAATGATAGAGTGGATAAAGAAAACGTGGTACATATATACCATGGAATACTATACAGCCATAAAAAGGAAAAGGATTGTGTTCCTTGCAGGGACATGAATGGAGCTGGAAGCCATTATCCTCATCAAACTAACACAGGAACAGAAAACCAAACACACATGTTCTCACACAGAAATGGGAGCTGAACAGTGAGAACACATGGACACTTGTGGGGAACAACACACACAGGGGCCTGTCCGGTAGTGGGTGGGGAGGAGAGGGAGAGCACCAGGAAGAATAGCTAACGAATGCAGCAAACCTGCATGGCACACATTTACCTATGTAATAAACCTGCACATCCTGCACATGTGCCCTGGAACTTAAAATATATTATGTTGGTACAAAAGTAATTTCTGTGAACTGCAATTACCTTTGCACCTACCTAATAAGTTGAAGGAAAATAAAATCTATTTTAAAAAAAAAAAAAAAAAAGGAAAATCTACCCTGAAATAGAGTAGTTTTGAGATTATAGTAGAGTTCCATGACCTCAATTCACATGCTATAATTCATCTTTATATGGCCAAAACTAGATCTGCAATTGCACATTTTTCCTTCTGTAGGCTTTGGTTGAACTAGACTGGCCACTTGACTCTTCCTAAAATGGTACTTTCAGTTCTTATGAATACAGGTTATGAATAACCATATTTTCCCTGATTATTAGGGTATTTATCTACATGTTTTATCTCCATATTCAATAGTATTCCACTTTCCTAGTATCTCTCAATAGATAGGTAAATTATAGATATATCTCCCTCGATAAAGCTTTACATCTACATATGAATACATTTATACATATATTTATGTATTTATCAATTGATCAATTGATGGATACATTCATTGTATTATTGTTCCATGTAGCTTTTCACTTTAGATAATAGTTAAAGCCTATCTAACACTGATACAAGAGATATTGGGTATAAAATAAGCTCCTTTCCAATTACTCAAAAGGCCCAGAAATCATGAAGATCACAAAATTCTGAAAAAAGGGCTCAAGCCATTCTGTGCCCAGAAAATAGGCGAACAATGCTTCTTTGGATCTGCTTGGTTTGATGCTGTATATAATAGGGTTCATGAATGGAGGAAAAAGAAATGAGTCATTAGCTCACGGTAATGTGCACCACATGTGGTGCATGTTTCCCAAACCTGTGAATGAAAGTCTCACTGATCACGGTGATGTGAAATACCAAGACACAGCTGATATGGGAGACACACATGTTGAGAGCTTTGGCTTGCTCTTTTCTGGAGGCAATACCTTTAACTGTTTTAAGGATCAGGATATAAGAAAAGACAATGATCAGAGCGTCTAGGAAGAAAATCAAAGCAACCAGAATAGCTGGGTATAAGTGATTGAATGTAATATCAGCACAGGCAAGTTTCAGGACATCTTGATGGAGAAAAAAGGTGTGGAAGAGAACATGGGAATGACAATATGGGAAGCAATGGAGTGGCAGAATTGGAGGCACGAGGGATAAAAAGTCCCTCATAAATAGCCACAGTTCTATCTTCACCCAAGATTTAGTAGAAATAGTTATACCTGAGAAGCATGTGGATGATAATGAAACGGTCATAGGCCATTGACAGGAGAATACCTGATTCTGCAAGTGGATAATGGGAGTGGATAATGTAAACCTGCAAGAAGCAGGCCCCATGGATAACCTCTTTGTGATTCATCCACAAGACGCCCATTACAGTGGGCATCATGGTCAATTTCACCATGAGGTCTTGCCTCAGTGTGGCAAGGAAACAGTACATGGGTTCGTGAAGACTGTGGTCATGCTTGATGAGGTAGAGGAGCTTGCCATTGCCAAGAAGGACGCACACATAAACAGCAAAGAAGGGGATGGAGATCGAGTGATAAGTTGCCTCCAGTACTGAAAAGCCAGGCAGCAAAAAAGGAGCCGCATTGTGTGTTCACAAGTGGCAAGTAGCTTTATAGAAACTATTACACTGAAATCCCTGCCTTATCAGTTTTTACTACCTTCTTGTGAAACTGTATTTCTGCAGCCTCAATCCTAATATTCATATTTAGCAATAATTTATTGGTATATGCATGAATGTGCAACAATTTTCTTATAGAAGAGCAATACATTTATAGACTGTGCTAGAGATAAGGAATGATGATCATTTCTTCAGTTATGAATAATTAAGTAGTTAAGCATTCTTAATCTAAAAAACACATTTTAAAAAATGCATCATGCCCCTCTGTGGTGTGCTTGCTGCACAATGTTTGAACCAATAGTAACAAAAAAGAAGGCAAATATATGCAATTAGATAATAATTGTACATAGTTAACCTGCTGCTTAGCTTAATTGCATATTTGGATACATTTAAACTTGATTTTTATTTTATGTTTCACAATCATGATATAGACATAGTGTTTTGTTAGAAAACTTTTCTTTGTTTAGTTTTGAAATAGAATGTTAATGTTTTATGGAATTCTAACAAAAGCCATGAGCCCTCTGTGGAGAAAAATGGACAAAAGCAGGTGACGTCACATTTAGTCTAAAAATATTCACACGTTTTCCTGAAGCTAATCCATGAGCACCACATTTGAAACTTCAAGCCTGCCTTGAAACATGTGTTGAGATGAAAAAGTCTGTGCTTTAGGTGTTGGTCATCCCAGATGGAGTATGTTCTCCTATGCAGACCTCTGAAAATCTTCCTATCTTCTCTTCGCTGCATCTAACATAAGAAGGAAGAGGAATCATTCCTTATTCCTGTTCCTGGCACTCACCTATGCTGTCATTTTCTTGCTGGAATAAGGACCCATTCCTGCTCTATTTGAAGACTCAGTTCAGACACTCACTTCTCAAAGACTATTCAAGAGGCCAAATTAGAGAGTTTATGTATGTGGAAATCACTTCCCCAGAGTTTCCTCTTTCCAAATACTCAGAAGAACCCTTGATCTCCCCTCCCTCCTCTGTCTGGGAGAAGCAGGGACGCTCAACCAATGTCCTCGGAACTTTCAGGTATTTCTCCAAGGATGGATGAGAAAAGCTGCATACTCCAATGCCACCTCTACATTGGGATGCCAGGACTTAATTATGTGACCCTTCAGGACCCTAAGCATCAGTACACAGTATATCCATGTGTGTACTTTGCATTGTCTGTCTCAATACAATGCAAAGTATTGAGAGATACTAGTTGAATGCAGGGTCACATGTGTCTTTGTCCTGGAGTTTATGCATTTCAATTGCATTGTTGTCTTTTCTGATACTTTGGGAAAATCAGTTCTGATCCACAGGAACCTCAATGGATCTATTAATAGCCAAGTAAATGAAGGGCCTATTATATTTTGTCTTAAAATAACTTTGTTTATATAAAAATCACTGCCCATTTCATACCAGGTTCAGGATAGACTTGTTTTTATTTATTTGTTTTTTCTTTTAAATTTTCAACATTTACTTTAGATACAGTGGGTACTTGTGCAGGTTTTTTACATGGATATATTGCATGCAGTGGTGAGCATACTATCCAATAGATTTTTTAACCCTCTCCCGCATCTCTCCCTGCCCCTTGTAGTAGTTTCAAGTGGCTATTGTTCCCATGTTTATATCCACGTGTACTCAATGTTTAGCTTCCACTTATAAATGAGAATATATGGTATTTGCTTTTGTGTTCTTGCGTTAATTTGCTTAGGATTATAGCCTCCAGCTCCACCCATGTTGCTGAAAAGGACATGATTTCATTTGTTCTTATTGCCACATAGTGGTGGTGTATATGTACCACAGTTTCTTTATCCCGTCCGCCTTTGATAGACACCTAGGCCAGTTATTTGTATTTGCTATTCTAAACAGCATTACAGTGAACATGCAAGTGCATGTGTCTAGTTGGTCTAATGCTCTGTTTTCCTATGGATATATACCCAGTAGCGGGATTGCTGTGTCAAATTGTAGCTCTGCTTAAAGTTCTTTGAAGACTCTCCAAACTGTTTTCTGCAGTGGTTGAACTAATTTACATCCCCATCATCATTGTATAAGTGTTCCCTTTTCTCCATAGCCTCATGAGAATCTGTTTTTTGGCTTTTTAAAAATAGCTATTCTGACTGGTATGAGATAGTATCTCTTGTGGTTTTGATTTGCATTTCTCTCATTAGTGATGATGATCATTTTTGTATATATTTGTTGGCTGCCTGTATGTCTTCTCTTGAGAAGAGTCTGTTCGTGGATTTTGCCCATTTTTAAATGGAATTGTTTGCTTTTTGCTTGCTGATATGTTCGAATTCCTTATAGATTCTGAATATTAGACCTTTTCCAGATGCACAGTTTGTGAATAGTTTCTCCTATCCTGTAGATTGTCAGTTTACTCTGTTGATAGTTTCTTCTGCTGCACAGAAGCTCTTTTTATTATTATTATTATACTTTAAGTTCTAGGGTACATGTGCGCAACGTGCAGGTTTGTTACATATGTATACATGTGCCATGTTGGTGTGCTGCACCCATTAACTCATCATTTACATTAGGTATATCTCCTAATGCTATCCCTCTCCACCCCCCACCCCCACCCCACAACAGGCCCTGGTGTGTGATGTTCCCCTTCCTCTGTCCAAGTGTTCTCATTGTTCAATTCCCACCTATAAGTGAGAACATGTGGTATTTGGTTTTTTGTCCTTGTGATAGTTTGCTGAGAATGATGGTTTCCAGCTTCATCCATGTCCCTACAAAGGACATGAACTCATCATTTTTTATGGCTGCATAGTATTCCATGGTGTATATGTGCCACATTTTCTTAATCCATTCTATCATTGTTGGACATTTGGGTTGGTTCCAAGTCTTTGTTATTGTGAATAGTGAAGCTCTTTAGTTTAATTAGGTTCCACTTGTGAATTTTTCTTTGCATTGCAATTGCTTTTGGGGGCTTAGCCAAAAATGCACTGCCAGTGCAGGTAAGATTTGAGATCTTACATTTAAGTTTTGAATTCATTTTCAGTTGATTTCTCTAAATGGTGTAAGGTAAGGGTCTAGTTTCATTCTTCTGCATATGGCTAGCCACGTATTCCAGCACAGTTTATTGGATAGGTAGTCCTTTTCCCGCTGCTTGTTTTTGTCAGTGTTGTTGAAGATCAGATGGTTGTAACTATGTAGCTTTATTTTTGAGTTTTCTATTGTGTTTCCTTAGTCAATGTGTCTATTTTTGTAACAATATCATGCTGTTTGGGGTACTGTGGCCTTATAATGTAGTTTCTTTCCTTTCTTCCCTCTCTTTCTTTCTTTTCTTTCTTTTTTTATTTTTTCAGAGTTTCACTCTGTCACCCAGGCTGGAGTGCAGTGGTGCGATCTTGGCTCACTGCACCGTCTGCCTCCAGAGTTCAAGCAATTCTCCTGCCTCAGCCTTCCGAGTAGCTGGGATTACAGCCCCCACCACCACAGCCGGCTAATTTTGTATTTTTAGTAGAGACAGTGTTTCACCATGTTGACCAGGCTGGTCTTGAACTCCTGACCTCAGGTGATACACCCACCTCAGCCCCCTAAAGTGCTAGAGTTACAGGCGTGAGCCACCGTGCCTGGCCTGTAGTTTCAAGTCAGGTGGTGTGGTGCTTCCAATTTTGTTCTTTCTGCTTAAGATTGCTTTGCCTGTTCAGGCTCTTTTTGGTTCCATATGAATTTTAAACTAGTTTTTCTAATACTGTGAAGAATGACATTGGTAATTGGATAGAAATTGCAATGAATGTCTAAATTGCTTTGAGCAGTATGGCCATTTAAATTCATATTGATTCTTCCAATCCATGAGCCTGGAAAGCTTTTATTTATTTATTTGTGTTGTTTCTGATTTCTTTCAGCAGTGTTTTGTAGTTCTCCTTGTAGAGATCTTTCACCTCCCACAAACCATATGATCATCTCAATAGACTGAGAAAAACCTTTCAATAAAATTCAACATCCCTTCATGATAAAAACCTCCAACAGACTAGGCATCAAAGGAACATACCTCAAAAGAATAAAAGCCACGTATGAAAAACCCATAACCAAAACCATACTGAATGGGCAAAAGCTGGAACTATTCTCCTCGAAAA
Organism: Homo sapiens; assembly: GCF_000001405.40. Taxonomy (NCBI): domain Eukaryota; kingdom Metazoa; phylum Chordata; class Mammalia; order Primates; family Hominidae; genus Homo; species Homo sapiens. The sequence goes on from NC_000011.10 coordinate 5,319,793, forward strand.
CTGCAACAAGACAAGGATTCCCATTCTCACCACTCCTAGTGAACATAAAATTGGAAGTCCTAACCAGGGCAATCAGGCGAGAGAAAGAAAGAAATGGCATCAAAATAGGACAATAAGCCAAACTATCTCTCTTTGCTGATGATATGACTCTATACTTAGAAAATCCTACAGATTCTTCCAAAAGGCTGCTAGAACTGATAAACAATTTTAGCAAGGTTTCAGGATACAAAATCACATACAAAAATCAGTAGCATTTCCATACACCAATAAGGCCCAGGCTGAGAGTCAAATCGAGAACACAATCCCATTAAGAACAGCCACAAAGAAAATGAAATACCTAGGACTTGTTCTTTTTATTGAAATTTAAAACCCAAGCAGGCACTAGAAAGAAAATATTTACCATGAATTCATACAACACTATCATTACTACGTGAATATTAGTGTGCTATGAGAGACACATCAAATAAATTTCTGGGATCAGGGAACATTTTCCAGAAGAAATGCTACTTAAGCTGAGAATTAAATGCTACTATATTAGTAGTGTAGTAGTATTTGGTGGGGTAGTGCAATCATTGCGTACAGGTGAAAAGAACAAACACAAAACGAAACAAGTAAACAAATTAAAGTTTGTAAAATGTACATTGGTAATGGGGCAAGATTAAATACTATAAATTCAAATAAAAATAATTTTATTCAAAATATACATTAAGGAAGTATAATATCTCTTGAACAACAATACATGAAAAAAAGCTTGAGAGAAAATGAATCTGTAGTAGTAGCAGGTTCTGATCACAATATATCTTGCAAATCATGTAAAACATTTTGACATTACCATAAGGGAATGAATATAAAACAAGAGGTATGATGAGTACTTATAATCAAGTAGTTATTGTTTAAAGTTACTATGGCTACAGTATGAGAAACATGTTGGAAAAGGGGGAGAACAGGTAAAAGAAGTATCAGGATATGACAATACACGTGTCAAATTGTGTTGGTGTGGTTTTGACTAGTTGTTATCAGTAGCATTAGAAAGGCTTGAATAGAAGAGAGATTCTATGACTTAGAATAGAACTGAGTGATTGAAGGTAGTAGATTAAAGAGAAAGAAGCGTAAGTAATGCCACCTGAATTTCTGAGTTTTGCTGAATGGAGAGTAGTTCCATTGACTTCCATAGTTATCACAAGAAGATAATGACTTTATTCACTAATCAACAGTTATTTATTGATTGGTCATTGTACATTAATGAGTGTTTTACATGCTGACTTTGTAGAAAAGATGAAGAGAATCAGTTTCAATGAAGTGCTTTGCACAAAGGATACCCTGGAGAAAATTACTCATATCATTTTCTTTTCTAACAGTTTCATTAACATATAGGTAAAGACAGGATATCATAATTGACATAGTACAGTGTCATTAATAGGTTAATCAGGTCATGTGGTAAAGTGGGAAGGCTGAATAAGGATATTATTTTGTTTTTAGAGAATTTAAAGGAAGCTGTCCTCCTTATTAAAAATATGACAGAAGAGTGATAGCTGGTTTGGTTTAATGAAGTATTGGCTTGTGCCCTCAGAAGGGACTGTGTATCTTTTATCATGAAAGTTGATATTTCAGAGCACTAATAACTTAGTTTCCTTCTATGTAAAAGATGAAAAGTCTCAATGAAATAAAATGCTAGTGGATTCAGATCACCCTCTTAGAATCAATTTGAAAAATATTTTCTTTAAACAACCATGAAGGCACCAAGAACAGAGAATTCAACGTCTAAACCAGTTTAAGGACAACGTCATTAATAATAAACATATTTCCCAATAATTTGGGCTTCTTTCATCTTGGAAACAACACTGCTTATCCAAAGTAAGCACCTCCTTATACCTATTCAGTGAGGCTGCAATATTGCCATATCCTCAACCCACCATATACACAAAAGGCATGCCAGTGATGCTGCTCCATCATGGTTTGAAACTTCCTTATTTCTCACACATGTGGCAGGTAATTAAACTATGGCTTGAAGTCCTGGCCTTGGCCAGTTAAACTAAGAGTCCTTCCATCAAATGTATCACTGTAAAACAGATAGCCTATCCTCAAAATTTAGATATCAGATGGGGATATAATATCGCAGTAACTTGTGATTACCACAGCAACTTGTGATGTCCCACAGCTTCTGTTCTACAAAGATGGGAAACAAAGGCAGGCTTTCCTCAGCTACAAGAGGTTCTGCATCAAGATAGCAAATCAAGATGGGAATTATCCGAAATGAGATTTTTCCATTAAGATGCCTAGATGTATTATAGACCTCATGGTCACATATAAGGAACAGAGAAAGTCTTTGGTAGATAACTGACTTTTAGGATTTGAGTTTATATTCAGCATCAATAACTTGAACATTATACTCTGAGATAGGTTTTCCCCTTTTGAAATTTGTGGATGAAAATCCTGTTTCACAATTAAATCAGTCTAAAAGAAGCTTTTAGTACACAGTCACACAAAAACTCCTCCCACCACAATTTTTTAGTCATTGGATGAATTGAAATCCATTTCTCTCAACATTGTTGGTCTTCCTAATATAGAGAGTTTACAGTAGATGTCAGAGAAAGTATTTATGGCAAAAGAATCACCATTTCTAATTTTTCCCTCTGAACATATATAAAGTATATATAACTTGTGAAGTAATGATGTCTCATATTTTTCATTCTAGAATGGCTATATTTTCTATTTTTGAATAGAGCCTTGACCCTTCCTATTATTAGGCCAAGGGAAAAGTATGTTAAAATCATCTGAAGAGCAAACATACTCTTAAAAACTCACTTTTTACTTTTTTACGAGCTGACAAGAAGCTTGTCTAGGTTTTTCCTTCTAAGATTTTTTTGGGCAAAAGAATATTTATAGAAGAATGAGGTAAAGAAATACACTTTTATAAAATCCAGACATCCTGCAAGGAATGTATTGAAAATTAAAAAGCTCTTATTGAAATACTCTGTAAGTGACTTACGACTGTATTTAGAAAATATTAAATGCAAATCATGGCCCTAGAGAGTACCCTAACTCAGGGTAGAGGACAGTTAAAAGATAACCAACACTTACTTATTTAAAAGTAAATTTAAAATGTTAGTTTCTTATCACTATATTTGCCATGAGAATAATGAAAATTTTAAATAAGAATTTATTTCTAGAGAATGATGATCAACTTTTTTTTTTACACTTGTGTGCATTAGCCTATGCAAACACATAAACATGTATGCACAAATGTGCACACTGAGGCAAAAGTTTTTCATAGAGATTATATGTTCTGCCTTTTCCTCAAATTTCACTGAGGTGGCTAATTTCAGGTGCATTTGAAAGAAGAATTTAAATATAGACTTTTTCAGTTCCATATGGTCTATTCAGTGTTCTGTCACCAGACTTCTCCTAAGATATGCCCCCAACCCTATGGTAAAGTACTTAAGTCCTTGTGAGTGACAACATTGTCTTCCAGTATACCCTTGCTCTTTGCTAAGAAAGAACTCCAGGCTTTCATTTTTCATTCTGGCTTCATTTTTATGTCTGTGTCTGATTCTCCAGATCCGAGTTTAACTACTAAACCTATGTTTAGATAAAAGGCGGATAATGCCATATTGTATTTGCTTGGTTTTGATGCTGTAGATGACAGGGTTCATTAAAGGAGGAAAGAGGAAGTAGATGTAACTCATGATAATGTGGACAACCTCTGGCACATTCTTCCCAAATCTGTAAATGAATGTCAAACCCATCACTGTAACATAGAAGATAAGAACACAACTAATGTGGGAGATACAGGTATTGAGGGCTTTGGCTCTCTCTTCACCAGAAGCAATGCCTATGACAGTATTAAGAATTAGAATATAGGAGAAGAGGATGATCAGACAGTCTAGGAAGATTGTTAAAGAGATCAAAATTACAGGGTAAAGTCTATTGAAAGTTATGTCAGCACAAGCCAGTCTCATGATTTCTTGGTGGAGGCAGAAAGCACGTGTGATAACATGAGATTTGCAATATGAAAATGAAAAAAGACGCAAAATTACAGGCAGGATGGATACAAAACCCCTTAGAAACACTCCCACTCCTAACGCTATGACTCTAGTATTGGTGAGAATGGAAGCATATCTCAAAGGATTGCGGATGGCAATGAAACAATCATATGCCATTGCCAGGAGGGAACCTGATTCCACAACAGAAAGGGAGTGAATAAAGTAAGCCTGTAGGAAGCAGCCCACACTGCTAATCTCCCTGTGATTCACCCATAGGATGCCCATTACAGTAGGCATCGTGGTCAATGTCACCATGAGGTCTGTGCCTGCCAGCATGGTGAGGAAGTAGTACATGGGCTCATGAAGACTGTGGTCATGCTTGATGAGGTAGAGGAGCATGCCATTGCCCAGAAGGATGCACACATAAACAGCAAAGAAGGGGATGGAGATCCAGTGATGAGCTGCCTCCAGCCCTGGAAAGCCAGTCAGCAAAAAAGGGGCTGCAGTAATATTGGGCCACATAGTGTATCCACCGGTAAAGATCAGATTTCTTGAAACCTTGAAACCAGGAGCCTCCAATCTTCCTGCTTGGAGATGATTAACTGGTGTGATAAATTTGACTCTGCAACTATTTTCCTGAAGAAGAATAGCATGTACAGACTATGGTTTTTTCCCTAATTAGAAAAAATACTGAGTTAATGGTTCGATTTTTCTCAAATTCAAAAATTTTTCATTAATTTTAAATATATTATCCGCAACTATTTTGAGGGTACTTATAAATATTTGCAACAACAGTGATAACAAAAACACATAACATAAATATACATAAATGGATAATAATCTGGCTTAGTTGTCTTCTTGCTGTGATTACTGACCATTTGGAAATGATTGTTGTAATTTTACATTTCACGATTATGATGAAGACAGTTTTTTCAGTTAATGCAGTTTTTCTCATTTTTTTTGGAAATTGAATGTCAGTGTTTTATGCACTATAGCGTGCATCACCATCACTACCAATGAACGGCTTTGTCACTCTAACAGTTACTTGAGCTTGGCCACCAGAGTTGTGGATCACAGACTAGACGCAGCTAACAAGCAGCGGGCTTGTTAGGCATGCAGCCTCAGATTCTGCCCCTTCCAACATTCTGAATCAAATTCGCTTTTTTCAGGTCCTCAGGTGATTCCAGTGCAAAACAATGTCTGGGCATCACTGCTATAAGCATTTCATACCTAATCCATCTTTCGAGATAGAAACCTTTTAATGCTTCCATCCAGTTGATTTTCTCATTTTCTCCAAATATCTTCATACAATTATCTTTTTTATGTTTCTTTCACCATTTACTGGCTTTCTTTCTGCCACTTGCCCTTTCCAACATTATTTCCCATAATTAAATACTTAGCTGGTTTTCTGTCCTTCTTACCTCTCTCTGCTTTTCCATCAACTCCAAACTCCTGAGGAACTGTTGCAGTTCTGTAACAGGTAAAATTATAATGTTTCCACAGCCTAAGGATGCCAGCCATCACTACTGTTTCTGTTTTCTTGGTTGCCACGATCCAAGAGGGGTATGGGAGAAAGAAGAAGCTTATTACCAGCTCTGCTGCAGTCTTATTTAACGAGAAATTCAGAATCCTGGAGGCAAGTCTTTAGCACCTAGCAGTTTTCTTCATAAAATGGCCTCAGTATCAAAAATAAATCAGAATCAGAAGAAATCACAAAGCATTTCATATTGTATAAGGAAATGTTCTGATGCTACCTCTGTATCAGCTCCTGTGAGTCAGGATTACTAACTTACTGAGATTGAAATCACCAACACTAGGGAATCCCTAAAATTAAATCACATTGAATTCATATAGAAGACTGAATTATAATTATTACACAAATGTTGTTCTACCTTCGAAAGATCCTTCATGCTTAAAAACACAGATTGAGGAATAAGAGGATGTACGGAATGAGGTATAGGAGGAAGAGAATGGCAGATTAGAGAAAGGACAAATTGGTGACACATATTCTGAAGGGTAAACATAGAAGAAAGTCACATTAAAATTTTTTTTAATTAAAGTTTTAAAAAATTTTAAAAATAAAAAATTTTTAAAAAGAAAGCCATAAAATCTGGGATTCCTTTAAAAAAAATTGTGTAAGGATCAAACTAGATTTCCAGAGCACAAGTACTTTTTAAAATGTTTGTGAGCTTTTCCTTAAAAAACAATAACGTCTTTAGAGAAATTGGCCATAAAACACTTGAAACCAAAAAAGAAAGTTTTTTATTATATTTATGAGCAGAAAAAAATGTTTACAGTCATATCTCCCTCCATCTCTAAGCTTGGGTCATTAAAAGTAAGACAGGGAAGGTTATGGTACCTCAAAGAAAATGAAAGGTAAATCATGTCTGAGATTTTGGGAATAAAAAGAAACACAAAAGAAGCCTGCCCAACACTGGGAAGCCGTTGATATTTACCCAGAGGCAGGCGTGTGGGGATTCTAGGAGAGCTAGATACTGTCATCAAACTGAGGCCCACTATAAGCAGTGTCACCAGAGATGAAGCCATACTGTATGCATGCTCCCAAGGCTGCACTATGTGGCAAAATTCCATTCAGATGGCTTAGCTATTAACAAGTGTTAAGAAAATTATACTAGAAGCACAAGAACTAGTTTTTCTGGATAAAGGTGGAGCAGCTATGGCTGTGAAATTGATAGGCAGCTCTCAACTCAGAACATAAATGTTTAGTGATTTCCTAAGGATCTGGGGTCCTGACTTGATGTGTGATGATTTTTCCTTGAACTGATATATCATATATGAAGATATAAGCAACCTGTAGGAGCTCCATTCACCAATACCATCTGGGACAAGTTGGAAAATGACTATTTTGAGTCAGCACAGAATTGGTGAGCACATGCCACACAACTGCACTGTGTTTAGTTCTAAATAACCATGTAATAAGCACAGTCTGCTCTTAAGAAGCTCTCAATATGGCCTATGAGTTTATAATAGTGCTTAATATTCTCCCTTCAATTTTATGCAGAATATTGCCCTTGAATGTCTCAACAGGATCCATAATGCTGAAAACTTGAGAAAAATCATAGATCTAAGCCCTGCTTCATTCTAGCTTCATTCTAGATGTTCTATTGACCTGAATTTCACATGATGATATATTTCTAGATGAATAAGATTCCTATACTTGTAGCAACACTCTCACCAAGATGCATAAATACATACAGGTCCATGGAAAAAAGTTGTCATGCTCACTTTGAGAACATAATTTGAATGTTACCAGATACAAGGGAGTAAAGGAGACAGAGGGAACTTTGTAGTATGAAGAAGGAACAGACAGGAAAGATCTGTTAGCCTCAAGAAAATGTAGTAAATAGTGAATCTATTATACAGTCTACATAAACAAGTGAAAGAGGAAAAAATATGATTCCTCCTTTCCCTCATCTTCTCATTTCCTACTCTGCCCTCCTTCTGAGTTGGATGGAAGATGTGTCCCCGCACCTTCCTAAGGAGATGGGCCCTGTCTCTAGAATTTTTCTAGTGAGTCCCACTGACTACTCATGCCATCTCTTAGAGCAGTTCTTCAAACAAACACACAGACACACATGCATGTGTGTGTTTCAAGGGGTGTTGTTTGGATCTTATAAATTAAATTGTTATATGTTAAAATGGTGACTTTTCTTTCTATAAATTTCAGGATCTTAGCAGAGTGCAGAAGCTCAGCCTGTTTAGGTTCAGAACTCCGTGCTCTCACGCATTGTCTTTAATCTTCAAAAAAGTGAGTCCTCCATTTGGCCCCAGTCCTGAGGGCCTGACAGTTGGGACTACCCAACTCTCAGATTTCTATTGTCCACAAGTTAAATTCCTCCTGCCTTCTCCAACCCAGTCCAATATATTATCATCTGCCATCAATATGATTTCATTTTCAATCCAATTTGCTTTCTTAGATCTTAATTTGGCTGCCCTTTTCTAAGCCTTTCAACTCGATTCAGAATTTTTTGTCTACTCTTCAGAGAAAAACTATCAACAAAAAATCCTCTGAACAGGAAAGTTATCAATAAAAAATAAACGTAAAATAAGCCCTTTCTGGATAAACAAAAACTGAGTTGATTTCAACTAAGTTGAAACCAAATGACCAAAGATGATCATTTGAATCTACATAAAATGACAAAAGCACCAGTAAAGATAGTCATGTCATTATAGAAGACATTATGCATACATATTCCTTTCTGCTTCTTATTTTCAAAAATGAATGTATTACAATAAAAAATAGAATTGCATTGCTGGAACTATTACAAATATAAATGTAATATATTTACCAATAACTGAACAAAGGAGGTGAGTGATAACAAAGCTGTTTTGGAATGAAGAAATATTCTCTGAAAAAAAAGCTATAAACATCTACATAGAAAAATGAGTAAGAATGCACAATGACACATGCAGTTCTGAGCATTAACAATTATACTTATGCCAATCCAAGGGTCCCAGATTAGAAAACCTAAATCTATCACAGTTCCTTAAATACTCTTTCAAAAAAGAAAAAAAAAAATCTGTGCTGTAGGATATCCCACCTCAGCTGTGATCTTTACCTCTAGGCAGACCTCTGGAAAACCTTCTTATATGCTTTCCTTGAGTGCATCTCACATCAGAAGAGAGAGGAATCATTCCATATTCAAGTTCCTGGCACTCACCCACTCACAGTATTGTGGCTAAAATAGGAACCTATTCCTGTCCTCTTTGAGGACTCAGTTCAGATCATTCACTCACAGACCTCTCATGAGGCCTCATTTTAAAGCTTATGCATGTGGAAATCACCTCCCCTGAGTTTCATCTTTCTAGCATCTCAGGAGACCCCTTGATCTCCCTTCCCTCTCTTCTCTGTTCGGGAGGAACAGGGCCCCACAACTGATGTCCTCGGGATTTTCAGGTGTTTCCTGAAGAATGGGGTGAGGAAAATTTGAAATTCAAAAACCAGCTGATGTAAGATAGGGATACCAGGGCTTGGTTATGTGACCCAAGGAGGCTCAGCATCATAACTTAGTTTATTTGAAAGGGTTAGGGGATATCGGTTGTCTTCAGGGATCATATGTACCTCTACGGGTCCTAGAGCTTATGAATTCCAATTGCGTTTTTGTCTTTCCTGTTACTTTGGTAAAATTTGTTCTTATCTACTGGAACTTCAATGGATCTGTTAATAGTCATGCAGATTCATGACATTCAGCTTTTTTTTTTTTTTTTTTTTTTTTTTTTAGATAGAGTCTCACTCTGTCGCCAGGCTGGAGTGCAGTAGCACAATCTCAGCTCACTGCAAACTCCACCTCCCAGGTTCAAGTGATTCTCCTGCCACAGCCTCCTGAGAAGCTGGGACTACAGTAGCGCGTCACCACACCCAGCTAATTTTTGTATTTTTAGTAGACACGGGGTTTCACCATATTGGCCAGGATGGTCTCGATCTCTTGACCTCGTGATCCACCCTCCTTGGCCTCCCAAAGTGCTGGGATTGCAGGTGTGAGTCACTGCGCCCGGCTGACATTCAGCTTTTTATCTTAAAATTATATTACTTGTAGCTCATTGCCCTTTTTTTTTTTTTTTGCCAGATACACAATGAGGAGCATAGTCTTTATTCACAGAATGTAAATAGTGTGTAATATAAAGAAAATAGTTACCACAAATTTTCATAGCACTATCATTACTGCATAGATGGTAGCATGCTAAAGGGAGCCCACAGAAAGCATCTTTGGGGCAGGGGAAAATTTCTCAAAAGAAATATTATTTAAGCTAATAATTGAAAAACAAGGAAGGTAACAAATATAGTGTTTGTATAAGTGGGGTACAGTTTATAAAGGAAGAAAAAATACACAGGCTATGGGGAAAGAGAAAATATGACAAACTCAAATCAAGAGAATTCTAGCAGAGCCAGAATAACAAAACATGTGAGAAAATTGAACACAAAGAGAATCTGTGGTAGCCTGTTGGTTTTTGTTAATCCAAAATAATGTATTTTTATTATTATTATTATTATACTTTAAGTTTTAGGGTACATGTGCACAATGTGCAGGTTTGTTACATATGTATACATGTGCCATGTTGGTGTGCTGCACCCATTAACTTGTCACTTAGCATTAGGTATATCTCCTAATGCTCTCTCTCCCCCTTCCCCCCACCTCACAACAGTCCCCGGAGTGTGTTGTTCCCCTTCCTGTGTCCATGTGTTCTCATTGTTCAATTCCCACCTATGAGTGAGAACATGCAGTGCTTGGTTTTTTGTCCTTGCGATAGTTTGCTGAGAATGATGGTTTCCAGTTTCATCCATGTCCCTACAAATGACATGAACTCTTCATTTTTTATGGCTGCATAGTATTCCATGGTGTATATGTGCCACATTTTCTTAATTCAGTCTATCATTGTTGGACATTTGGGTTGGTTCCAAGTCTTTGCTATTGTGAATAGTGCCACAGTAAACATACGTGTGCATGTGTCTTTATAGCAGCATGATTTATAATCCGTTGGGTATATACCCAGTAATGGGATGGCTGGGTCAAATGGTATTTCTAGTTCTAGATCCCTGAGGAATCGCCACACTGACTTCCACAATGGTTGAACTAGTTTACAGTCCCACCAAGAGTGTAAAAGTGTTCCTATTTCTCCACATCCTCTCCAGCACCTGTTGTTCCCTGACTTTTTAATGATTGCCATTCTAACTGGTGTGAGATGGTATCTCTTTGTGGTTTTGATTTGCATTGTGACGTGTTAGTTTTAAAGTATGTGTGAAATAATTTTTATTCTTAACATTTTTTTGATGAAGCACAGTGTCTGAAAGGGTGGTAGCCCAATCAAGTGACATTAAAAACCAGAACACAGCTAATGTGAGAAATACAAGTATTTAGGGCCTTAGTCTGCTCCTTGTCTGAGGCAATTCCCATGACCTTCTTAAGGATCAGAATGTAAGAGATAAGGATAAGCACAAAGTCCAAGAAACCAGTTGATGAGACCAGGACTATAGGATAAAGTCTATTAAAGGTGATGTCTGCACAGGCCAGTTTGATCACATCTGGTGCAGGCAGAAAGCATGGGAGAGGACATGGGATTGACAGTAGGGGAATCCAGAGAGGGTGATGATTATGGGCACAATTAGCATAACAAATCCCCTCATTTGAACCCCCAGATCTATCTTCACCACCTTAGCATTGGTGAGAATGGAGGTGTATCTCAGGGGATTATGGATGCCAATAAAACAGTCATGGGCCATGATGAGCAACACTCTGGACTCCACGATAGAGAGGGAGTGGATTAGATAGGCCTGGAGGAAGCAGGCTCCATGGCTCATTTTCCTGTGATCTAGCCAGAGAACACCAAGGACAGTGGACATTGTTGTCAAAGTTACACCAAGGTCTATGGCTGCCAGTATAGTCAGAGAGTAGTACACGGGCTCATGAAGAGTGCAGTCTTCTCTGATAAAGAGGAGGAGGCTGCCATTGCCAAGGACTGTAGAGACATAGATGATAAAGAAGGAGATAGAACTCCAAGGATGAAATCTCTCCAGACCTGGAAAGCCAGTGAGGAGAAAAGGGGCAGCAGTAATGGTGGGTGACATGGTGGATACCTGAGGAGAAACAAACAAACAAAACAGCTCTCTAGACCAGCACTATGTGGTGGAAATATAATTAGAGCTAAATATGTGATGTTAAATGTTCTGGTAGTCACATTAAAAGGAGTAAAAAGAAAAGTGGTAAAATTAATATTAGTATGTCTTATTTAAGCTACTATATCAAAAATATTATCATTTTAATAGATAATCAGCATAAAAATCATATATGAGATAGTTCCCACGATTTTTTTTTGGTACAAATTCTTCAAAATCGAGTGTTTACACTTACAGAAAATTCTGACTCAAGCTAACCAGATGCTACTGTTTTGGACAGCACAGCTCTAGACTATACGACTTCATCCTCAGTTTCGACTCCAGCTGCTTTCTACCACCCTTTCAGACATTGTGCTTCATCAAAAAAATGTTAAGAATAAAAATTATTTCACACATACTTTAAAACTAACACATATATTGGAAAAGAAAGTCTCCTCTCTCACTAGCTATTTTTTAAATGGTGTGATAGGCATAATTTTAAAAACCTTTCTACCACAAGATTTCCTATCCTAATTTCTAGGACTGTGAATATGATACAATATCATGCTTGGGGTTATACAGATGTAATTAAAGTTGCTGATCTATTGACTTTGAGTTAATTGAAAAGGAAATTACTCAGGGGAACCTAGTCTAATTCCATGAGCCCCTAAAAGCAGAGTTTTCACCAAGTAGTAGGAGAATAGGAAGCCAGACATATTCAAAATTTGAGAAAGGTTCATGGGTCAGTTGCTGGTTTGAAATATAAGGAGGTCACAAAAGAAGGAATGCAAGAAGCCCCTAGGTACAGAACGGGCATCCTAGCTAACAGCCTGCAAACAAACAAACAAAAAACAAAAACAAAAACAAACAGGGACTTCAGAGTTCAGCAGTAGGAAACTGAACTCTGACAGCCGGGTGCAATGGCTCATTCAAGCCTGTAATCCCAGCACTTTGGGAGGCCAAGGCGGGCGGATCACCTGAGGTCAGGAGTTCCAGACCAGCCTGGCCAACATGGTGAAATTCCATCCCTACCAAAAAATATAAAAATTAGCCAGGTGTGGTTGCAGTTGCCTGTAGTTCCAGCTACTTGGGAAACTGAGGCAGGAGAATTGCTTGAACCCGGGAGGCACAGGTTGCAGGGAGCAAGAGATTGTGCCACTGCACTCCAGGCTGGGTGACAGAGCGAGACTCCATCTCAAAAAAAAAAAAAAAAAAAAGAAAAAAAAAGAAACTGAGCTCTGACTACAATCTGAATGAACGTGGAAGCGAATTCTTCCCCAGAGCCTTTGGATAAGAGCCCAGCCCTCCCGATATTTTGAATTTGACCTTATGATACCCTAAGCAGAGAACTCAGTTAAGCCTATGAGAGTGCAGACCTATAGAAATGTGATATAATAAACTAATAATGTTTGAAGCAGCTCAAGTTGCAGTAATTTATGTATAACAATAGAAAACTAATGCAAAGTATTACTATTATCCATATTTTATTAAGAGTTTATAGAGTTCTATAATAAACTAATATTTACAGGGTTTATGTAAATTATTGTATCATTTATCTATTATCACAGAATTGTCACATCACAAAGCCCTGTATAGCATCAGTGGCTGACAACATTAAACATTTATTTTTCACTCTAATGCATGGTTCAACTTATTTAGGCTGGGCTTGGCTGGGCAGCACTGATCATTTCTGCACCATCTGCTCAGGTACATAGGGTGCAGCTGTACGTCATCCCTATCCTATTGTTTTCCTGTGTCGTTCTTCCTATATCCATCACCCTTTTGTTGTATCTATTTCTATATTGTCTCTTATTTTGCCCTCTCTAACTAAACCCCAGATGTCTCTTTTGCATCACCCAGACTTTAGCATAAAACTTAGCACAAAATTTTTACTGTTTACATTCTTTTACTAGTCTCTCAGACCTAGTGGCTCTAACTCATTGTAGTAAAAAACACGGTTCTACTCCCACTCCAACACTAACATTGCTTACTTTACTAAGTGTTGTATTAACACACCAATGGCCCTGGAAGCAATGACAGAGTTTGACATATTGATTGTAAGGTTATTTATAAAATTTTAATTACTTTATGATTAACACATTGATCACTAACTGACTGGTATGCTGATTGTTAAACTGACTTAGGTAAGAACAGTGACTTCAAAATATTACTAATATACTAATTGGCTAATATATAAGCTGAAAATGTGGGAGCTACAAAGTAGAGGAGGAAGAAGGCAGAAAGGGAACATAGGTGGATGTAAGATAGAGAAAACTGAGCCTAGAGAACTGCATCAAGAGGAGGAGGAGAGGTAGTATAGAGACCTACAGGTGTCATGGTGACCCCACCCTGCACATTCACTCCCAGAGTCAGTCTCTTTCCTCTCCTGCCTCTTCCAAAGAAAATTTCTATTGTAGGAAAAGTGTTCTTAATAGCGCTGAGCTAACAAGAACTTCTAGATATCAACTCAGAACTCTTAATTATTCATGTAAGCACCCATCACATAAAACTACTGTTTTTATTTCAGAGTTAACATTTGCTAGGAAGTTGAACTTTTATGTTGGAGGTTGATACACCCGGCAGAATCTGTAGATACAGATATCTTGCCTCTTTTCTCTATTTACCCTCTTGCAACAACTATGTGGTGGAAGAGAATCCAAGAAGATTAGTCTTTATTTTCCTCTCAATTACCTTCATTCCATTCTCCCATAGTCACTAGAGCCTGACCTGGGGTATCAGAAATTAAGGGGAGAGGTAATTGCTGAGTCCTGGTGTAGAAATTGGTTTAAATGGTATCTCTGAAGACTGCTAACAGGGTTAATTTGTGAGGTTATTTGTATTCAAAATTGTTCCCCAGTATCTGTCTTGATGCTGGATAATTAGGCTACTGGGATATTTTTTTTCAAGCCTCCTTTGGAGAAGGAAGTGGGCTCCAGAACTGTGTTCTTAAAGCCCCATATTTTCTTTGCAAAAAGAAAACAGAATTGTAGCTTCATCCAGCACATGGAAGTCATGCTATCTAACTACCTTTGCCTTGTATGATTCCCCACCTCAAAAAGAAGATACCGTGAAGCCTACTTTTGTTATTCCTTAACCCTGTAGCCAATAAGCTCACTCAACTTAGACAAAGCTTAATAATCCCTCACACTTAATCTTTTCTTGGTTTCAAATAAGATTGTTTGTTATATATACTCACAAATGAGTGCTGCTGATAAGTTCTTTCAAACAGTAAGCTTGTTTTCTGTCTCTTGGTAAGTCTTGCCCAAGAATCAGAGTTACTGCTTCTGGAGCAATATAAATCAAGTTTAAAAAATTTTATTTAAGTGTCCTGTAGTAATGTTAAAAAGGGGACATGGTGGAGGTATTCTTTAATCCCTGGCTTTGTCTGACAATTTGTACTTGAATACAATCATCTCATAGTCTGTCAGAGAAATAAGGATCTGAGAATTTCTATTGTCTCATCAGTCTTAAATCCTAAATTTATCCTGGAACTTAGCCCAACTATGAGATTTTAAAATGAGTATGGGTGCAATGTGGTGAACCATGAGGGTCACATTTTGGTGCCTGACATTTCACATCAGTTAAGTTCCTCCTGAACTGCATTCTGCTCATAGGTCTTCCTAAATGTAAGCAGAATAGTAGTAGGAAATCATGATTAAAAGTCAGTCTCTGGAAATGGCTTAAGTCTGAAAATTTGTGTGTCCTCTTTGTACTAAGTTAAAATTTAGGTCTGGATTGATTTAGGGGAGCCATGCTTTGAACTTAAAATGAGGTGAGGTAGTAAGACCCTGAGATAACTGATTTAATTTCAGGCTGCCCTCCCATTTCATTAGTAGGTATATTGACCCTCTCACTGGCAGTACACGAATCTTCTGCCCCATAAATATGACTCTATTCCTGGAAACATCACTTATCTTAGAACAGATATAAAGTAATTTCCTGCAGACTGCCCCAGAGTTGGGATAAAATCTCATGTGAAGTGACACTGTTGGTGGAGGATAAGCCTCCAGAGAATGGGAACAACTATTATCAGCCAACACTCAAAGTCACCAAGCTTAGGGGCACTGGGAGGAAGTAGGCAGGGCACCCAAAATATCTTCTATTTCCTTAAATAGCCATTGATGTGTCTCTCATTCATGTATTTTCTAAGACCTTGTTCATTCTTTTCATATTTCCTGCTGTATTGCCTGTGAAGTAAAGTATCATGTCACAGCAGCATAATCTCAGATTGGGAAGGACCTCCATCTCCTGTAATAAAAGCCTTCTTTGATGCAGTGTTTCCTGACAAGGGTCATCCGCTGAGTGCCTGTCTCTTTCTAAATCACATAACACAATATTTATTAGAATATCTGTGCTGAAAATACTCAGGCAGCCACATTATTAGAAATTACCTAACTTTTTAAAATGAAAATATTTTTCTGGTCTTCCTATTCCTTGGCTCTTGGTCTGAGCTCTGGCATCACAGTCTATATCTAACTGCTGCCTTATATTACATATGGCATATAGGAAGGCAACATTCAAGTATAATAAGCTTATATCGCTAACGATTCAGGAAGGTCTCTATCCTAGGATTTTTGCTGTTTGTTGAGTAAGTCTGTGCTGACAATACCAGCTTCTTTTTTTTTTTTTTCTGTGTAGTTTGATTCTATTATCTGTCAGCCTTCTGGATTCCACAATTATCTCCGAAGATTCCATCCTTTAACTCATCCTCTACAGGCTCTGATGGTTAATTTTATATGCCAATTTGACTGGGCCATGGGGTGCCCAAATATTTGTCAAACATTATTCTAGATGTTTTTGTGAGGGTGTTTTTAGGCAAGATTAACATTTAAATCGGTAGACCAAGTAGAGCAGATGGTCCTTCCTATTGCAGGCGGCTTCCTCCAATCAGTTGAAAACCTGAATAGAACAAAAAGTCTGACCCTTCCCCAAATCAGAGAGAATTATTCCTTATTGATGGCCTTCAAACTGGAATCTAGACCTTTTTTTCTGCCTTTAGATTGAACTGAAACATCAAAACTTCCTGGGTCTGAAGCCTGATGGCTTTTGGGTTGCAAGTACACCATCAATCCTCCTGTTTCCCAGGCCTTCAGACTTGGACTGGGACTAAACTACCAGGCTCTCTTGAGTTTTCAACTTGATGACTCACTCTGCATATCTTGGGACTTGCCTTCCTCCATAATCACATCTGCTATTTCCTTATATTAGGTTGGTGCAACAGTAATTGCAGTTTTTGCCATTATTTTTTTTTAATGCAGTGAATTACATTTATTAATTTCCATATTTTTATGTACATTCAATTTTTTTAATTTTTAAGTTCTGAGGTACATGTGCAGGATGTGCAGGTTTATTACATACGTAAATGTGTGCAATGGTGGTTTGCTGTACCTATCAACCCATCACCTAGGTGTTAAGCCCAGCATGCATTAGCTATTTTTTCTAATGCTCCCCTTCACCACACCCCATGCCCTGACAGGCTCCAGTGTGTGTTCTTCCCCTCACTGTTTCCATGTGTTCTCATTCTCATTGTTCAGCTCCCACTTCTAAGTGAGAACATGTGGTGTTTGGTTTTCTGTTCCTGCATTAGTTTACTGAAGATAATGGCTTTCGGCTCCATCCATGTCCCAGCAAAGGGCATGATCTCATCCCTTTTTATGGTTAGATAGTATTTCATGGTTTATATGTACCACATTTTTTAAATTGTCTATCATTGATGGCCATTTGGGTTGATTCTATGTCTTTGCTATTGTGAATAGTGCTACAATGAACATACATGTGCATGTATCTTAGTAATAGAATGATTTATACTCCTTTAGGTATATACCCAGTAATGGGATTGTGAGGTCAAATGGTATTTCTGGTTCTAAATCTTTGAGGAATTGCCACACTGTCTTCCACAATGGTTGAATTAGTTTACAGTCCCACCAACAGTGTAAAAGTGTTCCTATTTCTCTGCAACCTTGCTAGCATCTGTTGTTTCTTGACTTTAAAAACCACCATTCTGACTGGTGTCAGATGGTATTTCATTGTGGTTTTGATTTGCATTTCTCTAATGATCAGTGACATTGAGACTTTTTTCGTATGTTTCTTAGCCACATAAATGTCTTCTTTTGAGAAGTGTCTGTTCATGTCCTTTGCCCACTTTTTAATGGGGTTGTTTGTGTGTTTCTTTTGTAAATATGTCTAAGTTCCTCATAGATTCTGGATATTAGACCTTTGTCAGATGGGTAGATTGCAGAAATTTTCTCCCATTCTGTAGGTTGCCTGTTCGCTCTGATGATAGTTTATTTTGCTGTTTAGAAGCTCTGTATTTAATTGTATTTTTCTTTATTTTGAGATGAAGTCTCACTCTTTCACCCATGCTAGAGTGCAGTGGTGCGATCTCAGCTCACTGCAACCTCTGCCTCCTGGGTTCAAGCAATTCTCCTGCCTCAGCCTCCTGAGTAGCTGAGATTACAGGTACGCACCACCATACCCAGCACATTTTTTGTATTTTTAGTAGAGATGGAGTTTCACCATGTTGGCCAGGCTGCTCTTATACTCCCCACCTCAAGTGATCCACCCACCTTGGCCTCCCAAAGTGCTGGGATTACAGGCGTGAGCCACCATGCCCGATCTCTTTAGTTTAATTAGATCTCATTTGACAGTGTTTGCTTTTGTTGCAATTGTTTTTGACATTTTCATCATGAAATCTTTGCCTGTGTCTATGTCCGGAATGGTATTGCCTAGGTTTTCTTCTAAAGTTTTTATAGTTTTGGGTTTTACACTTAAGTCTTTAATGCATCTTGAGTTAATTTATGTATAAGATGTAAGGAAGGGGTCCAGTTTCAATTTTCTGCATATGGCTAGCCAGTTCTCCCAGCACAATTTATAAAATAGGGAATCCCTTCCCCATTACTTGTTTTTACCAGGTTTGTTGAAGATCAGATTGTTTCAGATGCGCGGTCTTACTTCTGAGTTCTCCATTCTGTTCCATTAGTCAGTGTGTCTGTTTGGTATCAGTACCATGCTGTTTCAGTTAGTTACTGTCACCTTGTAGTATAATTTGAAGTTGGGTAAATCCTGTTGATTCTATTTTTCTGGAGAACCATGACTAACATAGGGCCATCTATTTTTGAGGCACTTTGTGACTAATCACTGTCATCTGTCAGTTTGGTGGCATGTACTTGAAATCTAGGGACATAAACTCCTAAATTTCCCATAAAATAAATTTTGTCTATGAGTTTATTAATAACAATGACTGTGTCTAAGGATTTAGGCTATAAAATCAAAAACAGATTTACATTCTTTAATTGGACATGGAGACCTCTGGGTCCTTAATCATTTCTAATCATCCTTGCTGCCCAATTTAATACTCATATAATCTAGTAAGTATCTTTAAATATATCACCTTTCATTTACCCTATAAAAATCTGCATCTCTGGTGAAGGAACCCAGCAATTATTTGTTAATGAGAGGAATAAAGTTCATCTTCCCCTTATCTAGTATAAATTCATTTTATATGGGAGGAAAAGTGATCTGTAAACTCATTAGACCATACATATTTTTTCAGTGTGTCTCTAAGATTCTTCCACGTCTTCTTAATCATTTCTAAGATTGGCTTAGTCTACAGAAATGCACACTTAGCCTTTCATTTCCTGACTCAAATTAAATATTCTTATGGTATGTTATCCCTTCAAGCCCATACTACACAAGTATATTATTATTTGAAAAAGAAAGGATGGTATTTGGCAAGGGCTTTTTTTAATGTATATTCTTTTACACCTTAGATTTCCCATAACTACATGGTACTTATTTATCTTAATAGGCACCATGAAATTTATTCCTCATGAGGTCCTTCTCTATATAAGTTATATTCTTCTTTCAGTCTTGAATGATGAAAAGCTGAATTACAGGCTTCACCTGCTGTAAGAAGGTGGTTCACCAGTTTGTTAGTCCACTGGACCACTCTGAATTCTACTCTTCTTATGAATACAAATTCATGTGCAGTGTTTCCTAGGAGATAGTGTTATAAATAGGCTTCTTTTCCTAACTAACTTTTATTTTAGGTTCAGGAGTACAAGAGCAGGTCTGTTACATATTTAAACTTGTGTCACGAGGGTTTGTTGTACAGATTATGTCATCACTCACTCAGGTATTAAGCCTAGTACCCTTTTGTTACTTTTCCTGATCCTCTCCCTCCTTTCACCCTCCATCCTCCAATAGGCCCCAGTGTGTGATGTTCCCCTCCATGTGTCCATGTGTTCTCATCATTTAGCTCCCACTCATAAGTGAGAACACGTGGTATTTGGTTTTCTGTTCCTGTATTAATTTGCTAAGGCTTCTAATAGTACATAGCATTTTACCACAGGAAGACTTGTAGGAGATCACAGAAAGTTCTAAATTTTATGATAATACTAACATACTGTGTTTATGTTGATTGTTACAATGGGTTTTGAATAGAAAAACATGTCTGAGTGGATTTCCACCATGTAGCCTTCTGTATAACTAAGTTTGAGATAATTATTTAGTCTTCCCCCCACCTCCGATGTCCTGTGTCTGTATTCATCCTACAGCATCTTCTCAGTGAATTTAGTTTCACACTTACTTTCAAGTCAGAAATGAACTTCTTAAACAAGGGAAATAACTTCATAAATCATTCACCAAATGGTCAACTTTCCTGCCATTTTTAGGTTCCATTTCCTGTATTTTAGAAAAAGAGGCAGCTCTTCTACCTAACAGTATTTTCCAGTTTTAAATATTAGTTAGAGAAGATTCACATATCTATAACTGAGATGATATAATTATTAATAGCCTTTGGTTATAAGTGAAACTCAACTGAAACTAGGCTGAACAAAACAAATTACAAGAAGAGGAGTTTATTAGGCTGTGGAATCAAAAAAAAGATTCAAACTGTCCTCCTTGTCACTGAGTCTCAGGAAAACATGGAATCAGAGATTTGAAGATTCTTTTTATTTATTATCATTTCTTTATCTATAATTTACTCTAAATATTTATTATAGTTTGAAGTCACTTGCCTGATGAAAAACATTGTCATTAACAATTCTAAGCATTGCATTTTAGTAATTCTACAACAAAAGCATTACTCTTTTTTTTTTTGCAATGTCATATTGAAAAATTCTTTTTAAAAAAGTTCTTCTACTGCGGTTAGGAGTTTGGAGATACAATGCAAAATATCAGTTTTCATAGGGAACAATATTTTTGGAGTAGAAGGAGGAGAAATTTTCAGAAAAAGAAAGTAGGTACTACAAGCATGACGGAATACAAGGCAAAAAGTAGAAGCCACTAAGGATAGTCTACTGTAGTGGAGTACCATTCACACTGGCCTTATAGTTAGAAGATATAAATTTGAATCATGACTATACCAATTAAAAATGTTATGCCCTTGGAGGGAATATTTAACTTTTTTATATTAAATTTCCCCATCAAGAAAACAGTGATAATATCTACCCCACAATATTTTTATGAATAAAATAAGTTGTGGATGTAGTAGAGCATAATTAAGGGACACATGTTTGGTTTTATGAATGATTGAAAACAGGACAAAAACCTACCATCACATATATGCACTCACACTCACAATTTAGTATTCAGACTGTGTTGCTCAGGTGACATGGCGTGACAAGGATAAAAAACATGATAAAGCTGATTTTTTTATATGTTCAGTTCTTTCACAATTACATCTCTTAATGAAACAGAATATAAATAAGGATTGCAGTTTTTCTTAAGTTGGACTCTCTATGAGCAATACCTGAGATAGGGATTCAAATGTGTGCAATTTATTAATGAATGCTCTCAGGAGACAGGGAGCAAGTAAAAGCAGTGTGGACAGGGGAAGGAGGTAAGCAAGTGCATACTGAAGCTGGAGCTTAGCTTCAGAAGGCAAGAGGGTCAGTATTTGCCTATGGCCTGCTACCTAAGGAGCAGGGGCCATTTTCTTCATAAGACATTTCCTGCTGAGTTGAGAACAACAACCTGCAGAAAGCAGAAACATGAACAATGAGCAGCCAACATTCACAGGTGCACAATTCTGTAAAATGATCGGGGTAAAACACCAAAGACATAAACAATATCTTCTATATAGTCCCCTCTCTTGTCTCACTGAAGTATTATTTTTGCTCTGATTAAAGTATAATTAAGACATAACCTCCCTCTTTTTAGGATATTTTAAATTGAGTTATGGGTCCCTTCCTAACTCATCAGACAATTTTAATCAAATGAGAATGACATTGTTGTATTCTTTGGGAAATTTACACTTATTACATGGAATCAGAATGTATGTACAGAAAGCAATCATTCTTCAAAAAAATGCAGAAACCTATTTTTTTTTGTTCCTTCAGACCTTTTTCATAGCAAAAGGAGGGTGAAGGAACTGTCTCTTCCACTAATTTGGACTAGTCAGCCAGCGTAGATATCTGAGGATGGCCTCAACATTGGAGCTAGCAACTAGGGTAGTAGAATAAGAATGAGAGCAAGATAGAAGGAGGTACTGACTGTGTCTACGTCCTCTCATTTATCCGTGATTCCTCTTCTCACATTTTTTTGTTACAAGTTTGTCAGAAGGTACTGCCTTGGGGAATAAATATGAGTTTATGGTTTTTGAGACAAATTCATTATAATTTGATGGAGGGAGGAGGAACCAACTAGACTGTTGAGATGATAAGTAATTAGGTCACTGATCAAAGAAGATTATATTCTTTTTTGCAGGAAAATTCCTGGACTTCAGTGACCAAATTTATAGGTTCCCATTGTTTGTATGGACACCTGCAGAGAAATTCATAAGAGTTGGAAATTAGATTTGACATAGTAAACCAAACTCTATTCCATTTCACTCGAACCAACTAATAATTTTATATTTTTATGATTCTGTTCCTATCTGCTAACTTTATACCATGAAATAAACATATGTTAGTTACATTATAGACATACCAATAGATGCCTAAGGTATTGTTATCACAATAATTTAGTGGAAAGCTTAGAGAAATATTCCGTTTACAGGAATGCAACAAAAATTTGTACAAACTACATTTAGCTAAAGAGTTGGGCTTAAAGAGATACCTTAGGGAAACTTGAAGCTGTATTTTAACACCTATTTTACCAAGTCATATGAGCATGCATGCTAGATATGAGACTTCTTTGCTCTCCTGCTAAATATTAGAGTTTTTACATTCTGTGAGAGTGACTGTGATGATTGGAGATCAGGTTCCAATTCTATGGGTAGTAAAAAGGTGAAGAATGGCATTCTGAATCTGCTTGGTCTTGACACTATATGTTATAGGATTCATTAGTGGAGGGAACAGAAAATAGGCATAGCTCATAATGAGGTGAACAATATGTGGAACCTGCTTTCCAAAACGATGAATCAGAGACAATCCAATCACTGTGACATAAAAAACCAGGACACAGCAGATATGGGAGACACAGGTAATGAGAGCCTTGGCCCTCTCCTCTCTGGAGGCAATGCTCAGGACAGTCTTGAGTATCAACACATAGGAGATGAAGATAATCAGATAATCCAGCACAAATATAAAGACTACAAGCACAGCTGGGTACAGTCGGTTGAAGGTGGTATCAGCACAGGCGAGTTTAATGACATCCTGGTGAAGGCAGAATGCATGTGAAAGAACATGGGAGTGACAATACAGAAAAAAATAGAGGGGCCTGATTGGGGGAACAACGGATACAAATCCCCTCATCAGAACTCCCAGCCCAATCTTCACTACTCGAGTATTAGTAAGTACAGAGGTATATCTAAGAGGGTTGCAGATGGCAATAAAACGGTCATAGGCCATGGCAAGCAGAATGCCAGACTCGAGAAAGGAAAGTGAGTGTATAAAGTAGGCCTGGGAAAAGCAGGCCGCACTTCCAATCTCCCTGTGATCCAGCCAGAGGACTCCCAGCACCGTGGGCATTGTGGTCAGGGCCAGCCCCAGGTCTGTGGCAGCCAGCATGGCCAGAAAGAAGTACATGGGCTCATGAAGATTGTGATCTTCCTTAATGAGAAGAAGGAGGGTGCCATTGCCAAAAAGGATGGATATATACATGAACAAGAAAAATACGGAAATCCAGTGATGAGCTTCCTCCAAGCCTGGAAAACCAGTCAATAGGAAGGGATGGGAGCTGCCGCTGGACGACATCCTGGGTTTATATAGAAGAAATGTCTTTCTGTTTCTGTTATTACCACAGTGCACAGTTCTACCTTCAAGGTATCACTTCGACTATATCATTCTCAGAATTTTTTCCTAAAGATAATAATGACATCAATATAAGTGATTGTTTCTCAAAATACATTCTCAGGGTTACTCATACTATTTGTATTCTTAACTGCACATTCCAGGATCTATCTCCTACCTACGTAATCAAATTCTTGGAGTTTCAACTGTTTATATGCATTTAAGCATTCTCTTCAGAAAAAAAATTATGTAAACTACAACTTCTAAACTGTTACCCTTAACTATGCAGATTTTAAAGAATTCGTATTCTATGGGGCATTCAAGGGGATTTCCAGAAAGCTAACACTAATTTTTTTCTGGTCTACCACCTAAACCTGTAATTGCCTTCACAGTAGTGATCCCTAATCCACATTTTCCTGCATGTAAAGACTTACCTGAATTATCAGCTAAAGTCTCAACAGCCTAAGAAAGAAAAGTGTGGGAAGAGAAACTCTGCCACTACCACTGTAGCTAAGGAGCAGTCAGATTGAGAAAGAGACACTTGGCCTCCAGATTTCATGGACTAGTGATGGGGAACAGACATTCACGATTAGTGTGAATTACCCTCTTGTAGAATCCTTCAGTACTACTCACTACTTGTGACAATAGCTCAGTCTAATTATAAGTTAGACTTTGGGGCTGGAATAAATGATTAGGCCAGCCAAAGACATCACTTATAATAGTGTATCTCCTTCAGTTTAAACATCTTACTGTTTCTTATTTACAAGTAGTGTCTTTTTCTTTTTAAATTATTTTTCTATAGGCCTACTGAAGTAATTCCCTAGAATCTGACCTCTCTCATTTCAAGTTCTCCATTTATATTTAAACATCCATCTTCCTGGTTTCCTTCCCTTTATCCCCAGCCATAGGCTTCTGAATCTGTTCTCCCCAATACTGAGTGAGAGCTATTTCCCTGCTTAAACGTGGTGCTGTCTTTTACTGAAGAGAAGAGATTAGTCCTTTGAGAAGGTTTTAATATTCCTTCTGCCACTAGACTAGGGGCTTCTTGCATATAGACATGGTGTTTATTTGCTTTGCTCAACACCTTGCAAAGTATCTAACATGTGACTGATAAACATTTCTTAGTTCACCTAATATTTGTGAACACGCATCATGTGACAGCCATGATATTTAAAGCTCTCTGGAATTAAATGGTAATAAGACAAAGTCCCTAATCTTATAAACCATAAATTAAGTTGAAAAATAAATAAGACAATTTTAAACAAATATAAATGCAAGTTTAACATAAAACAGTACTACTTGATGTAGATTAATTGGATGGTATTGTATACAAGATAGTATAGCAGTTTGAGGGGCCTAGAACTGCACCTATGAGGAGGTCCCATTTGAACTGAGACCTCAATACAAAAGAAAACCTGACCGTATACAGACCTAGAGGAAAACTGTTCCAGAGGGAAAATCAGCATGACTGGCATTTGATAAGAAAACAGGAGAGGGACAATAGATGATGTCAAAGAAGCAGGTAGTAATCAAGTGTCATAGGGCCTTACAGACCACCACGGAATTTTTGTTTTGTTTTGTTTTCTTCTTACTATAAATGTAGTAAAGACATTAGGACACTTTGAAAATCACAATGGAAAATAGTGTGGTGATATATTCTGATTTGTATTTTTAAATTACTCACTTAGACTGCTATGTGAAGAAGACTAAGCAAGAGACAAGAAAAGAGATGAGTTAGAAAGCTATTTTAAAAATCCATATGAAGAGTCATGGTGACCTTGACTAGGAGAGAAGCAGGGGAAATGAAAAAAAGAGAAAAATAGAAAAACTTAAACAGAGACAGATGCATTTTTGAAGTAGTGCCAAGATTTGCTGATATATTAAAAATGGGAGTGAGGGAAAAATCAAATGAGGTTTCCCCTAGATTTCTGTTTGAACAAATGAAAGAATGGTGAAGCCATTTACTCAAAATGGAAGTCTGAGGGGGATACATATTCACTTGTGAGGAAATCAAGAGTCATTAGTAAATATAGCTGAATTAGAGCAAATGCATCCCTTGCTTTTTTTTCTTGTCACATGCCAGAACAACTTCTTGAAGTTGTTTTTATCCTAAGTTAAAAAGATGGTCGTATCCAAATATACCCCTTCAGAGTTACTTTGTCAGTGTAAGGCACTACCCTAAAGATGCCACCAAAGGAAACGATCCTCTTACCTTCCACCCATAGAGATGAGATCTAACTGTAATAGTTTCAGTGAAGAGATGCCAGACAACTGGGCGTGAGGCAACAACTCAGCACTTTGAAAGAATCATTTTTCAGCATCCATATTCTGTCCTAGGACTGAGAGACATAAACCAGAATTCAGTGCCTACTGAACATACAATGAGTGATGTATATTCTTCAGTTACTAGACGCAAAGATAATCCAGCTTAGCTCCTCCCCTTCTGTGTTCTATGTACTTCATTTCTCTGTCAACACTCTTACTTCTCTGACGTTTCAGCAATAATCTCCTTTAACCTAATCTTTCACTGTATCTCAACTTTGTGAAAAATTCCTTCTTATCAGAGAATATGCAGCACAAGTGATGAATCACTACAGGGAAAGCTAACCAAACTGTAAGGCAATGATTGTATTTTGCCAATAATAACCTGCAACTTAAAGTTTCCTCCTTCTCCATTCCCAAGAATTCCATGCAGACATACCTGGTAATGCAGCTATAATAGTGATCTATGGAATCACTCTACTTTGTTTTGTGAAAATTCTTGTGTCCTCAGCTAGTCGTGGCTCTTGGTTTCTGAGAAGAAAGACAATGAGAGAAGAGATAAAAGCTGAGGAAAAAAAATATAGGGAAGGAAAGAGATCATAAAGACTGAGGATAGAAGCAAGAAGATTCTATAATGGAACACCTAGAAAATCAGATAAACTTCTAACATTTACAGCCATAATTTTTCTCTGCTTTGTTTAAAAAGTAAAATGTAGTAGAATAAGAGGTGCCTTCCTGTTCATCTTTTAGAAAGGAAAGAAGACATATGAGAGGGTCAATCATATTCACATCACTGAGTACAGAAGGTCTTAGGTAGTTGGTTGGTAGCACTTGGAATTGCTTTTGAAGTTCTATCAACTTCAGACTGAAATCTGTGCACACATCCAAAGCTGTGGACTATTGAGATCCTTCACTTCTTCTCCGTATCTTTCTCTGGAGAGCTTATAGAGGAGTCTCCTAGTACACTCTTTATATATCTAGGAGTATTTCACCATACTCCCAGGTACCATAACTTGTTTGATGGTGAGGAAGAGCAGGGTTCTTGTGTCTTACCTAAAGACTTAGATCATGTTGTTCCTTCTCAACATCTGTGAAGAGAAGCAGTCACTGTGGTTATTAATAAAGATAGCACCTTCCCAGATGTCTCCCTTTTATAGCCAACTTGGATCTTAAGAAATATTTACTCTGTATTAACTCCTCCTTAGAGGGAGCTGGAACACTTAATTAGTCCCCCCAAGCTTTTAAATAATCTTTCTTTTTTCAAATAAGTTACTGGCTGAATCAAGCCACTGGTAGGACCTTTATGTGTGGGGAATCAGACAGCCTGTCTTCATAGCCCCAGCAGACTCTGGTATCACCTCTGGGAGGTAATTTATTCCCTACATTTACTTCAACAGTCAAATCTTTCCCAGTTTATCTCAAGAGAAAGCCTATATATCTTCTTGGCCTATGTAACCTGAATTTCTACTATATTTCCTGCTTGGTTTAGATCAGAGAAAGCTTGAAAGCAGAGAGCTAGATAGACTAGAGTCAATATAATAAAATTCAGGCAGCCTTCTCTAGTACCCAACGTGAACGCACATTCTGCAGTTATCACTAACTATTCCCTTCTTGAGTTTAGCCTACCAGAAGTTTTCTCTTTTCCAGGGGATGCAGCAGGCATACTCATCACATGGTGCTTCAGCCAAGCACACCACATCACTTTGTGATGGCAATTATTATATGCGTTTTACAGTAAGGACTATGAAATGCAATGAGATAAAATAATTCCAAAGTAGCACAGCAAGAGCCAAAGCCACAATGTAGACAAAATATTCAACCTCCAACAGAGGAAAACCTCCAGTAAAAGCCAGGACAGAGACAGAGATCTTGAGTTGTGCTGTTCAAAGCCCAATACCCACAAGGCTGAGGGCACAAATAATAGAGAAAAAGATGGAAGGAAGGAGGTAGGGAGAGAGGGAAGAGAGGAGGGAGCAGAAGAGGGAGGGAGGGAAGAACAATAATTATCTAAATCAGGAATGGTCTCTGGGGAGGAGCTTCTAAAATAAATGTTCCTACCAGCCAGGCTCATGTGCAGATTCTGAAAAGATGATGCCCAAATCTTTCATACGGCTAAAGATGTGAGATACATGACTATGGAACTGAAGAATGGAAGGGAACAAAGTTTCAGGTCAGTGAGGGTATTTAATGAATCTCCTCTGTAAGATCTCATTGCAGGAACCAAGGCAAAAAAAAAACAGAGAGATCGAAGCTGATTTCTTAGCAAGAGAAAAGTAATAGTGTTGTCTGCTAAGAGTAGATATATGTAGTAGGCATGGGTCCTAAAGACTCCCTGACATCTCTAAAACTTGGTTTCTTTGAGAGTTACCTCTTCAAATATAAAAAAGTGAAGGATAGATTCTGGAACACATAAGGCAAACAATTCTACGAACAAACCAGAGCATGGGTGTTGACTCAGGCATGAATTATGGGGTTGTAGTAATTTCTCTCCACCTGACTGATTCTTTAATCTCTCTGGCTTCCATTCTAACCCTGAGAGTCCCCCTGCCCCCAACCCCATGTCTTTTACCTTAGAAGTCCAGATAAGTGCCAAATATAGAATCAACTCTTCCAAATTCTTGAGGAGGTATACCTCTGTAATCATCAGAGGTTCAAATACTTTCTAGAAAAAAAGTCACTATCTGACCATATGACTAATAAACCAATTCAAAATTAAGCTTGGACGGAGCTTGGGTTATGTGTGCCTCTGGATCAGGGGTACAGATTCACATAGCCTGTGTGACTTTAGCACCTGGAAAGGTTTATATTGTGTAACAGGCATCCACTACTCTTCCATCTTCTTTTGCCTGCTTTCTTCTAGCCGCCCTGGCAGCTGATTAGATAGTACCCACCCAGACGGAGGGTGGGTGGGTCTGCCTCTCCCAGTCTACTGACTCAAATGTTAATCTCCTTTGGCAACACCCTTACAGCACACCCAGGAACAATACTTTGCATCCTTCAATCCAATCAAGTTTGCACTCAATATTAACCATCACAGAAAGGATAATAGCCAAAGGTAAGGGGGTAAAAAAAGGATGGAGATACTAAGTGCTTGAGACAGAAAAGAGTGTCAGGAAAAGTGAAGGAAAAAAGCCAAAGGGAAGGTGAGAGAATATATGAAAGTTAACATCTGAATGGGCTCCTGCTGAGGTGTCTGCATAGAGCCATCAGTTTATGCGGCAGAGTTTGAGACTTTGAGAATTAGTTTCTCATTAATAAAAACTCAAGTCTATTCTATGACAGAGACCCTGGAAGAGGGTGAATGGCTGCAGGGATGAGGCAAAGGTTTTAGATTTTTATCCCCTCTGAAACTCACAGATCATCTCATATACCACAAAAGCAACTGAGTGAATCAAGTGAAAGCACTCAGTTTTCAATATGAAAACAGACAAGACAAACAGCTATTTTAAGGATTCTTCCCAAAAAATGAGGTGTATATAATGCCCCAGTCCAATACTTGACACACGGTAGAAATTCAACAATTATTTGTTCCATACATTTGTTTCTCAGCTTTATTTTCCCTATCTGGTATTCCTACTCCTGTTTTTTTTTAATTTATCAATTATATGTTTATTTAGTAGTAATATAACACAATTAACTAGATTAATGTTCTGTATTATCTTTTCCCTCCCAGCTTTATTTAGGTATATTTAAAATTTGCTAAGAAAGCAGACCTCACATATTTTTACTACCAAAAAAATTAAAGTTATTATGTGAGGTGATAGATATATTAATTAGTTTGATTATGGTAATCATTTAACAATGAATACCTATAATAAAACAATAAGTTATATACCTATGTACAATTTTTATTTGCCATACTGCTTCTTTAATCCTGCATAAGCTGAGTATTGTCTGAACCTCTCACTGGCAGGCAGATTGAGCAATAATACCTCCTTTTCTCACTTTTTGAGGACAGAGTTGCTTTCCCCTCTACTTCCCTCAGTCCCAATGCCCCAGGCTCAACGTTACTTTTAGCTATGTCAGAAGTTCCCACATTGGCTCATCAATCTTTTCTCCTTTCCCTTTCCCACCCAGACATATCACATTTTATCTGCTGATTAGAGAAACTATAGTTTAATATCTTTATTTAAAGTCAAACACAGGCTCCTAAAAACCCCATCATCATCTTATATCTGTTCCCAAGGCTTCCACAGAAAAAAAGGAAATCATTTGACACACCTCTGGGTGAATAATCCTGACATGTACTCACTAGAGAAAGAGAAAGGAGGTACTTCTCTGAAACAATAACAAAAACACAAAAATAAAAAAATTATCCACTCTTTACAAAACATTTCCCCTTACTTTGTGTCAAGAGAATGACTGAGAAGACAGAAATCACTAGTAGTCTTTACAGGTTATGTAACCAAATCTCAAGATTAAATTACTTTCCCAAGATCATTATTGTTAGAAAGAGCAGAGCTGAAACTTCAACAAATTCTTCTGAAAATGAAAGTCCAGTAATCTTGGATGCATTCTTTTCATGGACAGAAAGAGGTCTTGTAAATCGTGCATAAATTTACATCAATATGCTCTTTCAATAGTATATGAGATGTATAGTCCAAACCAACCATAAGAGAAGGTGGGCCTATTTTCTCTGGCTCATGCCACCAACACACAATTTATGTATTCTCAGAGGTTGGCTGCCTGCACCAGCTGAAATCTTAGAATTCTAATGAGTCACAGAGCCTTCTCACTTTTGTCAAATCCCATCAGATTCCATAGTTTTAAAAAAAAAATTCTCCTTGATCTTGCCTAAATTACCAATTTTTATTTTTGCATCACCAAGTAGGTGATATGCAACAGTAGTTTGGTGCTATTATCAATTAGTGCCTTCAAAAGCTTATCATCAAATCCACATTTTACTGTTTATTCTTCAATTTATATTATGAAAATTTGAATTCTTTGAAGCAGTGTATCAATAACTAGGGTTATAAAGCTGGGCAACTTAGAGTTCTATGTGCTTTGGAAACACACACAGGTAAGTCACTCTTACGTCATTTTCTAACTACCCAAAAGTCTCTGGAGCTTCATCAATTGAATTTTCCCTCCAGGAATATTGAAGAAAAGTCAATCTCTGAAATTTACTATTTTATTGTATTTGCTCATATATTTCTTACTTGTGTATTTGTTTTTCCATATAATCTTTATATCTGCTTTTCCAATAGTGCTTAGAACCATTTTTCTACTGATCTTTTAGGTCTCACATAGCCTGGGAAACCTTTACATCCACCCTATAATACCACCAGTCAGGATGAAGAGCACCATGAAAAGTGACCTATAAGTTTCAGGCCATTACAGCACTATTCAAATATAGTGATTTCTTCTTTCATTTTGTTTTTATTTTCTGGGTTATATGATTTACAATGAATTCAACAATGTTTATTCTGCATGAATAGCTGTATCCCCAACGTAGTATCCAATAATCTTACATAGAGTAAACCCTAAATAATATCTTCTTTATACATTCTATTTTCCCATACCTAGGATCTCCCAGGAATGACTAAATTATCATCCTTGCTGTCACTGAAAGTCAGGACTGGTGAACATCTTATGAACAGGTAGAATTCTCAAGGAGCAACTTTTATACAACTGATTACTATTGCTTTACCTGGAGTAAATATTTGCCTCTTTGCAAAGCTGGCAATGGGGCTCAATAAGTCTGCTTCCACCTTCCAGCTTACTGGCTTCCCAGGCATGGAGAAGGCACATCACTGGATATTCATCCCATTATTGGCAGCCTACATCTCCATACTTCTTGGCAATGGCACTCTTCTCTTTCTCATCAGGAATGATCATAACCTCCATGAGCCCATGTACTATTTCTTAGCTATGTTGGCAGCTACAGACCTCGGAGTGACATTGACCACAATGCCCACAGTGCTAGGTGTTCTGTGGTTAGATCACAGGGAGATTGGCCATGGAGCCTGCTTCTCTCAGGCCTATTTTATCCATACTCTTTCTGTCATGGAGTCAGGTGTCTTGCTTGCCATGGCTTATGACTGTTTCATTACCATCCGCAGCCCCTTAAGATATACCTCTATCCTGACCAACACCCAGGTAATGAAGATTGGTGTGCGGGTATTGACAAGGGCTGGTCTGTCCATTATGCCAATAGTTGTTCGCCTACACTGGTTTCCCTACTGTCGATCCCATGTACTCTCCCATGCTTTCTGTCTACACCAAGATGTCATCAAGCTAGCCTGTGCTGACATCACCTTCAACCGTCTCTATCCAGTTGTAGTTTTATTTGCAATGGTCTTGTTGGACTTTCTCATCATCTTTTTCTCCTACATTTTGATTCTCAAGACTGTCATGGGCATTGGTTCTGGAGGAGAAAGGGCCAAGGCCCTCAACACATGTGTCTCTCATATCTGCTGCATCCTGGTCTTCTATGTCACTGTAGTTTGTCTGACATTTATTCATAGGTTTGGAAAGCATGTTCCTCATGTCGTTCACATCACAATGAGCTACATCCACTTCCTTTTCCCACCTTTTATGAACCCATTTATCTATAGCATTAAAACTAAGCAGATTCAGAGTGGCATACTTCGTTTATTCTCTCTGCCTCACTCTAGAGCATGACATTGTTTCACTGGTCTCTGAGGAATAATTCAGGGGACCTGGACAGGATGACAATGTTGCCAGCATAAGTAACTAGGGAAAGTCATTTCAATGAGAACTAATCAATCCCTGAGCATTTCAGTGGAAATCAGTCAATCCCTCTGCTACTTAGAACATTATTTTACCCTGCCTGTCTATTGCTGATTTGTATAAGATATATGTACAACACTAAGTACATATCTCAGTGCTCAACTGATATTGTTTTCTCAGGTAATTTAACTCACATTGTTTGATTAGCTTATGGCTGGCACCATACACATACATACATACTTACACACATACATATACACACACAGATACATACCCATACACTATTATATATATTTAATATATATAATACACACTATTATATATACTTAATATATAATAGTGTGTGTATGTATCTGTGTGTGTTTATATATATTATATAAATAATATATATATATGAACCAATTATATATATAATTCTTGGGTCTATGATTTGGGTCACCGGCATTTCAGTCAATGCCCATTGCTCTCCATATGGCTTGCATATATTAGTCCTGTTATACATAGGAATAAGGCATTTTTGGCTTCAGACATACATCCAGTTCTCTTGCATATATGGAGCTGGCTGCTGTTTCTAGAAAATTGCACGTGAAGAAATGAGACTTTCTTCAATGAGAGTAAGCCATTTCCCTCAATTACTTTCTTCAATGAGGGTAAACCATTTCCCTCAATTCAAAATGATGAGTCTAGGGAAAGTATCTCTATGAGAAATGTGTTCAGTTAAAACTTTGGTTAACATTTATCAAATAATATTGATAATAATTTGAAAACAGAGATATAATTTCTAATTCAGATGACCATTGTCTTGATAGTTAATTCCAGTTACTACTGAACAGAGAGATGCATTTTCATAAAGTGGTATGAGAGGTCTGGTTTAGGGGAACATCAGAGATAAGACTAGATAGGGGTGTCTGGCATGTGCAAAATAGCAGAGTTGAAAAACAAACAGTTGGTCATATGTGGAGAGTGGGGAGGAAGGGAGAGGATGGAGGCAATGCTCATAACTAGAAGATAAAATGGCCTTTTCTGGCTCCAAATACTTTTGATTCTTTTCAGAGTCTAGGCATGAGAAGAGGGGGTTTGTGGTCCTATGGCCAGGTGAAGAGCCAGTATCCATGACTCAAATGATAAGTTTTAAATTAATTTTAAAAGAAAGATATTCTTTTGACCAAAATACAGGGTATGATGTGCTTGGACTACACAAGGGGCCACCCAGTGACCAGTCAGCTGGATGCCCCTCATCTCTGGCCTCTGTCATACTGACACTCAGTGATCTATGGCTGCCCACCTACTCTTCATCACAGAAAGGTGGGGATTTTTTAGGATTCTTGGGATGTATAAATAACACAGAGAAAACAAAAATAAAATAATACCTTCACAATAGTTTCCAGGCTAGTAAATGATCTTTATCTGATTAGACCAAAAGATTTTGTTTGTTTTACTCAACTTGGCTGTGTGTGAAATTTGCCTTTCTCTTTTGTAGCTTCTTGACTGTGTGCTCGAGGATGGTAAATATAACATAGTTCTTATTCCCTACTGTATTACAGAACTTCTCACATAGACCATTTTTAACAAAATATAATTTTTCATTAAAATGAATAAATAAAATTTAAAGTGACCCATGTCTTTCTGTGTGTCTGCTAGTTCTTCTGTCTGTTACTGCTCTCTGTATTGTCTTCCAAGATATGGGCAATGTATACTTAATCCTGTTCTTTCTTCCCTTGGGCTTTTGGGAATGAATTCAGGGGGATCTAAGCCACATCAAAGAAAATCTTTCTTGACTCACCCTCTAGGTCCAGTGATCCTGAAACCTGCCATAGCAGGCTAGTATAAAGATAACTAGGATAACAATACATTTTATAAATTCTGTAAATGGACACATTTGACTGACAACCCTGAGTTTCTCTCCTCCCTTTCTGTTCTTCCTTATACTGAAGAGATGTGATGAAGAGACAAGATAAAAAGTCCAAGAGAGGTGAAAGACTGGGACTTGCAGTTCTCTTTGTGGAGTCCCGTGAAACAGAGCAGAGCTCTGGGCTCCCGATGGTCCCTGAACAACATATCAACAGTAGGGTCGAAGACCTCACCCCTCCTCATGATCCTCCCCACTTCCTCCCGCCCCTCCACGCCACCAGCCACACTGAGCGCTCAGCTCCTCCCAGGTCCTGGACCTGCAGCCCTGGCCAACATCAAGAGGGCATCTTTGCCAAGAATGCCTGGAAGAGACTCAGCCACTCACAGGAAAACGTCCTCCAGAAGCCAGGGAAAGCTGCTGAGACAAAAGACAAACAGTTTGAAGAATATGTCCAGAACTTCAAGCCACAAGAAGCAGAGGGTACCAGACCTGAGAGAACTCTGAGGATGTTTAGAAGCAATCAAAGGCATTCAAGAGACCTTGACGAAGCTGAGTCACTGTGTGAAGTCTGTGCGCTGGATTGGTCTGGGCAGGAAGGTGTGAAAATGGTTGGTGAGAAAGGTGATGTGCTCTGGGAGGATATCCACAAAAAACTCATGGATGCATCCTTGCTAACACTGGAAAACTACCTGGACCAATTTCCTGACTTGAAGAATCACATCACCAAGTGCAGCAGGAAGCTTACGGACTATGACAGTGCCTGCCCACCTCCATCGGGCTCAACAGAGCTTCAGGAGGAAGGATAGGAGCCTCTGTCTAAGGCAGAAGTAGAATTTCAGAAAGCATAGAGAAAGTTTGAAGAGTTTAATGGTGACTTACAAGAAAAGTTACCATTATTATAGTCAAGACGAATTGGATTTTATATTAATACTTTCAAAAACATCTCCAGCCTTGAAGCTAAGTTTCATAAGGAAACTGTGGTGCTTTGGTACAAACAGTATGAAGTGATGATGAAACTGGGTGACCAGTATGCTGACAAGGCCTTCAACATTCAAAGAGCAACACCCACTGATTTGGGTCCTCTCCACATTGCAAAGATGTCCTCATGGCCTAGGGAGCTTTCATTCCACCCCAGCCCAACAACTAGTTCAAGTGAAACACTAGCACCTGCTTCTCCTATGC
This sequence comes from Homo sapiens, assembly GCF_000001405.40. Lineage (NCBI taxonomy): Eukaryota > Metazoa > Chordata > Mammalia > Primates > Hominidae > Homo > Homo sapiens. The sequence continues at coordinate 5,355,550 of NC_000011.10, forward strand.
CAGCATGACCTGAGTCACTCTTGCAGTCCTGTATCTGTCTAAAGTCACTTGACAAAGGAACTGCAGCAGGAAAAATATCATCTTCACAGACTGTCCTAAAGTAAGATAGGTGATGTGTACTGTATCCACAAATCATCTGTAAAAGTTATGTTTTCAGTGGTGTGTCATTTCAAATAAACCTTGGGAAATTTCTAACAATTACCTTTAAAAATTAAAAAAAAAAAAAAGAGTAGGGTCAAGGGGTATAGGGTAGCAAAATTTTCTTAAAGGATCAATGTAATGCCCTGCTCTGATTCCTGTAGTGACATAGGCGTCAATATACAGACAAGGTCCTGGAAGTTCTTTTAAAAATCTGCTGCAAGCTGAGGGTCCTGTTAGAAGGAAAACTAACAAACAGAAAGGACATCCACACCAAAAACCCATCTGTACGTCACCATCATCAAAGACCAAAGGTAGATAAAACCACAAAGATGGGGAAAAACAGAGCAGAAAAACTGGAAACTCTAAAAATCAGAGTGCCTCTCCTCCTCCAAAGGAATGCAGCTCCTCACCAGCAACGGTACAAAGCTGGACAGAGAATGACTTTGACAAGTTGAGAGAAGAAGGCTTCAGACGATCAAACTACTCCGAGCTAAAGGAGGAAGCTCGAACCCATGGCAAAAAAGTTAAAAACCTTGAAAATAAATTAGACTAATGGCTAACTAGAATAACCAATACAGAGAAGTCCTTAAAGGACCTGATGGAGCTGAAAACCAAGGCATGAGAACTACATGATGAATGCACAAGACTCAGTAGCTGATTCGATCAACTGGAAGAAAGGGTATCAGTGATGGAAGATCAAATGAATGAAATGAAGCAAGAAGAGAAGTTTAGAGAAAAAAGAATAAAAAGAAATGAACAAAGCCTCCAAGAAATATGGGACTATGTGAAAAGACCAAATCTATATCTGATTGGTGTACCTGAAAGTGACGGGCAGAATGGAACCAAGTTGGAAAACACTCTGCAGGATATTATCCAGGAGAACTTCCCCAATCTAGCAAGGCAGGTCAACATTCAAATTCAGGAAATACAGAGAACGCCACAAAGATACTCCTTGAGAAGAGCAACTACAAGGCACATAATTGTCAGATTCACCAAAGTTGAAATGAAGGGAAAAATGTTAAGGGTAGCCAGAGAGAAAGGTCGGGTTACCCACAAAGGGAAGCCCATCAGAATAACAGCAGATCTCTCAGCAGAAACTCTACAAGCCAGAAGAGAGTGGGGGCCAATATTCAACATCCTTAAAGGAAAGAATTTTCAACACAGAATTTCATATCCAGCCAAACTAAGCTTCATAAGTGAAGGAGAAATAAAATACTTTACAGACAAGCAAATGCTGAGAGATTTTGTCATCACCAGGCCTGACCTAAAAGAGCTCCTGAAGGAAGCACTAAATATGGAAAGGCACAACCGGTACCAGCCACTGCAAAAACATGCCAAATTGTAAAGACCATTGAGGCTAGGAAGAAACTGCATCAACTAATGAGCAAAATAACCAGCTAACATCATAATGACAGGATCAAATTCACACATAACAATATTAACCTTAATGTAAATGGGCTAAATGCTCCAGTAAAAAGACACAGACGGGCAAATTAGATAAAGAGTCAAGACCCATCAGTGTGCTGTATTCAGGAAACCCATCTCATGTGCACACACACACATAGGCTCAAAATAAAGGGATGGAGGAAGATCTACCAAGAAAATGGAAAACAAAAAAAGGCAGGGGTTGCAATCCTCATCTCTGATAAAACAGGCTTTAAACCAACAAAGATCAAAAGAGACAAAGAAGGCCATTACATAATGGTAAAGGGATCAATTCAACAAGAAGAGCTAACTATCCTAAACATATATGCACCCAATACAGGAACACCCAGGTTCATAAAGCAAGTCCTTAGAGACCTACAAAGAGACTTAGACTCTCACACAATAACAATGGGAGACTTTAACACCCCACTGTCAACATTAGACAGATCAACATTAGACAGATCAACGAGACAGAAAGTTAACAAGGATATCCAGGAATTGAACTCAGCTCTGCACCAAGCGGACCTAATAGACATCTACAGAACTCTCCACCCCAAATCAACAGAATATACATTCTTTTCAGCACCACACCACACCTATTCCAAAATTGACCACATAGTTGGAAGTAAAGCACTCCTCAGCAAATGTAAAAGAACAGAAATTATAACAAACTGTCTCTCAGACCACAGTGCAATCAAACTAGAACTCAGGATTAAGAAACTCACTCAAAACCGCTCAACTACATGGAAACCGAACAAATTGCTCCTGAATGACTACTGGGTTCATAACAAAATGAAGGCAGAAATAAAAATGTTCTTTGGAACCAAAGAGAACAAAGACACAACATACCAGAATCTCTGGGACACATTCAAAGCAGTGTGTAGAGGGAAATTTATAGCACTAAACGCCCAGAAGAGAAAGCAGGAAAGATCTAAAATTGACACCCTAACATCACAATTAAAAGAACTAGAGAAGCAAGAGCAAACACATTCAAATGCTAGCAGAAGGCAAGAAATAACTAAAATCAGAGCAGAACTGAAGGAAATAGAGACACAAAAAAACCCTTCAAAAAATCAATGAATCCAGAAGCTGGTTTTTCAAAAAGATCAACAAAATTGATAGACTGCTAGCAAGACTAATAAAGAAGAAAAGAGAGAAGAATCAAATAGATGCAATAAAAAATGATAAAGGGTATATCACCACCGATCCCACAGAAATACAAACCACCATCAGAGAATACTATAAACACCTCTACACAAATAAACTAGAAAATCTAGAAGAAATGGATAAATTCCTTGACACATACACCCTCCCAAGACTAAACCAGGAAGAAGTTGAATCTCTGAATAGACCAATAACAGGATCTGAAATTGAGGCAATAATTAATAGCTTACCAACCAAAAACAGTCCAGGACCAGATGGAGTCACAGCCAAATTCTACCAGAGGTACAAGGAGGAGCTGGTACCATTCCCTCTGAAACTATTCGAATCAATAGTAAAAGAGGGAATCCTCCCTAACTCATTTTATGAGGCCAGCATCATCCTGATACCAAAGCCGGGCAGAGACACAACAAAAAAAGAGAATTTTAGACCAATATCCCTGATGGACATCGATGCAAAAAACCTCAATAAAATACTGGCAAAGCAAATCCAGCAGCACATCCAAAAGCTTATCCACCATGATCAAGTGGGCTTCATCCCTGGGATGCAAGGCTGGTTCAACATATGCAAATCAATAAATGTAATCCAGCATATAAACAGAACCAAAGACAAAAACCACATGATTATCTCAATAGATGCAGAAAAGGCCTTTGACAAAATTCAACAACCCTTCATGCTAAAAACTCTCAATAAATTAGGTATTGATGGGACGTATCTCAAAATAATAAGAGCCATCTATGACAAACCCACAGCCAATATCATACTGAATGGACAAAAACTGGAAGCATTCCCTTTGAAAACTGGCACAAGACAGGGATGCCCTCTCTCACTACTCCTATTCAACATAGTGTTGGAATTTCTGGCCAGGGCAATTAGGCAGGAGAAGGAAAAAAAGGTATTCAATTAGGAAAAGAGGAAGTCAAATTGTCCCTGTTTGCAGATGACACGATTGTATATCTAGAAAACCCCACTGTCTCAGCCCAAAATGTCCTTAAACTGATAGGCAACTTCAGCAAAGTCTCAGGATACAAAATCAATGTGCAAAAATCACAAGCATTCTTATACACCAATAACAGACAAACAGAGAGCCAAATCATGAGGGAACTCCCATTCACAATTGCTTCAAAGAGAATAAAATACCTAGGAATCCAACTTACAAGAGAGGTGAAGGACCTCTTCAAGGAGAACTACAAACCACTGCTGAATGAAATAAAAGAAGATACAAACAAATGGAAGAACATTCCATGCTCATGGGTAGGAAGAATCAATATCATGAAAATGGCCATACAGCCCAAGGTAATTTATAGATTCAATGCCATCCCCATCAAGCTACCAATGACTTTCTTCACAGAATTGGAAAAAACTACTTTAAAGTTCATATGGAACCAAAAAAGAGCCCACATTGACATGCCAATCCTAAGCCAAAAGAACAAAGCTGGAGGCATCACGCTACCTGACTTCAAACTATACTACAAGGCTACAGTAACCAAAACAGCATGGTACTGGTACCAAAACAGAGATATAGACCAATGGAACAGAACAGAGGCCTCAGAAATAATGCCGCATGTCTACAACCATCTGATCTTTGACAAACCTGACAAAAAAAACAAATGGGGAAAGGATTCCCTATTTAATAAATGGTGCTGGGAAAACTGGCTAACCATACGCAGAAAGCTGAAACTGGATCCCTTTCTTACACCTTATACAAAAATTAATTCAAGATGGATTACAGACTTAAATGTTAGACTGAAAACCATAAAAACTCTGGAAGAAAACCTAGGCAATACCATTCAGGACATAGGCATGGGCAAGGACTTCATGTCTAAAACACCAAAAGCAATGGCAACAAAAGCCAAAATGGACAAATGGGATCTAATTAAACTAAAGAGCTTCTGCACAGCAAAAGAAACTACCATCAGAGTGAACAGGCAACATACAGAATGGGAGAAAATTTTTGCAATCTACTCATCCGACAAAGGGCTAATATCCAGAATCTATGATGAACTCAAACAAATTTACAAGAAAAAAACAACCCCATCAAAAAGTGGGCAAAGGATATGAACAGACACTTCTCAAAAGAAGACATTTATGCAGTCAACAGACACATGAAAAAATGCTCATCATCACTGGCCATCAGAGAAATACAAATCAAAACCACAGTGAGATACCATCTCACACCAGTTAGAATGGCGATCATTAAAAAGTCAGGAAACAACAGGTGCTGGAGAGGATGTGAAGAAGTAGGAACACTTTTACACTGTTGGTGAGACTGTAAACTAGTTCAACCATTGTGGAAGTCAGTGTGGCGATTCCTCAGGGATCTAGAACTAGAAATACCATTTGACCCAGCCATCCCATTACTGGGTACATACTCAAAGGATTATAAATCATGCTGCTATAAAGACACATGCACATGTATGTTTATTGTGGCACTATTCACAATAGCAAAGACTTGGAACCAACCCAAATGTCCAACAATGATAGACTGGATTAAGAAAACGTGGCACATATACACCATGGAATACTATGCAGCCATAAAAAATGAAGAGTTCATGTCCTTTGTAGGGACATGGATGAAGCTGGAAACCATCATTCTCAGCAAACTATCGCAAGGACAAAAACCAAACACTGCATGTTCTCACTCATAGGTGGGAATTGAACAATGAGAACACATGGACACAGGAAGGGGAACATCACACACCAGGGCCTGCAGTGGGGTGGGGGTCGGGGGGAGGGATAGCATTAGGAGATATACCTAATGCTAAGTGACGAGTTAATGGGTGCAGCACACCAACATGGCACATGTATACATATGTAACAAACCTGCACGTTGTGCAAATGTACCCTAAAACTTAAAGTATAATAATAAAAGAAAGAAAGAAAGAAATCTGCTGCAAAAAGGCCATCCTCCCTACATTTTCTTTTCTACCCCTATGTGATGCTTAAAATAAATCTTATTTCTGGAGATGTGGCTAATTCCCTAACCTAGATGCAGGAAGAAACCTTAGCGACTCCTGTTCCAAAGTTCTAAATCCCTCAGGCTGGGAGAATAAAGAAGGAGGGAGGAGAGAGGAGTGGGCCGTAGGGAGGAGTTTCTGAAACTAATTTTCTTTGCAGCTTGGCTTCTGAGTATAGTCTAAAAAGTTGGTGTTGGATCCAATATCTTGACCAGGCTTAGGGGTTCATAGTCACATCTGTGGCAACAATGAACAGACTTATGAACAGGTCGGTAAAGAACTCCAGTGTGTCTTGGCCTAGAGGCTCCGCATAGGAATGAGCAGTAGACGGTTGGCTTATCAGAGATTGCAGAGAGGGAAATGCAGTAATGTATCAGTCAAGATGTGATGGGGTATAAGAATCTATCATCCCAAAGACTCCCTAAAATCTTTAGAACTTGGCTTCTGAATAATCTCTTTTGCAAATTCCTAGAAGAGGGAAAATCCTAGATCTCCTTTTTCATTCCCTAGCAGAGTGATCTAGTTAGGAAAAAATCAAGTTGAAAATCCACGGGAATACAGAATGATATCTCTGGTGTAGTTCCAGACTCTGGTTTGGATTATCTATTTCCTTTGTTGCTCTCTTCGGGCTGCATAAACCAGCTTCCTCTTTGCCTCTATGTGTTCTACCAAGTACTTACTCCCAAAAAAGATGAAGTTAGAGTGAGGATAGGGGACACTGTAATGACAAGGGTATAGACTAACAGAAAGAAAAACTTACCAAATAGATTAGTGTCAGATTGAGTAAAGCAAACTTTGACATGAGGCACAATGCTTTAAATTGCTGCATATTCCCAGAAATGAGCCTAGTATCCATCAGAAAATGTATGCAAATCCTTATAAACCAAAGTCAGAGAGAGCTTGTTGGTTCACTTCATTCCATGCTGAGCTATCAGCACTGCAGATTTTGAAGATCTCAACCACACCCAGATAGAGAGTGATAGTGGATCCCGTGTTTCTGTCGGGGGATGGGAGTAGATAAGGAAAAGTGTTTACTATTTTTACCAGCAGGGGAAACTACCCAGATGAAAATGGTGCTGGATGCTTTGGGCAAAAAGCCATTCAGAGCCATAATCAACTACGAAGATGGTCAGGAATTTAGTGTATTTGTAGATCAGATGATCAGTCTATGGCTTTGGAAAATTGTGAACATTAGTTGTTGAGCCTTATAATGAGAATGTGATGATTAAATCAGGTCTACTGGATACTATGAATCAGAATAGATAACATTGTTAGATATAATTACCTAGTCAGAGAGCAGAGATGAAGTCAGGAAAGCAAAAGATAAGAAATAACAGAAGTCTTCTGGTGGCAGAGTGGTGGCTTAGCCTGCTGGGGCAAAATGGAGCTCAAGGCCATGAGCAGATACAACAGCCCGGTCAACCCAGCTGTCTTCCCCCATCTGATTGTAGAGCTTTTGGCCATCGACATGTTCTTCACCACCTGGTTCTTTGTTTACGAGGTCACCTCTACCAAGTACACTTGTGATATCTATAAAGAGTATCTCCTTGGTGGCCTCACTCTTCATGGGCTTTGAAGTCCTCTTCCTGATGCTCTGGGTTGGCATCTACATGTGAGTGCCCAAGAGTAACAACCAGGTGGCTTCACTGAATCCCTGCTTTTGTAAATTAAGTTTTCTTTCTATTGCTGGAAGTGTCCCGCCTGTTGCTTATAATAAATGCAGATGTATGGCATTAAAAAAAAAAAAGAAATAATAGAAGTTAGGCAGGGATTGGGGCATGAAGGTTGAAAACAAGGAAAAGGAGCCCAAGGAAATGCAAGTGTTGTAAAATGTGCTAAGTAGATGTCTGAGTGGCATTCCTCCATGAGAGAAAGCTTAAGGGAAGAAAGAGACCCTGAGTGTCTTCAAAACTCAAAGTTTTACGAACAGAATGATTAGTCTGGAGAAATCATTTTTCATCAATACAGGATCTCAAGTGTTTCCCCACAACGAACCCAACCCCTCACACACACACACACACACACACACACACACACACACACACACACACACCGGTGAGTGGACAGACATCGTTTTTCAAGTCATGATGCAGCAGTATTGGAATTACAGTTTTTTTTGGTTTTTGTTTTTTTTTACTTCAAGCTATGGTGTTGAGTACATGATCCTAATCACCAATTAATTGTTCCTTTAAGCCCTTAACCTCTTGACACACATACACACACACTCTCTCTCTCACACAAAAGCGCCACACACACAATCATAAACACACATCACCACCACTCAGCTCCATGAGGTACACTCACTACTTTTATTAAACCAAGCACAGATACCAAGTTTTTGAGTGTGAATGCAGAAAGAAGATATATTGAGGTAGATTTTTCTCATAGATACTACTAAGATTATATTGTCTGGAATCTTATGTGACACAGAAAAAGAACAACTCTGCCATTTGGCCATTTGCTTGTGTTTGGACTTGTGAAGGTCTTTCCATCATTCTGTTATTGGAAAGCGGGAAAGTAGCATTTTCATGAGGATTCTATTAAAAACTAGGGACCATATGCAATACATCCAGACTATATTTAGTGTACAATAGAAAGCAATTACCATAGCAATTATGTTCCCTAGCTGTCTTCTCTCTTTGCAAACCCCAGCCCCCACTCAGCATGACATGGCAGGTATAAAAATAGGCAACTCAGACCCATTTCTGTAAAGGAGGAGAAGCTTGTGTTAGGAATGGAAGAATGCCTGGGCTGGAGAACAGGGCTTCACAACAGTGTAGTGATAGATTCACCCACATATTATGTGATGTGGACCTCTGAGCCAGGTACTATCTCATTCTCCATGGTTGCAATAAGGTCGATTATAGATTCAATAAAGGAAGAGGTATCTCAACACTAAAGAAAGAGTAAAATTTTCAGGGTTCAACAAGCGACCACCTAAGGGCAAAATATTTTCCTAAATTTTGACAAACTTTAAGTTCAAAAAGCTCATCTAGCTATGACAAAGTTTGACATAGTTAGATGAGCTTTTGATCTGTGCACTTTCCCTCGACCTTGACCACCAATCTTGACTTCACAAAACCATTGGAATTTGGGGTGATATGGAGGCAAGCCAAATGCAGAAACAGGAGGTCATGGTAAGGCTATGATGCAGTTTAGGAGCTATGTGATGTGTCATTTCTGTGACAGGATATGAGAGCTGCACATCTTTCTGTTTAGAAATTCCTGCCATATTTGTAATTCTCAATGGTCAGTCTCCTTGCTGGACTATAAATTCAACTACATGCCAGCTTTAAGCACAGTGCTTTGAAGAGAGTAGGAGCTTAAAAAATATTCTGTATTAAATGAAAAAATAAACTAAGCGTGAGAGGTATTTATGTGTCTCTCTCTTCCTCTTCTCACTCCATCCTCATGTGCATCTCTGAATATCTCTGATTTTGTGCACTCTAAGGCAGCCCTCTAAGCTGTTTGCCCATCCAGCATATGACAGAAGACTCTTCAAAGTGAATGATCAAAGTCCCTTGTTTACAGGGTCCCCCCACCCTCTTCCTTCCTGAGCATGTGTTCTGGATATGCTGAAGCCAACCTCACAGGACTTTGTTACCTTTCCTAAGTTTCTATTGGTGAATTTCCATTTAATATAGTTTTATTAAATGATTTTAGTAAATAATTTTTAATCATTGTAGCTTCTATGGTGGATACACAAGGAGAAGCAGAGAGAGAGGGAAAAAAATGAAGTAACAGAAGGCTACAAGGGGATTTCTCAAGTAACTGCTTCTTCTTGTCATTCTTGTCACAGCAATGAATCTTGGGCAAATAAGGGACACTCAATAAAACCAAATGTGTCAATAATCATGCTTGTAATAACCTTGAATTCAAGTGGTAGCTTATCACAACTGCTAAATAACTTTTCTTCTTTGTCTGGTGAGTTCTGTAGACATTTAGAGTGTAGGGCTGGCAACTGTGTTTAAAATAAGTTGTCTATTATATCAGGACTCCATGGAAACATCTAGTGAACCAGAAGGGCTGGTGGTGAGAACAGTGTTATTAGAATACCACTGGTGTTTGCCAGCTGTGGAAAACATGGGTATAGAGCATACACTGATGCCAAAGGCAAACCAATGCATGGCTGGTCCCGGCATGGCAACAAGTAACCAAATATGGGATGAGAGACAAGATCAAGCATACTGTAGAAATCGCTGTGGAGAGATGCATTTAGATGAAAAGGTAACCCAATTCTGGTCTGCCAGTCAGCAACCATTTTCCTGTCTATGCACAGGATAGGATATGGCTGTACTACCTCGAAGTTTTTTCACAAAGCATATTGATACACAAAAACATTATCGAGATGCACATGACATCGGTTTGCCATGACAGGGCTCTTGGTGTGAATCTGACTACTGTCTTAACACACCTCCAAATGTGTTGAGGCCCTAATGAGAAACATCCCTGATTTTATTCAACCCAAACTGATACATTTAAATTGTCCTGTAATTATTTAAAAAATAGATATAAGCTTTTGAGGGCAGATATTATAATCCAGGCATCACCTCCATTACCCACATTGTCTAGCACATTATAGATGCTTAGTATGTGCTGGCTTGATGACAGGATGAAGTTTAAGTTGCTAACCATTCTTAGAGGAACTCTGCTTACCTCTTGGGTTCTGAAGGGTCTGACTGACCAGAGAGGCATGAAGGGGGCAGGCTCAGCATGATCACCAGCACTGAGAACCACACAAACTGAAGAACTGCTAGGTGCTGGCTAGTGGGAGACTTAAGACCAACCAACCACCCTATGGAGCAGCCAGGTAATCAGCATGTTTGGGGGCTGTTAATGGAAGAGTTGCTGAGGGGTATGCTTACTTGTCCAGTTGTGTGTGACTTAGAGGTGAACCCAGTGGGCAAAATAAGAAACAGTATGTGAAGAGGATAGAGCAAGCCTTAAGTAGGAAGTTAAGGATGAGGGAAACAGGAAGGAAAATCAGTAGGAAAGTATAGAAGACAAAGGAGAAAGGGCCAGAGAAACAGAAGGAAGAATCTGAAAAGGAGCTCAAGGGAAGGTTCCTCTGTGGGTAGCCTGTTAAAGAAAAGGCTACATTACAGACTCATGCCTGTAATCCCAGCACTTTGGGTGGCTGAGGCAGGAGGATCACCTGAGGGCAAGAGTTCGAGACCAGCCTGACCAACATGGTGAAACCCTGTCTCTAATAAAAATACAAAAAAATTAGCAGGGCCTGGTGGCAGATGCCTGTAATTGCAGCTACACAGGAGGCTGAGGTAGGAGAATCGCTTGAACCTGGGAGGCGGAGGTTGCAGTGAGCCGAGATCGCGCCATTGCACTCCAGCAGCCTGGAAGGCAAAAGCAAGATGAGAAAGAAATAGAGAAAGAGAGAGAGGTAGGGAGGGAGGAAGGAAGGGAAGGAAAGGAAGGAAGAGAAGAAGAAGAAGAAGGAGAAGGAGAAGAAAAAGTAGAGGAGGAGGAAAGGAAAGGAAAGAAGGAAGGAAGGAAATCAGGGTATTCACTTGAGATTCAAAGTCTTTAGAATAAAAATTAAAATTTGGGAAAATAAGTTTGTATTGATGACTAATTCCAATCCCAAGCACGGGTCTCTGTGCAATGCAGGACTGGGAAGGTTTAGGCAGGGGTGCTATCTGATTCATGAGACAACAGGCACAAAGTTTTAGTCCCTGCCTGGACTTGGTGTCATCTCTTGAGCACATGCCTAATGGTCTCCTAACATTCCCCTCCCAAAGTTTGAAAATGCTTCCACCTCCCGCTGCAGTCCATGAACCAGGATAAAATTCTCTAGCAGCAGAGACCAAAGACATTCTCTCAAGTCTCAGGAATGTGGTTCTGAAGGAAGAGAAGCTCTGCCACACATACACATGCCACCTTGCAAAGCCACTTAGTGACACAGAGTTTTAGTTATTTCATTGTGAACTGGAATAAAATCATTTTGAAAGGAGATTTTTGAAGTTAAAAGCATTGCCAGAAAGGAGTCACAATCCAGACCCTAAGAGAGGGTTCTTGGATTTCGTGCCCAAGAAAGAATTTGGGGCAAATCCATACAGAAAAGTGAAAGCAAGTTAATTAAGAAAGTAAAGGAGTAAAATAATGGCTACCCTATAGGCAGAACAGTCCTGAGGACTGCTGGTTGCCCATTTTTATGGTTATTTATTGATGATATGCTAAACAAGGGGTGGATTATTCATGCCTCCCCTTTTCAGACCGCTTAGCGTAACTTCCTGATGTTGCCATGGCATTTCTAAACAGTCATAGTGCTGGTGGGAGAGTAGCAGTGAGGACTACCAGAGGTCACTCTCATCACAATCTTGGTTTGGTGGGTTTCAGCCAGCTTCTTTACTGCAAACTGTTTTTTCAGCAAGGTCTTTATGACCTGTATCTTGTGCCAACCTCTTATCTCATCCTGTGACTGAGAATGCCTAACTTTCTGGGAATACAGCCCAGTAGGTCTCAGCCTTATTGTACCCAGCTCCTATTTAAGATGGAGTTGCTCTGGTTCAAATGCCTCTGACAAAAGGAACAAAAATGTTGTTTCTGGTATGCTAGCACCCAGAATAGAGGCACTTGCACAATATATGCATTCAAAAATGTATTTTTTTTCACTTGTGCTTTCTGCCTATATCTATTTTTATGTCCTCATGCTTAAATCTTGACCAAGGCTATGCATTTTCCTATCCTTACTCAGCAGTTTGTGAGGAATCAGACATTCTTCAAAGTTTCACTTCTACCAGAGTAGAGCTACTTCTCTTCTAATTATATCTTACACCCCACAACTAACCCAAGCTTCACTTGGTTCTTTGCTCCTATGGAGACCCAGGCTCACTCAGAACTCTCTTTCTTTGTTTTTTCCTCTGCCATTCAGATTTGTTGCATCTTCAACCAATAACTTAACTATGAACCAGCATGAAAAATCCTGTTAAGTGTTCTGTAGGCTTCTTGAAACCTATTGTTTCATGCTTCTTCATACAGTCTTATGCAGTAGTTTTGGGAATTAAACAGTTTGGTTTACAATCCCACCTTCCACTTATTGGCTGCGTACCCTATAGCAAAGCAATTTATCTTTCTGTGTTTTGGTCCACTCATCTTTAAGTGGGGATACCAATAGTACCCACATGGTTGAATTATTTTAATGATTAAATACATTAATATGTCTAACGTGTTCAATAGTGCCTGGTCCATTGTAAGTATTATAGAAATCATTGCTATTATTACTATAATCATCATTGAAAATTTTGTGAAAATGAGACAATTTGACCTTTGGGCTGAGAAGATACTCTGTCTAGCTCTGACAAAGAAAATAAAAACCTTTAAAAAGCTCTCTCACAATCGTAATACTTGAAGTTACACAAGATATTCTAACATAAAGACTTTGTGTTTTATTCTCACATGCATCCTGTGAGAAAGCAGAGCATAGTAGAGGTTTCAGTTTTATCTGTCAAGAGCAAAATTTGAGGTTTCTAAACATTGAGTTACTCAAAATATTATGCTTTAAAACTGAAGGAAGCAAAACCTCAGCATAGGCCTTCTGAAAGCTTACGATGGCTTTTCTTTTTTTCCCCCAGGGCAAAGTGTTCTTAGGAGCAAGATGTTGGAATTTACACCATTCTTATGTGGATTAAGAGAGGTTTCCTTCTGAGGATGTTGGAAGCCTCTGTTCAGGAACTTTTTCTTTCCGGATCATGCTTACAGATCTGATTACACCCAAGAAGCCTAAATTGTGTGTCAGCCAACTAGATGTGGACAAGATAGTTTTTAGCCTCCTTCTGGGACTAGATATTCATTCACCAAGATGAGTGCCTTTGAAGCAGAATCTGTGATAGGGTGGTTGGGCCACCTAGAGACATATGGCCATGACTAGAATCTAAGGTTAGACATACAGAAAGGATGAAGTCTTTAAAAATAGGCATTCATTCATTTATTCATCCATTCACACATATAACCTGAGTCCCTACTGATTTTCTAGTACTGTACTGAATGAGGCCAACATGATAGAAGAAGATATGTATGCCCATGTGTGTGGGGTAGTAGAAACAAAGTCACGGCTTAACAAATATTAATTAAAGTTATTATTACTAGTTAGTGGAATACTATTAACAATAATATTTTAGCAGCCACTATTTGCAAAATATAACACTTTTAGGAGAATTACATCTATTATACCTCAGTAAAACTCTATGAAACAGACTTTTTATATATTTTTTCTGGATAAAAAATAAAATCTGATAATTTGAGACATTTAAAAAAGTATACAACTAGTAAGTAGTTGTATTTTTAAAATTTTCCATTCACTATCCTAAATATGTCTATGATATAATTTAAAAAATTATATATACTCCATGTATATTAAATATAAAGTAAAGACCTTTTATCCTTACCTTTCTATCCTCCCTGGAGATAATTTCCCTTTATAATCTGCCATACATTTCTCTGCAACTTTTCTACACATTTATATATACATATATGAACATACTCAAATAAATAGTCCTATTGGCTGGTAGCAAGGGCTATGTGTAGCACTGTTATTTCCATGATGCCACACTAAAATCAGTGCTGCTTGTCTGCATTTTTGTGTTACAGTGAATGTAGACTAAAATCCAAAATAAGTCAACAGTTGTTAAAAGTGATGACCTCATTGGTTTTGCTATCAACATAGAAAGAAAGGGAAGACATTTTCTCAGGATTTTTACTCAAGGAAAGGCAGTGGGGAAAGAGGCTTTGGTATTCTGTGTCAATCTGTATCAACAAGATCTTCAAACCTCCCTCTGCATGGCCCCAGGAGAGTCAGTGTTCCACAAACCTCTCCTGCCATCTTATGGTTTGTACAGCATGTGCAAGCTGCTTCTATAGAAATGCATATAGAAAATACAGGTATATAAATGCTAGAGGCTACCAAGTTGTAATTTAAAAATAATGCTCATAATCATCAATGTATTTATTATTATCATTAACAGTCACAGTCTTTTATAGTAAATCCTAAAGTTGAAGGTTTGAATGTTTAATGCTATGAAATATTAAATAAGTGACGATAGTATCTTTTATGCTGACTGTCCAGGATTGGAAATGCTACAGCAAAGTGAGATAGGCATTTTATGTATATCATCTGCAAAGACTAAACTAAAATAGCTGGGTTGTCAGGTCAGAGCAATTTACAGGGAAAATTAAATTCAAATCTTCAGAGGATCATTTGTTGGTATGTCTCTGTCCAATTTGAGGGCAATAATTTAATGCCAGAAAATATCTATTCTTTATCTCACTCTCTTTCTTTCATTCTTACTTTCTGTCTTTCTCCCTTTCTCACTCTTTCTGTGTTTAGAAATGAATAATAGAATAACTAAATACATTTATTTAACAAGCGGTCATTGTTTAGTTGTTTGTTTATCTAATGAGAGGCTTCTCTATTTTAGCAACTACTGGGTACAAAAATACATTGGTGCATATATTCTCTGTTCCTATGAAGCTTGTATTTTAACGGAAAGGAAATAATAAAAAAGTGACAAAAATAATTACAACCTCATATAGCTGCTATGAAAGAAAGAAAAAATTTGATGCAATAGAGAATAACAAAATTTATGTAAGCTAGTGTGACAAATGCGGGTTCTGAGAGGAGGTAATATTTCAGCTGTGACCTGAGAGTTGTAGAGGCAAAAGAAGTATTGCCATAGTGGTATTGGTCCTGGAGCTCTGGTTCAATGAGCAGACAGAAGGAAGAGAACCATATGATCATACTTCAGGAAAAAGACTTACACATGATTGGGGCTACCCAAAGGGACTGGTTTTTCCAAGAGCAGATAATTTGAGTGATAAAAATAGTGATTTTGAACCCTTCCTTCTGCTAGCCCTAGCTATGGACCACCATGGATATTGAAGTAAGGGCTTTGTTTTGGAATTACTCTCCACACATTCTGAGGATATACAAGGGCACTGAAATATTCTAGAAAGTCCATAGCACATTCTGATGTTTATACTCTAAGCCACACAGCACCTTTCCCCGGATCTAGGGTCTTTCACATTAGGTTAATTTTTTTAAAACTCAAACACAGAAGTTCAAAAAAATTGAACATATAATTCTCATTCTCTGTGGCTCATAAACATTTAATAGAGACATTGATGAAACTGTAAAACCCTGAGTTGTAGGCCGGAGATATAAAATTTCAACATAAAGAATGAACAAAATGACCAGAGGCAGAGGTACCCTGAGAGACAGTGATAGCTGTATCTAAAGAGTACTGATATTAAAAATAGAGAAAAACATATATCTCATTATATCCAAAGGGTTACATAAGTTTTAAGAGTGGAAATAACATGAAGGACCCTAAACAATTAGGAAACAGAAATTTGACTTGCTTCAGATAAAAGCTTTTAAAATATTTTATCTGAAACAAGTAAGCTTGTTCAAAAAATATAGGATATATGTGTACATAGTGAGATGATTACTTCAATCAAGCAAATTAACCTATCCATCAATACAACACCTTCCATAGATACCTTTTGCTTTTTCTTTGTGTAAGGGCATCTAACATCTACTGTCATAACAAATGTTTAGTTTACAGTACAGTATTAAGTCTTCATGCCATACACTAGATCTCTAAACTTATTTATCCTATACAGCTGCAAGTTTATAACCTTTGACCTACTTCTCCCTATTTTCTCTTTCTTTCTTCCCCTTTTTACACTGTTTCTATGCATTTGACCTTATTTTTCTTTTGAGATTCCACATATAAGTAATATCATGCCTTTATTTGTTTCTGTGTCTGGTTTATTTCACTTAGCAAAATGTACTCTAGGTTTATACATTCCCCCCATCTCCTTTTTTAAGGCTGAATAATATTGTGATATCATACATACATATGACATATATCACAATATCATATACAGACCTGTCACAATGTCTTTATCTGTTCATCTATATATAGATACCACTTAGATTGTTTCCATGTCTTGGCTATTGTGAATAATGCTGCAATTAACATGAGAGTGCAGATAGCTCTAGAAAATGCGGATTTTATTTATTTTGGATACATATACAGCAGAGAAATTTCTTCATCATACAATAACTCTATTTTTAGTTGTTTGAGAAACTTCCATACGTTTTCTATAATGGCTATGTTAACTTACATTCCCACCAGCTATGCACAAGAGTTCTCCTTTCTCCACAGCCTCTCCAACCCCTATCTCTTGTCTTTTTTGATAATAGCCATCTCAACAGGTGTGAGTGATACTTGTGGTTTTGATTTGCATTTTCCTGATGATTGGTGATGTAGTGCACCTTTTCATATGCCTGCTGACCATTTGCATGTCTTCAGAGAAATGTATATTCAGATCCTTTGCCCATTTTTACTTAGGTTACTATTATATTTTTTCATATTTAGTTGATTGAGTTCCTTATATATTTTGGGTATTAGACTTGTATCAGATATATGATCTGTAAATATTTTCTCCCAAACTGTTCCTTTTGATGATTGTTTTCTTTGCTGTGCAGAAAATATTTAGTTTGATGTTGCTCCACTTGTTTATTTTTGCTTTTGTTACCTGAGCTCTGGCACATTTTACAGAAAACAATTTGAAAATTTGTATGAAACCACAGAACACCCCCAAATGGCCAAAACAATCTTGAGAAAGAAAAACCAACTTGATGGCAGCACACGTTCTGATTTCAAATTATATTACAAAGCTATAGTAACCAAAAAAGTATGGTACTATCACATAAATAGACACATAGACCAAATTGAACAGAATAAAGAGCCCAGAAATAAATTTACGTATATACAGTCCAGTAATTCTCAACAAGGCCACCAACACAATAGGGGAAGGATAGTCTCCTCAACAAATAGTGTTGGGAAAACTGGATATCCAAATGCAAAAGAATAAAATTGGACCTTTACCTTAAGCCATAAGTCAACTCAAAATAGATTAAAGACATAAATGTAAGACCTGAAATCACAAAACTCCTGGAAGAACATGTATAGAGATAGCTGCTTGATATCAGTCTCGGCAATTTTTTAGATATTGTCTTGATTTGAAGAAAATTTTCACTGGAAGTCTATATTGATCGATTTTTTCTTTCACAAATAAAGTTCCAGTTTTTGAGCCAAGATGGCCAAATAGGAACAGCTCTGGTCTACAGCTCCCAGCGTGAACAACACAGAAGACGGGTGATTTCTGCATTTCCATCTGAGGTATGGGGTTCATCTCGCTAGGGAGTGCCAGACAGTGGGCACAGGTCAGTGGGTGCAGCACACCATGCACCAGCCGAAGCAGGGTGAGGCATTGCCTCACTTGGGAAGCACAAGGGGTCATGGAGTTCCCTTTCCTGGTCAAGGAAAGGGGTGACATACGGCACCTGGAAAATTGGGCCACTCCCACCCGAATACTGTGCTTTTCTGACAGGCTTAGGAAATGGCGCACCAGGAGATTATATCCTGCACATGGCTCCGAGGGTCCTACGCCCACGGAGTCTCCCTGATTGCTAGCACAGCAGTCTGAGATCAAACTGCAAGGTGGCAGCGAGGCTGGGGGAGGGGCAGCCGCCATTGCCCAGGCTTGCTTAGGTAAACAAAGCAGCCAGGAAGCTCAAACTGGGTGGACCCCACCACAGCTCAAGGAGGCCTGCCTGCCTCTGTAGGCTCCACCTTTGGGGGCAGGGCACAGACAAACAAAAAGACAGCAGTAACCTCTGCAGACTTAAATGTCCCTGTCTGACAGCTTTGAGGAGAGCAGTGGTTCTCCCAGCACACAGCTGGAGATCTGAGAACGGGCAGACTGCCTCCTCAAGTGGGTCCCTGACCCCTGACCCCCGAGCAGCCTAACTGGGAGGCACCCCCAAGTAAGGGCAGACTGACACCTCACACGGCCAGGTACTCCTCTGAGACAAAACTTCCAGAGGAACGATCAGACAGCAGCATTCGCGGATCACGAAAATCTGCGGTTCTGCAGACACCGCTGCTGATACCCAGGCAAACAGGGTCTGGAGTGGACCTCTAGCAAACTCCAACAGACCTGCAGCTGAGGGTCCTGTCTGTTAGAAGGAAAACTAACAAACAGAAAGGACATCCACACCAAAAACCCATCGGTACATCACTATCATCAAAGACCAAAAGTAGATACAACCACAAAGTTGGGGAAAAAACAGAGCAGAAAAACTGGAAACTCTAAAAAGCAGAGCACCTTTCCTCCTCCAAAGGAAAGCAGTTCCTCACCAGCAACGGAACAAAGCTGGATGGAGAATGACTTTGACGAGCTGAGAGAAGAAGACTTCAGACGATGAAACTACTCCGAGCTACAGGAGGAAATTCAAACCAAAGGCAAAGAAGATAAAAACTTTGAAAAAAAATTTAGATGAATGTATAACTAGAATAACCAATACAGAGAAGTGCTTAAAGGAGCTGATGGAGCTGAAAGCCAAGGCTCGAGAATGACGTGAAGAATGGAGAAGCCTCAGGAGCTGATGCGATCAACTGGAAGAAAGGGTATCAGTGATGGAAGATGAAATAAATGAAATGAAGCGAGAAGGGAAGTTTAGAGAAAAAAGAATAAAAAGAAATGAACAAAGCCTCCAAGAAATATGGGACTATGTGAAAAGATCAAATCTAGGTCTGATTGGTGTACCTGAAAGTGACGGGGAGAATCGAACCAAGTTGGAAAACACTCTGCAGGATATTATCCAGGAGAACTTCCCCAATCTAGCAAGGCAGGCCAACATTCAGATTCAGGAAATACAGAGAACGCCACAAACATACTCCTCGAGAAGAGCAACTCCAAGACACATAATTGTCAGATTCACCAAAGTTGAAATGAAGGAAAAAATGTTAAGGGCAGCCAGAGAGAAAGGTCGGGTTACCCACAAAGGGAAGCCCATCAGACTAACAGCAGCTCTCTTGGCAGAAACTCTACAAGCCAGAAGAGAGTGGGGGCCAATATTCAACATCCTTAAAGGAAAGAATTTTCAACACAGAATTTAATATCCAGCCAAACTAAGCTTCATAAGTGAAGGAGAAATAAAATACTTTACAGACAAGCAAATGCTGAGAGATTTTGTCATCACCAGGCCTGACCTAAAAGAGCTCCTGAAGGAAGCACTAAACATGGAAAGGCACAACCGGTACCAGCCACTGCAAAATCAGGCCAAAATGTGAAGACCATCAAGACTAGGAAGAAACTGCATCAACTAACGAGCAAAATAACCAGCTATCATAATGACAGGATCAAATTCACACATACAATATTAACTTTAAATGTAAATGGACTAAGTGCTCCAATTGAAAGACACAGACTGGCAAATTGGATAAAGAGTGTATTCAGGAAACCCATCTCATGTGCACACACACACATAGGCTCAAAATAAAAGGATGGAGGAAGATCTACCAAGCAAATGGAAAACAAAAAAAGGCAGGGGTTGCAATCCTAGTCTCTGATAAAACAGGCTTTAAACCAACAAAGAT
The DNA here is from genome assembly GCF_000001405.40 of Homo sapiens. Lineage (NCBI taxonomy): Eukaryota > Metazoa > Chordata > Mammalia > Primates > Hominidae > Homo > Homo sapiens. The sequence continues at coordinate 5,375,699 of NC_000011.10, forward strand.
CAAAAGAGACAAAGAAGGCCATTACATAATGGTAAAGGGATCAATTCAACAAGAAGAGCTAACTATCCTAAATATATATGCACCCAATACAGGAGCACCCAGATTCATAAAGCAAGTCCTTAGAGACCTACAAAGAGACTTAGACTCCCACACTTTAATAATGGGAGACTTTAATACCCCACTGTCAACATTAGACAGATCAACGAGACAGAAAGTTAACAAGGATATCCAGGAATTGAACACAGCTCTGCACCAAGCAGACCTAATAGACATCTACAGAACTCTCCACCCCAAATCAACAGAATATACATTTTTTTTCAGCACCACACAACACCTATTCCAAAATTGACCACATACTTGGAAGTAAAGCTCTCCTCAGCAAATATAAAAGAACAGAAATTATAACAAACTGTCTCTCAGACCACAGTGCAATCAAACTAGAACTCAGGATTAAGAAACTCACTCAAAACCACTCAACTACATGGAAACTGAACAACCTGCTCCTGAATGACTACTGGGTACATAACGAAATGAAGGCAGAAATAAAGATGTTCTTTGAAACCAATGAGAACAAAGACACAACATACCAGAATCTCTGGGACACATTCGAATCAGTGTGTAGGGGGAAATTTATAGCACTAAACGCCCACAAGAGAAAGCAAGAAAGATCCAAAATTGACACCCTAACATCACAATTAAAAGAACTAGATAAGCAAGAGCAAACACATTCAAAAGCTAGCAGAAGTCAAGAAATAACTAAAATCAGAGCAGAACTGAAGGAAACAGAGACACAAAAAACCCTTCAAAAAATTAATGAATCTGGGAGCTGGTTTTTTGAAAGGATCAACAAAACTGATAGACCGCTAGCAAGACTAATAAGAAAAGAGAGAAGAATCAAATAGACACAATAAAAAAATGATAAAGGGGATATCACCACCGATCCCACAGAAATACAAACTGCCATCAGAGAATACTACAAACACCTCTACGCAAATAAACTAGAAAATCTAGAAGAAATGGATAAATTCCTGGACACATACACTATCCCAAGACTAAACCAGGAAGAAGTTGAATCTCTGAATAGACCAATAACAGGATCTGAAATTGTGGCAATAATCAATAGCTTACCAACCAAAAAGAGTCCAGGACCAGATGGATTCACAGCCAAATTCTAACAGAGGTACAAGGAGGAATTGGTACCATTCCTTCTGAAACTATTCCAATCAACAGAAAAAGAAGGAATCCTCCCTAACTCATTTTATGAGGCCAGCATCATCCTAATACCAAAGCCAGAAAGAGACACAACCAAAAAAGAGAATTTTAGATGAATATCCCTGATGAACATCGATGCAAAAATCCTCAATAAAATACTGGCAAACCGAATCCAGCAGCACATCAAAAAGCTTATCCACGATGATCAAGTGGACTTCATCCCTGGGATGCAAGGCTGGTTCAATATATGCAAATCAATAAATGTAATCCAGCATATAAACAGAACCAAAGACAAAAACCACATGATTATCTCAATAGATGCAGAAAAGGCCTTTGACAAAATTCAACAACCCTTCATGCTAAAAACTTTCAATAAATTAGGTATTGATGGGACATATCTCAAAATAATAAGAGCTATCTATGACAAACCCACAGCCAATATCATACTGAATGGGCAAAAACTGGAAGCATTCCCTTTGTAAACTGGCACAAGACAGGGATGCCCTCTCTCACTACTCCTATTCAACATAGTGTTGGAAGTTCTGGCCAGGGCAATTAGGCAGAAGACAGGAAAAAAGGGTATTCAATTAAGAAAAGAGGAAGTCAAATTGTCCCTGTTTGCAGACGACATGATTGTATATCTAGAAAACCCCCTTGTCTCAGCCCAAAATCTCCTTAAGCTGATAAGCAACTTCAGCAAAGCCTCAGGATACAAAACCAATGTGCAAAAATCACAAGCATTCTTATACACCAATAACAGACAAACAGAGAGCCAAATCATGAGGGAACTCCCATTCACAATTGCTTCAAAGAGAATAAAATACCTAGGAATCCAACTTACAAGGGATGTGAAGGACCTCTTCAAGGAGAACTACAAACCACTGCTCAATGAAATAAAAGAAGATACAAACAAATGGAAGAACATTCCATGCTTATGGGTAGGAAGAATCAATATCATCAAAATGGCCATAATGCCCAAGGTAATTTATAGATTCAATGCCATCCCCATCAAGCTACCAATGATTTTCTTCACAGAATTGGAAAAACGACTTTAAAGTTCATATGGAACCAAAAAAGAGCCTGCATTGCCAAGTCAATCCTAAGCCAAAAGAACAAAGCTGGAGGCATCAGGCTACCTCACTTCAAACTATACTACAAGGCTACAGTAACCAAAACAGCATGTTACTGGTACCAAAACACAGATATAGATCAATGGAACAGAACAGAGCCCTCAGAAATAACGACGCATATCTACAACTATCTGATCTTTGAAAAACCTGAGAAAAACAAGAAATGGGGAAAGGATTCCCTATTTAATAAATGGTGCTGGGAGAACTGGCTAGCCATATGTAGAATGCTGAAACTGGATCCCTTCCTTACACCTTATACAAAAATTAATTCAAGATGGATTAAAGACTTAAACATTAGACCTAAAACCATAAAAACCCTAGAAGAAAACGCAGGCATTACCATTCAGGACATAGGCATGGGCAAGGACTTCATGTCTAAAACACCAAAAGCGATGGCAACAAAAGCCAAAATTCACTAATGGGATCTAATGAAACTAAAGAGCTTCTGCACAGCTAAAGAAACTACCATCAGAGTGAACAGGCAACCTACACAATGGGAGAAAATTTTCACAACCTACTCATCTGACAAAGGGCTAATATCCAGAATCTATAATGAACTCAAACAAATTTACAAGAAAAAAACAAACAGCCCCATCAACAAGTGGGCAAAGGATATGAACAGACACTTCTCAAAAGAAAACATTTATGCAACCAAAAGACACATGAAAAAATGCTCATCATCACTGGCCATCAGAGAAATGCAAATCAAAACCACAATGAGATACCATCTCATACCAGTTAGAATGGCAATCATTAAAAAGTCAGGAAACAACAGGTGCTGGAGAGGATGTGGAGAAATAGGAACACTTTTACACTCTTGGTGGGACTGTAAACTAGTTCAACCATTGTGGAAGTCAGTGTGGCGATTCCTCAGGGATCTAGAACTAGAAATACCATTTGACCCAGCCATCCCATTACTGGGTATATACCCAAAGGAATATAAATCATGCTGCTATAAAGACACATGCACACGTATGTTTATTGCGGTACTATTCACAATAGCAAAGACTTGGAACCAACCCAAATGTCCAACAATGATAGACTGGATTAAGAAAATGTGGCACATATACACCATGGAATACTATGCAGCCATAAAAATGATGAGTTCATGTCCTTTGTAGGGACATGGATGAAATTGGAAATCATCATTCTCAGTAAACTATCGCAAGGACAAAAAACCAAACACCACATATTCTCACTCATAGATGGGAACTGAACAATGAGAACACATGGACACAGGAAGGGGAACATCACACTCTGGGGACTGTTGTGGGGTGGGGGTGCAGGGAGGGATGGCATTAGGAGATATACCTAATGCTAAATTACGAGTTAATGGGTGCAGCACACCAACATGGCACATGTATACATATGTAACTAACCGGCACATTATGCACATGTACCCTAAATCTTAAAGTATAATAATAATAATAAATAAAATAAATAAAAAAATAAAAAATAAAGTTCCAGTTTATTTTTTCAGGTTTCCGTTGTTTCCTCTAATAATTTTCTTGTATGCAATGTGTCTTTTTCTATGTCTGCTTTTAAGATTGGCATACATTTGTTGTTTATGCCATTTGTAAGATATGCATTTAGTTGTGTTTTATTTTTTAATTGACATTGCTCAAGGTTAGCTAAAGATATGAATTAATAGATTTTATGTCCAGATGTTGAAACATTCAGTCAATAATTCCTCAAAAAACGTTTAATCCATTTTTTGTTTCCTTTTAGAATTCTAATTTCACATATGGTGGACAGCTTGATACTTTCCCATGAGTCTGGCTTTCTGGGTTTCTCTCCCTGGCGTCCTCTCTCATCATGTGATCTCCTTGCATGCACTTGCTCTTTGTCTGCTTTCTGCCATGTTTGGAACCAGCATGAGACCTTTATCAGATGCAACCGCCCGATCTTGGACTTTTAAGTCACCAGAATCATGAACCAAACAAAACTTTAAAAAAAAAAAATAAGCTACCCAGACTCAGGTACTCTGTTATAGCAAATCAAAATATGCAAAATACACTAAAACTTTAGCCCAACTTGGAGTGGGGAGAAGAGATGGTTTCCCAAAAGGGGTCTCTCTGAAAAGTTTTCACAATGAAAATGAAAATCGGTTCCCTTTCATAATGACTGAAGAGAGGTAGGATGTTACGAAAGAAGGCGTTTCTGAAAGAGTTGCTGTGGGAAGATGTGGAGACTTCTCTGTAAACCTTCCAGACTCTCTGTGCACACACAGATGCAGGTGTCCAGGGAGGCAGGGGGATGGACAAAATGAATTGCAACATGAAAATTTCTTAGGGGCTGTGGACCAGTCCAGAAGACCCTTTTGGCAATCCTAACTTCTGTGGGTCTCTCCAGTCTGAAAGACCCGCATCGATCTCACACCACAAAATGGAGTTCTTCTGGGAAGGACTTGTTCTAACAGGCCTGAGAGTGAGGTGACCTTGTGGCCATTTTCTGTGACAGAGACACCTAAAAAGAGTCTGTTGTGAGTCTGGAGACATTGAGAACCCTGTGAGTAAGGATTTTATTTAGGTCTGTTTCTGGTCAGAGTGGGGATTTAAGGCTTGGTCAATATGATTAAGACTAAAGGCCACACACATAGATTTGTGTGAGATTACCATCTGTAAAAATCTGAAAAAGCTAAGAAAACCTATCTCTCTCCATCAATTTTAGTTTTTATGTGTTTGTAAGATGTAGATATGTCTATTTTGTGCATGAGAGAGAGGAAGATCATCCTCAAAGGAAGAATGAACTGGTTGGCAGCTTTCAGCTGTGTAGTGGGTATTGAGGACACGGGAAGGTGGTGCTGGAAGAAAAGCCACATTTTCTTGTGCCCTGGGGATAGTAGGGCCTTGGTGCTGGTCAGAATTTAAGCCTATCCTTGGGCTGAATGCTCCCCCTGGTGGCTACATTGGAAAACCACAGCATGTGTACAGACCTTGGGGATTCAGTTCTCCTGAAGGAATCTCCTACTTCACCAAGCCTGGCTCAGTGGGCTGGCTAGGTATCAATTCTGGATAGAGGTTCCTTAAATAAAACTTATACTGGCCCCTTGAAAGCCAGGCTTTCCACCCCACCATACCCCCACCCCACCTCTCTCTCTCTGTCGCTCGCTCGCTGTTTCTCTCTCTCTCTCTCACACACACACAAACAATATTACATGCAATGAAAACCATTTGCACATTAACAAATAGGTACACTGTTACAGTGACACTTTTCACTTTTAGTAATGGATTTAGATTCTTTAATAATGAATTCTAATACCTTAAAGGTTAAGGCCTGAATGCCTCACACTAATGTGTTGATACTTCACCTTCCCCAACCATCATGCACCCACATTCACTTCACCTAATATTCGCATGATTACCCACAGTGATAGAGATAGGTCCGAGGACTTGCTCCTTCATTGTCCCCATCATCCTCCTCTTGGCCTCCAGGCTTCAGAAACTACCTCTGCCTTCCTAGCCTGGGCTAGTGACCCTATTTTGGAAACTTCGTTGAACAATCTAACATCTTTACTCAATGTGAGCTTCATAAAGGCAAGACCATGACATGTTAATCTGTCTATCTTCAAGTTCTTGATCAGAGTTTCTCACAGGACGCACTTAATGCACGTCAATGAAAATTGATGAGAATGTTTAATGTAATTTCAGTCACACTTCAAAGAGGACTATTTTGTGATATGATAAAACAAATCTAAAGGTCATTTAGAGCAATAAAGAATCAAAAATGCTGAGTTCTTTCATTTGGTTTTCAAATAAATCTATTGCTTGGAAACTGGTCCTTCAATTATATAATTCAGAGAAATAGAATATAAAGCTATTATACAGATGTTAGTTTAAAAAAGTAAGCAAATATTAGAGATCTCTAAATGGTAGGTTATCCACTAAACAGTATTGTTTATCTACGTAAAAAGCTGTCAATTACATATCTGCATCCAGCTCCATACACCAAAATAACATCTGTTTCCAGTGCAGACTTTAAATCCTTCCTGCATATTGTTAACAATGTACTCTGGAAAATATGATTGTTATCTCCTGCCTTTTTAAACCCAACCATCAAAATGTGTACCATGTTTGACATGTCATATAAACTCATTCAGGGTCTTGCCCCTGCCTACCTCTACTGTTTTATTCCAAGGTATTAACTCTCTTAAATGTTATATTTGATCACCGGAAAATCTTATAGTTCTCAAAACACATAAACAACTTTTCCTCACCTCCATGCCCTTGCTTACACTACCCCTCCTTTTTGGAAATACCTTTCTATAAAGCCCTATCTGTGGTTGATTCTTAATTAGTCTTCATAGCTCAGGTTGGGGCCTTCCCTGGCCCTCACCTGTGGGCCAGGTGCTACCCACAAATATTAATATAATTGCCATGTCCATCTCTTACATTGCGCTAAGATAGTTGTTTTCCTATCTTATGTGTGATAGATGCCCCTGAATAATAGCAATATTTGCTGTTGCTGGTAATAATAGCAGCATTGTTGCTGTTATACTGTCCTTGGCTAGGATCCCAGTGAAATAGGCTAAAATCATGTTCTTAATAAATGCAGGATTTTCTGAAATTTTTCTGGTAGTGGTGCCCTCTCCTACAAGCCTAAATGAAGATGCTCAGCTCCTTCCTATTGTACCGAAGCCAGAACCTTCCTCATAACTACAATTTAATAAGACATCCTGCTCTCTGCATCTTGTCCTATCACCCTGACTCTCCTACACTCTGGCCCTAACAACCAGTTACTTACCCGGTGTAAGGTGGTGCCACTTCTGTCTGGGTGTGGTCTGATCACAATGGCATGTCATAAACTTCATGGGTCTCTGTCCTGGTTTTAGATCTGTATGCCCCGTTTTGGAGCTCATCCCCACACAACTCTAATCAACCATGCCCTATTTAAAGGATGTAATACCTTGCTTCATGCCAGTCTCCAAGAGTGTGTGTGTGTTTGTGGTGGAGAGGTTGTGTGTGAGTTTTGAAAGAAAAGAGAAATGTACACATGACCTGATCACATTAACTCAGGTTCTGTAGCATAGTCTGGGGAAGAAGTACAAGACTATTTTTTTTTTTCTAAATGTTGATGGCATTTGCTACCAGAAAAGAAGGAAAAAAGTTTTGTAAAGGCTACTTGTTGTAGGGCTCATTGAAGGAAAGTCCAGTGCATTCAAAGATGAAGTAGAGAGCTTTGGGAAAGCCTGAGACACTGACCTGGACATTTGTTTGGGGTAGGATTGAATATGCAAGATTGACTTCTAGGTCCAAAGATATAGAGGCTGGCAGAGATGGAGGGCAATTTAATTATCTGCAGTAAATGGAAATATAAAAATAGACAGGAAAATGAGTGCAGGAGTGAGAGAATCTTGAAGTAGTGGTGATTGTGGTGCTTCAAGGCAGATGTGCAATTTAAAAGCCACTGTGAACATCACATGGATAATCCTCTTCATATACTACATCCGACCTCTCTGGAAAACGACGGGTCCATTACTAGTGGATAACAGAAGACAGTAAATAAAATGATAAGTGATATGAATTGACTTCTTTATGAAATTAAAAATAAACAGATAAGGCAGTAGTACTTTTGTTGCAGCAGATGTCTGTGTAGCCAAAACCTGGGGACTGAATGCTAAAAAGTTAGGGCTCTTCAGCTTCAGGAGACAGGGGTGGAGATAAAGAAAGTTTCCTGCCCATAGGATTCCCAGCCCTGGGGACCCTTTGTTTACCATTAAGTTCTCCCAGCTGGAGCCATGGTCTTTAGGAGGATAAATCCTTCTGTGACAGCCACAGCCTTGTGCCTCTCAGTGACCCTTGTGTCATCCTTATCTATACTCTTCTTTCTTCCTTTGGAACCTACTCATTGGCTTCACATTTTTGTTATTACCTGCTGGTGAGTCTCACTACTGTCTTGTGCCGGGGTTTCAGGAGTGGGTAATTAGGGGGACATGGGAGAGAGGAGGGAGAAAATGAGGGAAAATGGGAATGCATAGGTATCACAAAAGCAGTGAGCCCAAAAAGACATGGTCTCAGTTACAATTAAGGCTTTTCCCCCAAATGTTTGAATGTCCTTAGCCAAATGGATTCCCCACATTCCCTGCACTAAGCCTAATGGGATTTTTTTTTCTTTGTTTTCTTTTGTTGTTGTTTCTTTGTTTGTTGTTTTTAGAAATGAGGTCTAGCTCTGTTACCCAGGCTACAGTGCAGTGGTGTAATCATAGCTCACTGTAAACTCAAACCGGATTCAAGCAATCCTCCCACCTTATTCTTCCAAGTTGCCAGGATTATAAGTGTGAACCACCATATACAGCAGTCTGGGCCTTAGATTTTTCACTTGGAAAATGAAGTCTTAGAAACCAGGGTTCTCACAGAATCTCTTCTGATATTCTCAGAGTCTATGCACAGAACCAGAGCCAGAGAAAGAACAGAAAACAGGACCTTCTCTTGCTGGAAAAGAGGCGAGCTCATCTGCAGTATTCTGTTAGGAAGGCCAGGAGGCAGGGCTGCCTCACTCCCCTGATGAGTGCCTGCATGGCCAGGCCAGCCCCTCCCTGGATCATGTCTAGAAGTCAGGATGGCAGAAGCCCTCTGGTCTCTATACTCTTTCCTGCCGAGCCATCTGGTATACACACCCTCTCCTTACTCTCATCAGAAAAACAGTCATTCACTTATTCAACAAATTATTAAATGCATTTTATATGCTGGTCCAGTTAACATAGAAAAGACCCCATCCTCAATCTGCTTATTTTAATCCAAACAACACCTTGTAACTTCCCCAGTATCCAGGATATGGCCTTCGCCTTCCAAAATCCTCCTCTATCCTACTAAAAACAGGCATGTTTACAGATGAGTTTGACCACTGTGGAAATGTTCTCTAGGGGTTCAAAAATGAATAATCTGGTTCAAGTCCTTGTGTTTAGGTGCAGCGTCTTTTGCATATTCTCCTATTTACAAGAAACAGTATCCTCCACCAATGTAGTTCATTAAAAAATAACTAATATTAAATTCAAACAAAAGAATATTTAGACACAGGTGAGGTAGAGAGCCAATTACTCATTGTATACTGAAAATCTCTTTTCAGGAATTTTCTCCTGTGATCTAAGATGAATCTACTCTGCCTTGAATATTTTAATTATGTTGTAATTAGATGTAACTGACTGCTCTGAGTGGACTCCTCCATTGCTTAGTAGACATGAAAAAATGACTGTTGCTCTCCTATCATGGATAATTATCTCTCTTGCTAGGAGAAATCCCCTAAAGCTTTCTTCCCAAGAGGAAGTATACTTTCCAAGAGAAATAATCCCAGCCCTGTCATTGTCTCTGTATAGACATCTTGTTTCTACCAGATCCTTCTCCCTGTCCATCTCATCACTCTGAAGTTGGTGAACACAGAGCTGACAACAGAACCCCAGGCACAAAGAATCAGGATAAGAGGTGAGTACTTTATTTATTCACCCATTTAGTTTTTCATGCAAAAAAATATATATATAGTGGTACCTACCACATCTTAGACACTGTCAGGCTCCAGGGGCCTTTAGAGAATTCCAGTCTAATCAACTTAAAAAATGAATTATTAGGTTGGTGAAAAATTAATGGCAGTTTTTGCCAATATAAATTTATGTTCTAAACATGTATAATAAAGAATACGTATAAATACTACCTATAATATATATGTTGTACAAAGTATATATATGTGTACAAATATCTAATATTTTTGTATATTTGTTTACATATATAAATATACAGACACATATATGTATACCCTATACTTATATATAAAAAATCTATAAAGTATATAAAGAATATATAATGTATATACTAAAATGTATATTCTATAAAGTATTTATGAGTAAATCTATACACTTATATGTTATTTAAACTTATACATATGTGTACTTATATGGATGTATAAGTATGTTCTATATATATATCAATAAGTATATATAAATATAAAAATATAAAGAATGTGTGTGTGTATTTACACCTTAATAGTACATTACAGGTACTACGTGAGAACAGAGAAAGATGTACCTAATGCTACAGAAGGAAGTCAGGAGAGATTTGACAGAAGAAGTGATATTTGTACTAAGTCTTAAAGGATCCGCAAGTGTTTACTGGTTGGAAAAACAGGGGTGGTTTTTGCCAAGAAAGCAATAAATATAGAAGAATAAAAACAAGAAAAGTATGTGTAGGGAATTGAAGAAAAAAATGATATGGGTGTGTTGACTGGGAAAAGATGGGTTTGGAAAGGTGCCAAAACAAGAAGGACCGGGCTAAAGATGGTGTTACAGGGTGTTTGAGGCTACCAGGGCCATGCATAGAGAGACAAAGGTTCATATCTTATCCTGATTTTCGCTCACTACCAGGCCTTGGGATGATTGTTTACCTTTTTGTAGTTTTCTCCTTGTGAAGTAGTAATAAAATGTTTCATAGTTACATGAAATATTCATGATTATGTCAAGCTTTTCACAGCATCTAAATCATGTATGGCCTCAATAAATTGGACTATCACCACAGATCTTTTACAAGTTTGAACTTTATTCTAATGATAGGAGCTACTGAAGTACTGAAAACAGTGCAGTGATTCATAGAGTTAGTACTTTCTGCATAATCTCGGTGGCTGCAGTAGAGGATGGACCAAGGGAAGGAGGAGCCTGGCTTTGCATGTTGAATGACAGGTCAGGCAAGCAGGTGTGGAAAAGCTAAGAACAAGGACATTGGCTACAGAGATGAAGATGAATAGATTACAGGGATAGATTAAAAGAACTTAGTTAAAAATTAGATACAGAAAGAGGGAGAGGGTTGAGTAGAGCATCAGCTCAAAAATGTTGTCTTGAATGGCAGGAAATGGTGAATAATATTATAAAAAATGCATAAATATGAGAAGAATCAGGTGTGAAAAGATGGATGCTGGGCTCAATATTAGACGTGTTGAGTTTCATCAGTATCCTTTTGGAAACACCTAGTGAGAAGGCAGAAACTCAGGCCTGATATGTAACGGAGTTATCTGGACTAGAGATTAATGTCTAAGAGCCACCACTGTATAAGTAATAATAATAATAGATAATATAATGAATGAGAAGTTAAGGTGTTCAAGGACAGTAAACTGAATAACATAAATATTTGAGCAATGGAAATAAGAGAGTGCATAGAAGCTATCACAAAAATCAGAAGAGAACCAGCAGATCTTGGCATTAAGAATTTCTAGAGAGAGCTCTAAAAAGGAAGGCATGGCCAGAGCACACAACTATTGCACAAAAAAATCAATAAAAGCAGGTATGATTAAGACTCTCCATTGCATTTGGCCCCTAGAAGTCACTGGTGAATTTAAGGAGCATTGCTTTAGCTAAGTGGGTTTTAAAAAAAACATTATAGGGTGGTTGGTTGAGTAGTAAACTGAGAAGTAAAGAAATGGAAAAGATAAATGTGGACTATTTTTTACCCCTTGCCAAAGTGATGTAAGCCTTATATCCATGCAGCACCTCTGCTCTCAACTCGAAGCTCACAAGTATAATAAAATTCAAAGTAGCTTGCGTGACCTGCAAGATCATACATGACGTAGCATTTAGCTGCTACTTCAAGTGGATTTGCCACCATTCCCCACCTTGCTTCCTCCATTGAATATACATTGGCCTTCTTTTGTCTTTTAAACTTGTCAAGCTGCTCTCTGCTTCAGGAACTTTCACTTGTTCTTCCTCCTTCCTTGAATGTTTTTCCCTAAGATAGCCACACACTTGCCCTCTGATTTTGATTTCTTCTCTAAAATTACCTACTCAGAGAGGTCTTCTCTGACTACCCTATATAAAATGCATCACTCTTACCTTCCTCCTTTGCTCCCTACTTCTTTATTGCATTACATTACCTTGCATTGCAGTATGTATGTATGTGTTTATTTTTGTCTCTGTTCTGTTTCTGTTCATTGTATTTTCAGTACCTAGGTGTAAAAGTAATTGCAGTTCTTGCCATTGAAAGTAATGGTAAAAACCACAATTACTTTTGCACCAACCTAATAGAATTATGTCTGCCATGTAATACAATTTCAATATGTATTTATTGAATCAATTAATGAATAATTATTGAAATAATTGAATATTGAAATAATTATTGAAATAAGATTAATGGTAATGATACATATTTAATAATTTATTCAAATAATATTTAAAGGATTCCAATGATATGGTGGCTAAAAAAGTCAATCCCTAGAGCTAATATTAAAATTAAAAAAGAGACAGTCATGGTTTATGTCCACAAGGAATTCACATTATAGAAGCAATACAGAAATTGACAATGCTGCAGGGAAAATATCATGGTAATTAGTGCATAGTGAACTACAGGAACACATAGGAGAGGGTATTCAAACTAAACTTGGGGAATTTAAGAAGGCCTTCTGAAGGACATCATATCTAAGCTAAGGTGGGTTATATTAGTAGAAGTTAACTAGACAAAGATTAAGGGAAAGCTATTTCAGGAAAAAATGTTTTTATTCCAGGAAGAATGAAAATACAAATGTTTACCTATGAGCAAGCATACTAGATAAACTGGAAGAATTGTTTAGTGTCATTAACACCGTGAATATACAGAGGAAATTAGGATAGATAAGAAAATAGGATATACACGGAGAGAAAATAAGGTAGGGTCTTGAATGTCATTTTAAACCTTTTTTACTTCATTAAAAACTTGTTTATGTATACGTCTCTCTTGCTATATAGTAGTCAACTGAATACAGTAGTACAAAAGATGAGTCACTGGAATAGTCCTGAAAGAGTGATCTGAATTAGAATAGCATCAATGAAGGTGACGGTGAGTAAACAGACTTGAGGTATTCAGTAAACAGAAACCCTAGGACTTGGTGATTGGTTGATTAGATACTATGGAGAGATGTGATATGGAGAAGTCTAACATAAAACATGACATTTGACTTGAGCCACTGAGATAATGAAAAGTACAGATGTTGCTAGAGTCTGGAAATCAAAAGAGAGAAAGACAAGTTCTGGAATTATATATTTGTTATTTATCAATATATGGATGGTAAATGAAATCATGGTAGTGGATGACATTAAGAAGAAATAATAGAATATGGCCAGGAAATTGCCAAGGATGGGAAGAACTATACTTAAGGGTTGAGCAATAAAGGCACACCAGCAAAGAGGCAGAGAGGAACTGAAATAATTGAAATACAGAGGAAAACTGGTGAGGGCGAGGTTATCAAAGAAAGTTCAATAAAGTAGTGAGATTGGCAGAATTCATAAGGGTGGAGTAGATAATACTAAAGGTGATGATGACCATGGTACTGCTTGTGATGTTGTGAATGTTAGTGAAGCTGAAGAATTAATAACCAGAAATATCCATTTATTTTCAGCTCAATCCCCGAGGAATGTCAGTCCAATATTCGCTCAGTCCTCAATTCATGCTGCTATCCAACATTACTCAGTTTAGCCCCATATTCTATCTCACCAGCTTTCCTGGATTGGAAGGCATCAAACACTGGATTTTCATCCCCTTTTTCTTTATGTACATGGTTGCCATCTCAGGCAATTGTTTCATTCTGATCATTATTAAGACCAACCCTCGTCTGCACACACCCATGTACTATCTACTATCCTTGCTGGCCCTCACTGACCTGGGGCTGTGTGTGTCCACGTTGCCCACCACTATGGGGATCTTCTGGTTTAACTCCCATAGTATCTACTTTGGAGCGTGTCAAATCCAGATGTTCTGCATCCACTCTTTTTCCTTCATGGAGTCCTCAGTGCTCCTCATGATGTCCTTTGACCGCCTTGTGGCCATCTGCCACCCTCTGAGGTATTCGGTCATTATCACTGGCCAGCAAGTGGTCAGAGCAGGCCTAATTGTCATCTTCCGGGGACCTGTGGCCACTATCCCTATTGTCCTCCTCCTGAAGGCTTTTCCCTACTGTGGATCTGTGGTCCTCTCCCACTCATTTTGCCTGCACCAGGAAGTGATACAGCTGGCCTGCACAGATATCACCTTCAATAATCTGTATGGACTGATGGTGGTAGTTTTCACTGTGATGCTGGACCTGGTGCTCATCGCACTGTCCTATGGACTCATCCTGCACACAGTAGCAGGCCTGGCCTCCCAAGAGGAGCAGCGCCGTGCCTTTCAGACATGCACCGCTCCTCTCTGTGCTGTGCTAGTATTCTTTGTGCCCATGATGGGGCTGTCCCTGGTGCACCGTTTTGGGAAGCATGCCCCACCTGCTATTCATCTTCTTATGGCCAATGTCTACCTTTTTGTGCCTCCCATGCTTAACCCAATCATATACAGCATTAAGACCAAGGAGATCCACCGTGCCATTATCAAGTTCCTAGGTCTTAAAAAGGCCAGTAAATGAGTCCTGGGGCTAAAACTCCCCCTAGAGGCCTATAAGAAGGCCCCAAATTGGACTGAAAATTTGGAGTATTGAGTATATAGCATGCTCTTAAAGATTTTTTGCCCCTGTCCTAAATAAAATATGGGCAAATTTATGTCTGGAGTTGTGGCTTTAAAAAACTGAACTTCTCTTGCTTAGATTTTAATGGCTCCTCCTACAGCTGAGAACTGGCATTTTTGGTAGCATCAAAGCTATCCAGAAGGCAACTTTATTGAAGGTCATCATCAATGTAACTAAAACTAAAATGAAACTAAATAAAAACTAAAAAGAACAATAAATACCAGAGCACCCAGAGGAGAGCCTGGCAGAGACCAGGTAAATGCCATTTGCTCTAACTCACCTCCGGAAATACACCTCCTTCCATGGTTCCTTGGGACTGCTTCCATCTTATCTACCTGGCCAAGTTTCTTCTCATCTTTTTCTATCCTGGTCAGCAGTAACTTTCAGACCCCCAAGTCACATCAGAAACCTCAGAACTCCTGCATTCTTCCTCAACACCTGTTTCAAGCAACACCCCCCCAAATTTCTAAGGTTGTGCTCTCTCCTGACCATATTCCTCTAGAAGAAGAGACTTTGATCCTATCCTTGACTCCTCTCATCTCTGATTTTACCTTACAACCTCAAGTCTGACATTAAGCTACAGTCAGTATTTACTTGTAGGTGTTTTAGTTGTGTGATATTGAACAATGACATGTAACGTGAGAAAGCTTCAGCCAAGGAAACTCACACAAACATATTGAAGTCACAATCCCATTGCTCAGGAGGAAATAAACTTTACATTGGCTGATCAGCCTGTCCCTACGAGTGACTAAATGCAATCCTTGCAGGGGTCTCAGCTTTGAAATTGCTTCCTCAAGGACATTTTCACAGATAGCTCCTCCCTTTCCAATGGTAAAGCACCAAATGCTCCATCGGTTTCCTTCCACAGTGCCCTGCATTTCCCGTTGTAACATTTGTCACACAGTAATGTCCTGTTTATGAAGGTGTGTGCATGTGTCCATTAGAATGACTAAATCAAGATCCCTGGAGGAATTAGGCATGTCTTGCTCGCCAGTAAATGTATATAAATACAATGCCTAGCACATGCCATATACTCAATAAATATTAAATGTATGCGTGGACATATAGATACATAAAGAGGGATCCAGAGCTAACAGAAGTTCTCTTCTTGTCTCGAGGAACTCCTCCTCTTCACATTCAGAAGCCCAAGAAGACACCTTTCTGCTGGCATCCATCAAGGTGGTATATCTTCATTGTCCCAGTTCTACTTTACTCAGGCCCTCTGGATCCTCCCACCCATTCTCCTACAGGTTAAAATTACCATGAGGCCAGGCACGGTGGCTTATGCTATAATCCCAGCACTTTGGGAGACCAAGGTGGGAGGATTGCTGAAGGCCAGGAGTTTGAGACCAACTTCAGGCAAGAAGATTACTTGAGTCCAGGAGTTTGAGACCAGCCTGAACAATACAGCAAGACCCTATCTCTACAAAAAAAATTAAAATTAGCCATGTGTGGCGGTGCACGTCTGTAGTCTCAGCTACCTGGGAGGCTGAGGTGGGAAGAATGCTTGAGCCCAGGAGGTTGAGGCTGCAGTGAGCCATAATCACACTACTGCCTGGGTGACCAAGTGAGACCCCGATTCAAAAATAAAAAGGAAAACAAACAAAATTACAAAGCGAAATTTAAAAAAGAACCAAACTCTAAAAATATGTATGTATGTTTGTGCGGTTTCTTGTGTATGTTTGTGTGGTATCTCATGTTTGTATGTGTGGGTGTTATCAGACTCTCAGGCTTGGGAGCCCCTCTGGAACCCAGCAGTTTCTGCAGCCTTACAGGCTGGCACTCCTTAAACATAGGTTCCATTCTAAACTTTAATTTACATCCACATAGTAGGCCACATTACTCAATAGCAGTTCCGAGACTTAGAATATTCTTCTCCATGTTGAGAGGAAATTCCTATTCTATAGATCTCATTTGGTAGAATGGGGTACAAAAAATTTAGGATTTGGATTTAGATTAGCACTGAAGTCCCATTTTGCCTCTTATTAACAAATAGACCACTGACATCTAAATTTCATTTTCAAATTAGGAAATACGTACAGGTAATAACATATTTGAAAACTTCTACCTTACTCAAATTTAAAATGCAAATTAACATATCTTAATTTGTTACTAAACGAATATTGAAGAATAGAGTTAACAATCAATATCTGGCTGGGCGCGGTGGCTCACGCCTGTAATCCCAGCACTCTGGGAGGCCGAGGCGGGTGGATCACGAGGTCAGGAGATCGAGACCATCCTGGCTAACACGGTGGAACCCAGTCTCTACTAAAAATACAAAAAGTTAGCCGGGCATGGTGGTGGGCACCTGTAGTCCCAGCTACTCAGGAGGCTGGGGCAGCAGAATGGCGTGAACCCAGGAGGTGGAGCTTGCAGTGAGCCGAGATCGTGCCACTGCACTCCAGCCTGGGCAACAGAGCAAGACTCCTTCTCAAAAACAAAAAAAAAGAAAAATAAATAAATATCTGTGCTGTTAAGTATGTGGTAAAAGAGGTATTTTCACATACCAGAATGAAAACATAATTTAATTTGCCTTTTATAAAAAACAAAATACATCAAAAGACTTGAAAATATTCATGCTCTGTGTCTCAGAAATGCCACTTCTAAAAATCTGTCCTAAATAAATGATAAATTAAAAATTTAGGATGTAAGCTGTTTGTGGCAAAATTTTTTTCCTGTTTGCTCACAGTTCTAAATCCATCTCCTAGGTCAGTGATCAATAAATATGTGTTGAACTATTTAATAAGTGAATATTATAATTTGTGTTATTGTTCATAATTTTAAGAATGTAAGCATACAAAATGTCTAGAATAAAAATATTACATAAATCAAAGCATATTCATTTGATACACTATTATTAAAATGACATTTAAATGCTTAGGAAACTGTTGGCAAAATATTAAATAAAAATAAGCAAAATTAGGTACAGAACAATCACTATGTAAAAGGCTATAAATATTTGTATCAAAAGAAAAACAGCTGTTATATATAATCTTATTTTCTATATAGATTTCTCTATCTTTGCCGTATACAAATTTTCTGAAGAAGACATTTCGGTTTTATAATCTAAAAAGAGCATTTTACAATGACTATAAAAAGTTATATACGATTATGCTGAAGATGACAATGAAGATGATAATTATGATCATGATAAATGCTAATGTTTATTAAGCATTTAACTCACGGTAGAGAGGGCTGAGTACTTTTTATTTTCATTATTTTACATTATTTCATTTAATTTTCTCACCAAACCTGTGAAGTAGGGAGGTATTATTATTTTCAATGTTTTAAAATTAGGAAACTGAGGCTCACAGAGGAAAGCAACTTTCCTTAGTTAAATCATTAATGTAAGTCAGAACTGAAATTCAATATCAAGCGCATCTGATTTTCTTAAACCATTATGCTGGACTCCTCTCCAAACAGGACCACTCGTTTCAGGGCCATGTTTTCCATGTTATACTGAAGGAAGTCCCATCATTGGCTTCTCCCTAACTTTTTGTTCCCTTTCCTAGAATATGTTATCTATTTTTCCATTTAGTATCAGGAAAAGATAGCAACAGAAAACAGTAACATAAAATTATTGTATTAAATACTTTTTAATAGACTTGATTTTAAGAGTTATAGATTCACAGAAAAACTCAGTAGAAGGTACTGAGTACCTTCTATTTTGCATATCATGGTTTTTTAAGCACATATTATAACCTAGGTATTATTCTAAGGGCATAATACACTATAAGTCACTTTATCTTGACAATAACCTTATGAGATGGATACTACTAGATTACCCATTTTACAGATAAGTACACTGAGGCTCAGAGACAAAATATCTTGCCCAATATTATACCAAGTTTGACAGTTCTGACTGTGGTGCTTGTAGTTTTAACTATGCTCCACTGATTCAACAACAACAACAAACCAAAAAAAACATAAAATCAGCCAAAGCTGTACATATTCCTGCTAATGACAGTATCTGCTTTAAATCATCTGGCCCATTCCTCAGCACAAGCCTATATTCCTGCAGGCAAAAATCTTTACAACTATCCCGTTATTTAATATCCACAAGCCTCTCTAAGCCTTTGAAATTGATACTGTATTTGTAAAACACAGATGGCTCATGTAATTGAAGTTCACAGAATTTTATGTTTTGCTTTGTGACAACTCTGAGCCTTTGTACATGTTTTCCCCTCTATCTAAAATGTTACCTATTTTGAATGATAGTGCAGACATTAGTAAGGAAAGCTTGCTAAATATTTGTATCACCTGGGAAGCCTGTTTTTGCTTCATCAGGGGACGTTAGTTTTTTTCACATCAACCTCCTGCAGAAGACAATGCTTTCTGAAAGACAGAGTTTGTGTCTTATTAATGCTTGCATTCAAATATCTGACCCAAAGCTTGTGATCTTTACATACTTGCTCAGTGAATGACAGTGAATAACTACCTGGTTGTAAAGACTGTCTCAAGGGGACTTTTGTCTGGGAAAAGAAAAGAAAGACAAAAAAGAGGATTGAGAAGCACCCAATAAATTTTCTTATGAAGTTGGCAGCTGGGGAGAGAAGACAGTCAAGGATCCTCTGGCTCACTGAAATACCTCCTAGAGGTACTCATGGTTCACTAAATTTCCATTTAAGATAACTGGGCATCTCAAATGCTTTGGTCTAGGAGGATGCTAATCCCTCTTTGACATTCATCAAGTCTGCGTCCATCTAGGGAGATTCCTTTGAGGGCCAAAGACCCAAGGAAGAGAGACAGCTTTATAAGTGCCAGTGCAGCCCACGTAGAACAGCATCCTGAGTCAAATGGAAGATGCTGGCATGGAGTGGAAGGGCTGCATGAGAAAGAAGCTACAGAGAAGAAAGGACCAGTAAGTTGCTGAAGGTCCTTTGTTTTGTGGATAAAGGAAGTCATTGGAGTGACCTCTCTAATATCCCTTATCTAGCATGACTATATGCAGGGTTATGGAATAGGGCAGCTTCCAGGAAGATGGCCAATCTGTTGTTAGGGCTGCTGTTCTATCATATCTCCCGTGATGTTTTTGATGGGGAAGACAGATCTGGACTTGTTACTGGGCTATGCCTTGTAGAGAATGATACAGGGTTGTGGCAGGCAAGGAAACATAATCTCAGCAATTGCTCCAATTGATGAAGCTTCTAACATTTCAGAGTGCTTTCCTCCACAGCCCCATTAAACCTAATCATTTCTCTCGAAAAGAGGCAGGGCCCATGTGGAAATCTTTCAACATAGTAAAAAAGCTAAGGTTTAGAAAGATTCAGTAACTTTGCCAAAGCCATATGGAAGGATTGTCCAAAAACCTGTGCAAGAGCTCATGGCTTCCCACTCCAAATACCTTACGCTTCATTGTTGTCAGATTATTTTTCAATCTTTTCTTAGAGCTCACTGCAACATTGCTCACTGGAATGCTGGAAAGTACAACTAATAAAATGTGTCTATTGAGTATTTGCTTCTAACTGTACTCCATTTAAAATTGCATATGAATGGCTCTCTAATCTATGGAGTAGGTAGAATTGTCTCAATTTTTCAGATGAAGAAACTAAGATTAATCAGATACTTTGCACAATCATAGAGTGAAGAGCTATTGAAGTTATGATTGTAATACAGATCTGGTCCCAGAGACACTGCTCTTAACCACACTGCACTGCCTAATGAAAATGTGCCTAGGCTGCAAGACAGGGATGCCCTCTCTCACCACTCCTATTCAACATAGTGTTGGAAGTTCTGGCCCGGGCAATCGGGCAGGAGAAGGAAATAAAAGGCATTCAATTATGTAAAGAGAAAGTCAAATTGTCCCTGTTTGCAGATGACGTGATTGCATATCTAGAAAACCCCATTGTCTCAGCCCAAAATCCCCTTAAGCTGATAAGCAACTTCAGCAAAGTCTCAGGATACAAAATCAATGTGCAAAAATCACAAGCATTCTTATACACCAATAACAGACAAACAGTGAGTGAACTCCCATTCACAATTGCTTCAGAGAGAATATAATACCTAGGAATCCAACTTACAAGGGATGTGAAGGACCTCTTCAAGGAGAACTACAAACCACTGCTCAAGGAAATAAGATACAAACAAATGGAAGAACATTCCATGCTCATGGATAGGAAGAAACAATATCGTGAAAATGGCCATACTGCCCAAGGTAATTTATAGATTCAATGCCATCCCCATCAAGCTACCAATGACTTTCTTCACAGAATTGGAAAAAACTACTTTAAAGTTCATATGGAACCAAAAAAGAGCCCGCATCGCCAAGTCAATCCTAAGCCAAAAGAACAAAGCTGGAGGCATCACACTACCTGATTTCAAACTATACTACAAGGCTACAGTAACCAAAACAGCATAGTACTGGTACCAAAACAGAGATATAGACCAATGGAACAAAACAGAGCCCTCAGAAATAATGCTGTCTATCTACAACTATCTGATCTTTGACAAACCTGAGAAAAACAAGAAATGGGGAAAGGATTCCCTGTTTAATAAATGGTGCTGGGAAAACTGGCTAGCCAAATGTAGGAAGCTGAAACTGGATCCCTTCCTTACACCTTATACAAAAATTAACTCAAGATGGATTAAAGACTTAAATGTTAGACCTAAAACCATAAAAACTCTAGAAGAAAACCTAAGCAATACCATTCAGGACATAGGCATGGGCATGGACTTCATGTCTAAAACACCAAAAGCAATGGCAACAAAAGCCAAAATTCACTAATGGGATCTAATTAAACTAAAGATCTTCTGCACAGCAAAAGAAACTACCATCAGAGTGAACAGGCAACCTACACAATGGGAGAAAATTTTTGCAATCTACTCATCTGACAAAGGGCTAATATCCAGAATCTACAATGAACTCAAACAAATTTACAAGAGAAAAAAAACCCCATCAAAAAGTGGGCAAAGGATATGAACAGACACTTCTCAAAAGAAGACATTTATGCAGCCAAAAGACACATGAAAAAATGCTCATCATCACTGGCCATCAGAGAAATGCAAATCAAAACCACAATGAGATACCATCTCACACCAGTTAGAATGGCAATCATTAAAAAGTCAGGAAACAACAGGTGCTGGAGAGGATGTGGAGAAATAGGAACACTTTTACACTGTTGGTGGGACTGTAAACTAGTTCAAACATTGTGGAAGTCAGTGTGGTGATTCCTCAGGGATCTAGAACTAGAAATACCATTTGACCCAGCCATCCCATTACTGGGTATACACCCAAAGGATTATAAATCATGCTGCTATAAAGACACATGCACACGTATGTTTATTGCGGCACTATTCACAATAGCAAAGACTTGGAACCAACCCAAATGTCCAACAATGATAGACTGGATTAAGAAAATGTGGCACATATACACCATGGAATACTATGCAGCCATAAAAAATGATGAGTTCATGTCCTTTGTAGGGACATGGATGAAGCTGGAAACCATCATTCTCAGCAAACTATCACAAGGACAAAAAGCCAAACACCACATGTTCTCACTCATAGGTGGGAACTGAACAATGAGAACACATGGACACAGGAAGGGGAACATCACACACCGGGGCCTGTTGTGGGGTGGGAGGAGGGGGCAGGGATAGCATTAGGAGATATACCTAATGTTAAATGGTGAGTTAATGGGTGCAGCACACCAACATGGCACATGTATACATATGTAACTAACCTGCACCTTGTGCACATGTACCCTAAAACTTAAAAGTATAACAAAAAATAAGTTAGAAAAAAGAAATTTACATATATTAGTTATTTAAATATGCTGGATAAATACTATTACACTCATTTCACAAAGATACTGACTCTATATCTTTGCTTGTTTCCCTTAGGTTCTCTGGATATTGAGAGAGGCTAATGTAATTACCTGGGTAATTGCTCCTCAGGGAACCTAACTTTCTCCCCATTACTCTACTCCTAGAGACTCTGATCAGCTTTTTCAAAAAATGGGCAGCATTCCAGCCCCAGGACTAAGAAGATATGAATGCCACAGTGGCAGGGACTTGCTGAAGTGAGCTTCCCCATCCCACCTGAGGCTCAGAGGCCAGTTTCACTTGTGGTGAGTGCACAAGCCCATGATCCCTGATATGGCTTGGCTCTGTGTCTCCACCCAAATTTCATATTGAATTGTAATCCCCATAATCCCTATATGTCGGGGGAGGGACCAGGTGGGAGATTATTGGATCATGGGAGCAGTTTCCCCCATGCAGTTCTCGTGATACTGAGTGAGTTTTCATGAGATCTGATGGTTTTATAAGGCAGTTTTCCCTCTTCTTGCTCACTCTCTCTTGCCTGCCACCAAGTAAGATGTGCCTGCTTCTCCTTCTGCCATAATTGTAAGTTTCCTGAGGCCTCCCCAGCTATGTGGAAATGTGAGTCAATTAAACCTCCTTTGTTAATAAATTACCCAGTCTCAGGTAGTATCTTTAGAGCAGTGTGAGAATGAACTAATACAATCCCCAAGCCCTGCCTTCTGAAGCAGCATTCAGGACTCCCAACCCCATGTCACAGTGTGAAGCCCTTAGCATTTTTCCTAAGACAGTAGTCACCTCCCTAGCTTCTTGAACCTGTCTGGCAGAAGGAGAGGAATCACATCCTAAATTGGTGGCAGATGGAAAACAAAACAAAAACACCAGAGCACATCATGAATTCTTGAAATAGTTTTGCCATCATATTATCTTGGGTTACTCACAAAATGCTTATGTCTGGTTTATATGCTCATCTATTAAGTGGGAAATTCTTGTCTCCTTGTTTACCTCACAGATGTGGTCTGAGTATCAGTGAGCCAATAACAAGGAAAGACAATTATTAATAAAAAGTTGGAAATAAGCTGACTGTGATTGACTCCTGAGAATTCCTGAAAGAGATATAGAGTGGAGAGAATATTAACATTCACTGGTTGCTAAAGGCTCACATTAAATATTTAGAGCCAGTCCCTGAGGTAAGTATTAACATCTTTATCTTTAAAAACAAAGATACTAATGTGCACAAAGGTAAAGTACGTAAAGTTATACCGAACATAAGATTCACCTCCAATTCTGTCCAGCTCCAGGGGTACAGTCATCACTGTCCCACATTCTACTTTTTTTCTGATTTGTTGTGTCCTATTATACTGGGCTATAGACTACATGATCCCTTTTGTAACCTTTCAAGCTAAAATGCTCTTGTCAAACAAATCCTAAACTCAGGAGAATGATTGTGTTTTAAGATCTCTTTCAAGGAGATCTGACCCTTATCTGGCGGTAGAGACTCTGGAGATGGAAACTGAGAAGGATGCAAAAAAAAAAAAATGCAAGAAAGAAAAAAAAAGGAAGAAAACAAAAGAGACCACAGACAGGCAGAGAAGGCAGAGGAGGAGAGACTCTAGTTTCAAGTATCAGTCAAGATTTGTTTCTTCCAATATCCGGTTATTTGAGGTGTGGCAGGCAAGATACAGGGTGCAGTGGGATCAAGGATTCAGTAAGGCAGCACACGGGAAGAACAGCTGCTCAATCCAGAGGCAGATCAATATTTGGTCTATTTAAAGAACTAAGAAGGCTATGTTGAGCTTTTGGAGGTGAGGAAGGAACATAAGGGCATAAGAATGCAGAAGAGAAATGTTTCTCATTTTCAGCCATAAGATGTTCTGATGTGTGATCATTTGTTAAGGTCAATAATTTGCCCCTGAATTTCCCTGCCCTACATTTTAACATAGCCCACAGCACAGAGCTTTTCCTAAGCTGATAATCTACTATGTTACGTTGTATCAGAGCATGGTAAGTGTCCAAGGATCTTGTATTTAGTCTATTTAGTCAGGCAATTAATTTTTTTCTTTCCATATTTTCATGATAGCAAAAATATGAAAAAATAAATTATTTTAATATCCTATTACATCTACAGTTTTTATTTTCTCCATATTTTATTTTAGTTTTTGTCAAAGTGCCATATTATATGCCCACTGCCACTGCCATGATAATTTCCCCTCTTTTTTTTTTCCTGCACTACATTGCATGCAACTTAGCCTGGAAATTTTCTACTAATTCTTAGGTCTTAGCTGAAATGCCACTTTCCAAGGAAAGCTTTTCCTGACTTTTAAGAATAAATTGGGTTTTTCCCTTTAGGACCCTCTCAAAGTATCTTGAACATTTCCTTTGTAGTACTTAATATAATTGCAACCAGCTTGGAGATAAGACTTCAGCATAGGTGACGACTGTATTTGAATATCTGTGGAAGAAGATTTGTTCTCTGTGAGCTGTGGTTGAAAGTTGCAGAGATTTTCTGAGTAGGTCTAGGACTCTGTGTTGCCTTGGTCCTGCAAGGTCCTTGACATAGAGGTGTGCTCACTGGTTATAGATCTGCAGAGCAAAGAAGAACTTCATAATAACCATTACGGAATAGTGAGGTCCCTGTTGATGCGTAAGTTCAGCAGTGGCTGAATGGAAAGTTCATACAAGAATCAGATTTTCAGCACATGCGGGAAGCATGTTTGTTCGTGTGTGAATAGGTAAGCAGGTGTGTCTGTGTGTGTTTGTGTGCATTTGGGTGAATGAGTTGAAAACAATCTTCAGAGGTCCTTCCTACCATGCTAGTCTAGGATTCTAATGTTATAACTGCTGACCTAGACAATGCTTATCTCAAAACACACCCAATCCAGGCAGGTGGTTTTCTCTTTCCCTCTATTGCCTTCCTCTCCTCCCCAGGAAAAGAACATCCTTGAAAATCTGTTTAGATTTCCACTGTTGTTGCCGTAGTGTATTCAGCAGTGTGTCTGAGCTAGAAAGAAAAAGTCCCAATGGATAAGGTAAGTTTCTTTGAGAACTGTTGAGTCAACAGATTGTGGATGTGATCGTTGACAGAATATTTTCATGAACCTTAAAGTCTGCACACACATCCACGAACGTAGGTTCCTTCTCCTTCCTGAATCTTCCATGCCTTTGCACATAATCTTTCTAGTTGACTCCTAGAATTTTCAAAACATGGGACAGCTAGCCCAGTGTGGGTCCAAATTCTATGCTTTTCTAGTTTAATTCTCTGCCACTTGCTCCAGGCTCTGGCCACTGCCACTATCTCAGCCTTGCTTAATTATTCATACAATTATATTCATTCTTCAGGTAATTTTTAGCTCTTTTTATATACCATGCTATAGACCTTGTCTTTGTATATTTACCAATAAAATATTTTCACCTATTCCTGATATTATTCCATATCTTATTTTGGGATTGCTTACATTTCTCTGTCTCCCCAGCAGCTTTTTAGGGCCAGACATCTCCACACCAACTCAAGGCAGTCATTTCTCTCTAAGTTGATCCAAGGTGCACTACACCTTAAATGCATAATCTTTCTTTTCTTTCTTTTTCTATCATTCCTTCCTTCCCTCTTTTTCTTCTGCTTTTTCTTTTTCCTTCCTTCCTTTTCTCTCTCTTCCTTCCTTCCTTTTCTTTCTCTCTCTCTCTTCTTTCCTTTTCTTTTATTATTCTTTCCTCTCTTCTTTCCTTCCTTCTTTCCTCCTTCCCTCCCTCCCGCTTGCTGTTCTCTTTTTCTTTCTTTTCTTTTCTCTTCCTTTTTCTTTTGTCTCATGCTGTTACCCAGGCATAAGTGTAGGCGTGCAATCCTGGCTCACTGCAACCTTTGCCTTCTGGGCCCAAGTGATCTTCCCACCTCAGCCTCTCAAGTAGCTGGGACTACAGGCACACTCCAACAAGCCTGGCTAATTTTTGTATTTTTTTTAGTAGAGACAGAGTTTCGCCATGTTGCCTAAGCTGGTCTCAAATTCCTGGGCTCAAGCGATCTGCCTACATCAGCCTCCCAAAGTGCTGGAATTACAGGCATGAGCCACTGCACCTGATCAGACACATAATTTTCTTTCTGCCTATAATGTAATATAATTTTCTAGAACATAATTTTCTATCTGCCTATGACAGAAGCTGTAGCACTCTCCATACTGGAAATTTCTTGATGGTGGTCATTTGTCAGTTTTTAGAAATAAGAAGTTTGGCCACATAAATCTGTGAGTTTGCTTTTTTCTTCCCTTCCCTCAGTGCCCAGTTGTCTTTCTTCATAATGATGTCATCTCACTAGTTTGTTTCTAATTTTCAAGGTGGCACTGATCCCTGAGGATGATATGTCAACATGAAAATTTCTAATAACTCTTTGGGGTTTTTACCTACGACTTTCATTTTGGTTGGCATCCCAGGGCTGGAGTCAGAGCACCTCTGGATATCCGTCCCCTTCTCCCTGATATACATCATCATTTTCCTTGGGAATGGCATCATTCTTCACGTCATCAGAACAGATATTGCCCTACATCAACCCATGTACCTCTTCCTTGCCATGTTGGCACTGGCCGAGGTTCGTGTCTCTGCATCCACCCTGCCTACAGTGTTAGGCATATTCCTTTTTGGAAATACTGAAATTAGTCTTGAAGCTTGTCTTTTTCCAGATGTTCTCCATCCATTCTTTATCCATGATGGAGCCAGCTGTGCTGCTGGCCATGTCTTTGGACCGCTTTATAGCCATCTACAGCCCACTGAGCTACACAGCTATCCTGACACTGCCCAGGGTCTTTGGCACAGGAGCTATTATCGTACTGAAAAGCATTATGCTCATGGCTCCGTTGCCCATTCTCTTATGGCGTCTGCCCTTCTGTGGCCACAATGCCCTCTCACATTCCTATTGTCTGCACCCCAATCTTATCTATCTTGTGGGAACATTTCTGTTAACAATATCTATGGGATTTTCATTGTTACCTCTACTTTTGGGCTGGATTCGTTGCTGATTGTGATCTCCTATGGGCTCATACTCCACACTGTATTGGGTATTGCCACTGGAGAAGGGAGGAAGAAGGCACTCAACACATGTGGCTCACACGTCTGTGCTGTGCTTGCTTACTATGTGCCTATGATTGGCTTGTCTATAGTGCACCGCCTTGGACATCGTGTGTCCCCTCTGCTGCAAGCCATGATGGCCAATGCCTACCTCTTCTTCCCACCTGTTGTCAATCCTATTGTCTACAGCATTAAGACCAAGGAGATCCATGGTGCCATTGTCCGAATGCTATTAGAGAAAAGACGCAGAGTGTAGCCAAAAACCATAGTAGGAAGAAATGTTTTTGTTTGTTTGCTTGCTCTCTATAATAACAGGTGGCCCTAGATTGCATGTTATGCGATTGATATCACCTTAAAACATGGCGTCTAACAGGAAGTTCTCTATAGTCTGTCCATGAACTGAGGTGAGGGTGCAGGTAGAGGTGAATTATGTGTGACAGAACAGTACACAAAAGTGAGGCTTTTTTAAAACATGTGGTATGAGGTTTTCTTCATTACCTTGCATACCTGGAGCAGGAATGCAGAAAAGATTGTAACACAGCACTCCTAATGAGGAAAAGGCACCTGGGAGTTAGAAGGTGTAATGGGAAATCTATTGAGCCCTCTGTGCTAGGAAGAGAGGAAGTGAAATGTATTACATTGTCTTCAGTTATTGCTCTCTGAATTCAATAGGAGAGAAACATACCAGCTAGTTCAAAGGAGGCTTCCACTACAGGCTATGATGTGGCATTCACCCAACCTCACCAAGGCCCCAACTTGGAAGTCTTGAAGACTACAAATCTTGTTTATTATGCAAAATTCTGGGATTCTCCCATCCAGGTTGTGAGAGGTGAAGCCAGCTGGGCTTCTGGGTCGGGGGCGGGGGGAGGGGATGGGGCGGGGAGGGCGGGGGGCGGAACTTGAAGAACTTTTCTGTCTAGCTAAGGATTGTAAATGCACCAATCAGTTCTCTGTGTCTAGCTAAAGGTTTGTAAACACACCAATCAGCACTCTGTGTCTAGCTAATCGGGTGGGGACTTGGAGAACTTTTCTGTCTAGCTAAAGGGTTGTAAATGCACCAATCAGCGCTGTGTGTCTAGCTAAAGATTAGTAAATACACCAATCAGAACTCTGTAAAAACGCACCAACTAGTGCTCTGTGTCTAGCTAACGGTTTGTAAACACACCATTCAGCACTCTGTAAAATCCCACCGATCAGCACTCTGTAAAATGGACCAATCAGCACTCTGTAAAATGGACCAATCAGTGCTCTGTAAAATGGACCAAGAAACAGGATGTGGGCGGGGCCAAATAAGGGAATAAAAGCTGGCTGCCCAAGCCAGCAGCGGCAACCACCTGGGGTCCCCTTGCACGCTGTGGAAGCTTTGTTCTTTTGCTCTTCACAATAAATCTTGTGGCTGCTCACTCTTTGGGTCTGCACTACCTTTATGAACTATAACACTCACTGCGAAGGTCTGCAGCTTCACTCCTGAAGTCAGCGAGACCACGAATCCACCAGGGAGGAATGAACACCTGCAGATGCACCATCTTTAAGAGCTGTAACACTCAATGCAAAGGTCTGCGGCTTTACTCCTGAAGTCAGCAAGACCAGGAACCCACCAGAAGGAAGAAACTCTAGACACATCTGAACATCTGAAGGAACAAACTCTGGACGCACCATCTTTAAGAACTGTAACAATCACCTTGAGGGTCCTCGGCTTCATTCTTGAATTCACCAAGACCAAGAACCCACCGTTGCAGAAACTCTTAAAGAGGCAAGCATCCTCTTTGTAGACATTCATATTTTCTACCTTGTTGGATGCTCTTTTGCAGGCATTTAAAATGATGTAAAGCGTTTATACTTACATTTTCAGGGAAAGAAATTAAGATTTTTAACATAAAATATATACTAAGAACTTTATTATTTTCATCACTTCCTATAGCAACTCTAAGAAATAGGATTAATGTAATTATTACTTTTCAGATGAAAAACTGATGTTTACATACAGTAAACATCTTGCTCAAATCTATGCATCTAAGACCTAGCATTGGAATGTACCTGGGTAAGACTTCAGAGTCTGAGCTCTTAATGCCTAAATTATGTCAACTAAGCAAGAAATAAAGCCTTTGATCTCATTAGTAGTCAGTCAAGTAGAATTTATTGAGCATACTCAATGAGTCAGGTATACTTCTAGACCCTAGAGATAAAGCAGTGACAAAAGATACAAGGTTTCTTCCACTCAAAGAACTTAGAAAGAACTTTTTTTTTTTTCTACATTCTCTATCTCTGCTGTACATTTCACTTTCTGGAATGTTGTTTAGAAAAAACTTTTAAATTGGCCTTATAATGCTTCTTATACAAATAACGACACACCTATAAAGCTTCTGAATATAAATTTAAACATTTTAAATAGTTTGCTTGCATTCTGCATTGTAAAGATGTCAATAATTGACAAAGAGTGCTTTTACAAGAAGTCTTAATTTCTTGCACAGTTAATGGTGTGAGTCTGCCTCCAGGTTTCCATGTATCCTGTTTCTAGAGATTCTGACCTGGGGATCTGCAGTTGTCTATAACCATACCCTAAATTAATAGCCCGCTGATAGGTGACACAACTCCATAGAGGACAATGCCTCCAAATTATCAATGGAAACCAAGCAAGTAAATCCACAAGAAGAATCATTTCATCAATGGCCAGATAAATAAGACAGTGATTATTTCCTGAGATGAGAAGAGAAGAAACATCTGAGTAACATTAGAGTATCTGTAAAAAGATGTCCCACAACTAGGGAGGTACAGGAAAAGACGTTAGGACCAGATTGTTAAATGGCTTAACATAAAATGAGAATCTTAGGAAGTCATTTCCATTTTCTTTCTGAGATTGCATAGTGAATTCTCAGCCTTCTTAAATATTATTGCTATATTTAGTAAATGTATGGCCATTGGAAATACTGAAGTTCTGTAAAGATAACTTCTCCTTAGATGTTTCTCAGATTATAGCCAATTTACTGAATATCTTCGGCTTCATTCTAGAATGGATTTCTTT
This sequence comes from Homo sapiens, assembly GCF_000001405.40. Lineage (NCBI taxonomy): Eukaryota > Metazoa > Chordata > Mammalia > Primates > Hominidae > Homo > Homo sapiens. Next base: position 5,406,314 of record NC_000011.10, read on the forward strand.
ATATGTAATGCTCCTCCCAATTCTATTTTTTCCAATCTTTATCCTGAAGTCCAGTCTCAGAGACAACATCAGGTTCAGGAAGAATCCTAGAAAATCACACAGTGAAAAGAATCTTGGAATCTCTTGGTGTCTATGAAATTGTGTAATAAGCAGAATCTGATGGCTCCCTGGGATTTTCTACCTTTATATTCTATGCTAACTTAAAATTTATACCTTTGGAACTACGTTTTATGTTCTCAACAAGACAAAGTTATAAGTCGTTATATTCAGCTAAGCATGGAGCTAAATTAAAAATTAGGACACTAAATAAACACTTTCACATTTATCCAGTGAATATGAGTTTGTTTCAAGCCAATTCTCCTGCCAAGAACAATTAGAAAAGATATAGAAATAGTTTTAAATGACTTGAGAGAGCATTCAAGGCAATGAGGATGTAAAGATCAAGATTCCAAAGAGAAGGGAAGCCTAGAGAAGTGAGCCTGATATTTATTGAGATTTTTTCCCTTAAGGAATGTATCAATTTAAAAGTAATAGATGAGTAAATAAGAAGAGCTTACAGCAAACTCAGAGGGTTGGAGTACAAGGAGACAACTGTCAGAGCTACAAAAATAAGTACTCAAATGCATAATGACAGTGAAAATTTGTACTACACCTTTTCTAGTAAATAACACAACTAGCCCAAAACCACAAAATTAATGATTTAAAAGATTTGAAAAACATCATTAAAAATACTGATCTTATTAATAATTAAAAAGCAAGAAAATAACAATTATGTACTACCCATTTTTTAAGTGCATGGAGAATGCCTACCAAAACTGACAGTACTGTGGGGCATATTTCTTGATCTGTATTGAGGGTACAGGATATATTCATTTTGTGATAATTTTTGAGCTATATACTTAGAAGATGGACACTTTTATCTATGAATATTCTATGCCAATTAAAAAGCATATAATAATAATCACCTGCCTGTGTGGTGATGAGTGAATCTCTACACATTGACTTTTACTAAGTCTTTTGCATTGAGTTCCACATGGTATCATCCCCTCTTCCTGAGTTTCAGCTGCCTTAAATACATGAAACTTTCTGACTTCGCAGAATTGCATGGTTTCTTGTTCACTTCTTCCTCTGTAATCAGTTGGGCTCTATATCTCTTTGCTCTGCAAAATCAGTTGTCACACACATCCATGTGCTTCCCATTTTCATTTTTTGAAGATTTCTCACCCGCTTTTGATTTCTCACACATTATGCTATTCACCATGAGTTAATAGTTGTATTAATACCTGAATAAATACATGTGTTCAATTTATCTGCTTTACATATTTTGATTTACACATTTTTCTCCTTTTCTGTCTTCCATCAGTTTTTTTTTTTTTATTATTTCCCCTGTTTATTCTGGAGTTATAAACTGTACTTCTATTCTCATGGGTACACTTTTAATATCTGTACTTTATAAATTTCAATGTTATTCAAAATATCCTTCATTCTCTTCAAATAAGCAAATAATTTATTTTTAATTACCATATATTTCCTCTCTGCCATTTTTCCTATCAATAATGATTAATTTTGTATCCACATTTTAATAAAATGTTATTGACAAAGGTTAAACATTCACATGCTTGAAATTTCAAAAGATTTGAGAGAATATATTTTGAAAATATTCACTTTCAGTCTATATTTCAATAATTCTGGCTTCCCTCCCCAAAAACATATTTTCACAGGGCTTATGATACCTTTTTCAATTTTTCACTGACCGTCCCTGAAGCTACATCTTACATCACTCTTTTTCTCTCTGAACTACAGCAATATCAAATATCTTTCATTTGCTGCAGTTCCAAATTAGCTTTCACTGTTTACAGCAAGCTGCTTCATCCATCTATAATGATTATTACTCTTCCTTGCTCACTCCAGTCCCTTCCTCATCCTTTAATTTTATCCCAATAATTGCTTTCTAAGTGATATCTTATTTTATCCCATGTATTAGGAAAAACCTCCTAGCTTAACACTGTCAAAATTCTTTCCTTCCTTCCCTTCCTCCCTTCCTCCCTTCCTCCCTCCCTCCCTCCCTTTCTCCCTTCTTTCCTTCCTTCCTTTTCTTCCTTTGCTGTTTTCCTGCAATGGCCTTGGATATAATTTGGAAAAAATACAGCAGTCACAGCAACTGTTCTAATTCCTTATGTTCTCAATCTATTTATTAAAACAAGAGAAGTCATTCATGACATCCAATTGGTGGTCTGGTGCTATTAGCTAGAGACTGGTCTGGCACTCACAGCTAAAGTTTGGTGTTCTTTTGTTAAATATAAACCATTCAGAATGTCAATAACATACAAGACCAGCCTGTGATCACAATGTATCCAGAAAAAAAAGACCATTTTATAATCCAAACATAAACAATGTCCAAGCCTCAAAACACCAAGCACTCCCCCTCAGTTAATGAGAGTGACTCCAGATTTATTATCAACTCAGCCTTAATCTCACTTTCTGTAGACAAGATTTATGAAGTTATCAAAGGAAAATTTCCCCTACTTCCTGAAAGCATTTAATTCATAGAAAAGCATCAAATCCTTAAGCCTTCCTCAAAATCACCAAAAACAAGCCCATAACCTATAATAATATTTTTGTAACACCCTCCTAATTCCAAATGTTGTGCATTCTTCATCACTAAAAGTAATAAACCCAACTTGTTGATCTATAGGTATGTTCTTGGTGGTACTAACCTTTTTTAAAAGGGATGCCCTGACTTCTAAGCAGGATGTTGTAGTCTATGGAAGACCAATATTCCTGCTGAAAATAACTAGAAAAGTCATATTTTAAAATCACTGTGTGTGTCTGTGTGTGTTCAAAGGCATTAGGAAGCTAGGAAGCTAGGAAGCAAGGGCAACAACAGGTTGCCCTCTCAGATTCTGGAGAGTGGAGAACCTTGGAGAGGTAAACTGACATCTAGAGCCATTTTCTTTCCCTGGAGGCATATGTCAATTCTCTGCAAGAGGAAAAGGATGAGGATATGGGCTTTGCCCAGACAGAGGGAAAAAGACACACCAGCAGAACAGAAAAGAACTTTGAATTAACTAAAGTAAATCCAATTAGTATTTTTCAAAAAGTAAAGGAAAATGGGAAAAAGCTGATGAAATAATGGAAAAATTCACCAAAGAATCGGAAAATATTAAAAAATAATTCAATGCAAATTCTAGAACTAAAAAAAAATCTATCAAAATAAATGCATTTAAAAGAATATTAAAGGCAACAGAAAGCTCTTCCAAGAAAAGAAAAACAAGTCAATAGAAATAGCCAAATGAAAGCACAAAAATTGAAAATATAAAGCACAAAAATTGAAAATATAAAGACGTGAAATACATGTAGGACATATTTTAAAAATGTAACATTCATGGAAACTTAAACAATAGAGGAAAAGGAGGTACAGAAGCACTATTTCAAGAGATAATGGTTGAGAATTCCCCTAAACTGGTAAAACGCATCAATCCATATATCCAAGAAGGTCCACATAGTTTATGAAAGCCCTGAATAAGCATATCATATTTAAATTAACAGAAACCAGTAACAAAGAGAAATACACTGAAGTCAGTCAGAGGAAAATGTCTCATCTTTAAATGATCAAAAATAGTACAAACAGCTGGCTTCTCAGTAGAAATGTAAGACACTGAAAGATAATAGATTTATATATGTAAAATAACCACCAACATCCCATTCTATACACAGTGAAAATATTCTTTTAAAATGAAAAAGTAAAGAAGTTTTCAGATAAGCAAATACTGAGAGTATTTGTTAGCAGCAAACCTGCGTTATATCAAATAAGTTCTTTAGTCAAAAGGAAAATGAACCCAGAGACAAGCACAGAAATATGGAGTGAAATTAAAAGCATCGGAAAAGGTAAATATGTAGAAGAAAGCAAACACTGACTGAAAAAAACAATAATACTCATGTTGTATTGGGGTTTAAACATTCTTTGAACTATAATTGTGGCAGGAATCATGCAAAAAGAAAGAGATATCATTTGAGTTTTTAAAGTTCTGAGCTTCTATCTAGCATTACTGGGAAAATTGAAAAATGGTAATTTATAGTAGACGATAAGATGTCAAGATGCAATTTGTTATCTACGAGATAATCACTAAAAGAATAGTAAAATACGGTCATGTTTCACATAATGACTTTTCAATCAACAACGGACTGCATATAGGACAGTGGTTCCATAGATTATAATGAAAGTGAAAAATCCTATCACTTGTTATTTACTATACTTTACTTTTATTGTTATTTGAGAGAGTATTTCTTCTACTTAGAAAAAAAAAGTTAACTGTAAAAAAGACTCAGGTAGGTCCTTCAGGAGGTATTCAAGAATAAGGCATCATTATCCTAGGAGATGACAGCTTCATGTATGTTATTGTCCAAAAGATCCTCCAGTGGAACAATGTGTGGAAGTGGAAAACAATATACTGATGATCTTGATCCCGTGTAGGTCTAGGCTAATGTGTGTGTCCATGTCTTAATTTTTAACAAAAATGTTTAAAAAGTAAAAACAAATACATAAATTTTAAAAATAAAAAATGTGTAAAATAAGGATGTAAAGAAAAAAATATTTCTGTACCACTGTACAATGCATTCATGGATTTAGCTGTATTACAAAACAGTCAAAAAGTTAAAGTATATAAAGTAGAAAAGATACAGTAAGCTAAGGTTAATTTATTATTGAAGAAAGAAAACTATTTTTTATAAATTCAGCATAGCCTAAATGTCCAGTGTTTATAAAGTCCATAATAGCAAACAGTAATGTCCTAGGACTTTTCATCCACTCACCACTCACTCACTGATTCACTCAGAGCAACTTTCAGTCCTGCAAACTCTATTCATGGTACATGCCCTATTCAGGTGTATCATTGTTTATCTGTTGTAGCATTTTTTACTATACCTTTTCTATGTTTAGATATGTTTAGATACAAAAATATCACTGTGTTACAATTGCTTACAGTATTCAGTAGAGCAACATGTACATGTTTGTAGCCTAGGAGCAATAGGCTACATCATATAGCCTAAATGTGTAGTAAGCTGTACCATCTAGGCTTGTGTGAGTACAGTATGATGTTGGCACAACTACAATATTGACTAACAACACATATCTCAGGACATACCCCTGTTGCTAAGTGACACATGACTGTATTTCTAATAATACATTAATGAATGGAAAATGAAATAAGTCCCCATTCATGGGAATTCAGAATGATTAAAAGGAACATAATTGTGGTAGACCAAATAATGTCTCCACCCCTGTAAGAAAAGTCCACATCCTAATCCCTGGAACTTCTGAATATGTTGGTTTACATGGAAAAGGGCAGTTAAGGCTGCAGATGGAATTAAGGTTGCTGATCAGCAAACCTTAAAATAAGGTGAAAGTCCTGCATAATCAAGTGAGCCCAACATAATCACTAGTGTCCTTTGAAGGGAAATGTCCTAAGAGGCAGAAGTGTACCAGAGAAAAGGCAATGTCAGAAGGACTCAGCCTGAAGTTGCTGGCTTTGTAGAGAGAGAAATTGACTAAAAATCCAGGAATGTGGTTGGCCTCTACAAGCTGGAAAAGGCAAGAAAATGGGTTTTCCCTAAAGCCTTGAGAAAGCAAGGTGGTCCAGCCAATCTCTTGATTTTAGCCCAGTGAGATCTATTTCAGATTTCTGAACTACGGACTCTAAGATTAAAAAACAAAAAATGTTGTTTTAAGCTATCACTTTTGAGGTAATTTGCTCTGGTCACCACAGAAAACTAATATAACAGCACAGACCTTTCTCTCCTCCTCCTCAAATTCAAGCTTCTCTGCTCAAGGGACATTACACTCTGTGGATCTTTACAGATATGGTAGTCCTTCTGATATGCAAATCATTTGCCAGAATATGACTATATCTTCTTGAGTAAATCCTAGATGCCTGGTCTTTTCAGGGCTCCAGGAAGCATTAACAGTGAAAGCATTAAAAAGCATCGAACCGGGAGGAGCCAAGATGGCTGAATAGGAACAGGTCCAGTCTACAGCTCCCAGCGTGAGCGATGCAGAAGACGGGTGATTTCTGCATTTCCATCTGAGGTATCAGGTTCATCTCACTAGGGAGTGCCAGACAGTGGGCGCAGGTCAGTGGGTGCAGCGTACTGTGCGCCAGCCGAAGCAGGGCGAGGCATTGCCTCACTCGGGAAGCGCAAGGGGTCAGGGAGTTCCCTTTCCTAGTCAAAGAAAGGAGTGACAGATGGCACCTGGAAAATCGGGTCACTGCCACCCGAATACTGCGCTTTTCCAACGGGCTTAAAAAACTGCCCACCAGGAGATTATATCCTGCACATGGCTCAGAGGGTCCTACGCCGACGGAGTCTCGCTGATTCCTAGCACAGCAGTCTGCGATCAAACTGCAAGGCGGCAGCCAGGCTGGGGGAGGGGCACCCGCCATTGCCCAGGCTTGCTTAGGTAAACAAAGCAGCCGGGAAGCTCCAACTGGGTGGAGCCCACCACAGCTCAAGGAGGCCTGCCTGCCTCTGTAGGCTCCACCTCTGGGGGCAGGGCACAGACAAACAAGAAAACAGCAGTAACCTCTGCAGACTTAAATGTCCCTGTCTGACAGCCTTGAAAAGAGCAGTGGTTCTCCCAGCATGCAGCTGGAGATCTGAGGATGGGCAGACTGCCTCCTCAAGTGGATCCCTGACCCCAGAGCAGCCTTACTGGGAGGCACCCCCCAGTAGGGCAGACTGACACCTCACACGGCCTGATACTCCTCTGAGACAAAACTTCCAGAGGAACGATCAGACAGCAGCATTCGCGGTTCACGAAAAACCACTGTTCTGCAGACACTGCTGCTGATACCCAGGCAAACAGGGCCTGGCATGGACCTCAAGCAAACTCCAACAGACCTGCAGCTGAGGGTCCTGTCTGTTAGAAGGAAAACTAACAAACAGAAAGGACATCCACACCAAAAACCCATCTGTACATCACCATCATCAAAGACCAAAAGTAGATAAAACCACAAAGATGGGGAAAAAACAGAGCAGAAAAACTGGAAACTCTAAAAAGCAGAGCACCTCTCCTCCTCCAAAGGAATGCAGTTCTTCACCAGCAATGCAACAAAGCTGGACAGAGAATGACTTTGATGACTTGAGAGAAAAAGGCTTCAGACAATCAAACTACGAGCTACAGGAGGAAATTCAAACCAAAGGCAAAGAAGTTAAAAACTTTGAAAAAAATTTAGATGAATGTATAACTAGAATAACCAATACAGAGAAGTGCTTAAAGGAGCTGATGGAGCTGAAAGCCAAGGCTCGAGAACGATGTGAAGAATGCAGAAGTCTCAGGAGCCAATGCAATCAACTGGAAGAAAGGGTATCAGTGATGGAAGATGAAATGAATGAAATGAAGCAAGAAGAGAAGTTTAGAGAAAAAAGAATAAAAAGAAACGAGCAAAGCCTCCAAGAAATATGGGACTATGTGAAAAGACCAAATCTACATCTGATTGGTGTACCTGAAAGTGACGGGGAGAATGCAACCAAGTTGGAAAACACTCTGCAGGATATTATCCAGGAGAACTTCCCCAATCTAGCAGGGCAGGCAAACATTCAGATTCAGGAAATACAGAGAACGCCACAAAGATACTCCTCGAGAAGAGCAACTCCAAGACACACAATTGTCAGATTCTCCAAAGTTGAAATGAAGGAAAAAATGTTAAGGGCAGCCAGAGAGAAAGGTCGGGTTACCCTCAAAGGGAAGCCCATCAAACTAACAGCAGCTCTCTTGGCAGAAACTCTACAAGCCAGAAGAGAGTGGGGGCCAATATTCAACATTCTTAAGAAAAGAATTTTCAACCCAGAATTTCATATCCAGCCAAACTAAGCTTCATAAGTGAAGGAGAAATAAAATACTTTACAGACAAGCAAATGCTGAGAGATTTTGTCACCACCAGGTCTGCCCTAGAAGAGCTCCTGAAGGAAGCACTAAACATGGAAAGGAACAACCGGTACCAGCCACTGCAAAATCATGCCAAAATGTAAAGACCATTCAGACTAGGAAGAAACTGCATCAACTAATGAGCAAAATAACCAGCTAACATCATAATGACAGGATCAAATTCACACATAACAATATTAACTTTAAAAGTAAATGGACTAAATGCTCCAATTAAAAGACACAGACTGGCAAATTGGATAAAGAGTCAAGACCCATCAGTGTGTTGTATTCAGGAAACCCATCTCACATGCAGAGACACACATAGGCTCAAAATAAAAGGATGGAGGAAGATCTACCAAGCAAATGGAAAACAAAAAAAGGCAGGGGTTGCAATCCTAGTCTCTGATAAAACAGACTTTAAACCAACAAAGATCAAAAGAGACAAGGCCAATACATAATGGTAAAGGGATCAATTCAACAAGAAGAGCTATCCTAAATATATATGCACCCAATACAGGAGCACCCAGATTCATAAACCAAGTCCTTAGTGACCTACAAAGAGATTTAGACTCCCACACTTTAATAATGGGAGACTTTAACACCCCACTGTCAACATTAGATAGATCAACGAGACAGAAAGTCAACAAGGATACACAGGAACTGAACTCAGCTCTGCACCAAGCGGACCTAATAAACATCTACAGAACTCTCCACCCCAAATCAACAGAATATACATTTTTTTCAGCACCACACCACACCTATTCCAAAATTGACCACATAGTTGGCAGTAAAGCTCTCCTCAGCAAATGTAAAAGAACAGAAATTATAACAAACTATCTCTCAGACCACAGTGCAATCAAACTAGAACTCAGCATTAAGAAACTCACTCAAAACCACTCAACTACATGGAAACTGAACAACCTGCTCCTGAATGACTACTGGGTACAAAACGAAATGAAGGCAGAAATAAAGATTTTCTTTGAAACCAACGAGAACAAAGACACAACATACCAGAATCTCTGGGACACATTCAAAGCAGTGTGTAGAGGGAAATTTATAGCACTAAATGCCCACAAGAGAAAGCAGGAAAGATCCAAAATTGACACCCTAACATCACAATTAAAAGAACTAGAAAAGCAAGAGCAAACATATTCAAAAGCTAGCAGAAGGCAAGAAATAACTAAAATCAGAGCAGAACTAAAGGAAATAGAGACACAAAAAACCCTTCAAAAAATTAATGAATCCAGGAGCTGGTTTCTTGAAAGGATCAACAAAATTCATAGACAGCTAGCAAGACTAATAAAGAAAAAAAGAGAGAAGAATCAAATAGATGCAATGAAAAATGATAAAGGGGATATCACCACCGATCCCACAGAAATACAAACCACCATCAGAGAATACTACAAGCACCTCTATGCAAATAAACTAGAAAATCTAGAAGAAATGGATAAATTCCTCGACACATACACTCTGCCAAGACTAAACCAGGAAGAAGTTGAATCTCTGAATACACCAATAACAGGAGCTGAAATTGTGGCAATAATCAATAGATTACCAACTGAAAAGAGTCCAGAACCAGATGGATTCACAGCTGAATTCTACCAGAGGTACAAGGAGGAACTGGTACCATTCCTTCTGAAACTATTCCAATCAACAGAAAAAGAGGGAATCCTCCCTAACTCATTTTATGAGGCCAGCATCATCCTGATACCAAAGCCGGGCAGAGACACAACCAAAAAAGAGAATTTTAGACCAATATCCTTGATGAACATTGATGCAAAAATCCTCAATAAAATACTGGCAAAACGAATCCAGCAGCACATCAAAAAGCTTATCCACCATGATCAAGTGGGCTTCATCCCTGGGATGCAAGGCTGGTTCAATATATGCAAATCAATAAATGTAGTCCAGCATATAAACAGAACCAAAGACAAAAACCACATGATTATCTCAATAGATGCAGAAAAGGCCTTTGACAAAATTCAACAACCCTTCATGCTAAAAACTCTCAATAAATTCGGTATTGATGGGACGTATCTCAAAATAATAAGAGCTATCTATGACAAACCCACAGCCAATATCATACTGAATGGGCAAAAACTGGAAGCATTCCCTTTGAAAACTGGCACAAGACAAGGATGCCCTCTCTCACCACCCCTATTCAACATAGTGTTGGAAGTTCTGGCCAGGGCAATTAGGCAGGAAAAGGAAATAAAGAGTATTCAATTAGGAAAAGAGGAAGTCAAATTGTCCCTGTTTGCAGATGACATGATTGTATATCTAGAAAACCCCATTGTCTCAGCCCAAAATCTCCTTAAGCTGATAAGCAACTTCAGCAAAATCTCAGGATAGAAAATCAATGTACAAAAATCACAAGCATTCTTATACACCAATAATAGACAAACAGAGAGCCAAATCATGAGTGAACTCCCATTCACAATTGCTTCAAAGAGAATAAAATACCTAGGAATCCACCTTACAAGGGATGTGAAGGACCTCTTCAAGGAGAACTACAAACCACTGCTCAATGAAATAAAAGAGGATAAAAACAAATGGAAGAACATTCCATGCTCATGGGTAGGAAGAATCAATATTGTGACAATGGCCATACTGCCCAAGGTAATTTACAGATTCAATGCCATCCCCATCAAGCTAACAATGTCTTTCTTCACAGAATTGGAAAAAACTACTTTAAAGTTCATATGGAACCAAAAAAGAGCCCGCATCGCCAAGTCAATCCTAAGCCAAAAGAACAAAGCTGGAGGCATCACACTACCTGACTTCAAACTATACTACAAGGCTACAGTAAACAAAACAGCATGGTACTGGTACCAAAACAGAGATATAGATCAATGGAACAGAACAGAGCCCTCAGAAATAACACCGCATATCTGCAACTATCTGATCTTTGACAAACCTGACAAAAACAAGCAATGGGAAAGGATTCCCTATTTAATAAATGGTGCTGGGAAAACTGGCTAGCCATATGTAGAAAGCTGAAACTGGATCCCTTCCTTACACCTTATACAAAAATTAATTCAAGATGGATTAAAGACTTAAACGTTAGACCTAAAACCATAAAAACCCTAGAAGAAAACCTAGGCATTACCATTCAGGACATAGGCAAGGGCAAGGACTTCAGGTCTAAAACACCAAAAGCAATGGCAATAAAAGCCAAAATTGACAAATGGGATCTAATTAAACTAAAGATCTTCTGCGCAGCAAAAGAAACTACCATCAGAGTGAACAGGCAACCCACAAAATGGGAGAAAATTTTCACAACCTACTCATCTGACAAAGGGCTAATATCCAGAATCTACAATGAACTCAAACAAATTTACAAGAAAAAAAAAACCCCATCCAAAAGTGGGCGAAGGACATGAACAGACACTTCTCAAAAGAAGACATTTATGCAGCCAAAAAACACATGAAAAAATGTTCACCATCACTGGCCATCAGAGGAATGCAAATCAAAACCACAATGAGATATCATCTCACACCAGTTAGAATGGCAATCATTAAAAAGTCAGGAAACAACAGGTGCTGGAGAGGATGTGGAGAAATAGGAACACTTTTACACTGTTGGTTGGATTGTAAACTAGTTCAACCATTGTGGCGATTCCTCAGGGATCTAGAACTAGAAATACCATTTGACCCAGCCATCCCATTACTGGGTATATACCCAAAGGACTATAAATCATGCTGCTATAAAGACACATGCACACGTATGTTTATTGCGGCACTACTCACAATAGCAAACTTGGAACCAACCCAAATGTCCAATAATGATAGACTAAGAAAATGTGGCACATATACACCATGGAATACTATGCAGCCATAAAAAATGATGAGTTCATGTCCTTTGTAGGGACATGGATGAAGTTGGAAATCCTCATTCTCAGTAAACTATTGCAAGAACAAAAAACCAAACACCGCATATTCTCACTCATAGGTGGGAATTAAACAATGAGAACACATGGACACAGGAAGGGGAACATCACACTCTGGGGACTGTTGTGGGGTGCGGGGAGGGGGTAGGGATAGCATTGGGAGATATACCTAATGCTAGATGACGAGTTAGTGGGTGCAGCGCACCAGCATGTCACATGTATACATATGTAACTAACCTGCACATTGTGCACATGTACCCTAAAACTTAAAGTATAATAATAATAAAAACAAAACAAAACAAAACAAAAAGAAAAACAAAACAAACAAACAAAAAAAGCACCGAACCAATCCAAATGTCCATCAGTGATCGACTGGATTAAGAAAATGTGGCACATATACACCATGGAATACTACGCCGCCATGAAAAGGATGAGTTCATGTCTCTTGCAGGGACATGCATGAAGCTGGAAACCATCATTCTCAGCAAAATATCGCAAGGACAGAAAACCAAACACCACATGTTCTCATTCATAATTGGTAGTTGAACAATGAGAATACATGGACACAGCGAGGGGAGCATCACACACCCGAGCCTATCGGGGGATGGGGGGTTAGGGGAGGGATAGCATTAGGAGAAATACCTAATGTAGGTGACGGGTTGATAGATGCAGCAAACCATCATGGCACGTGTATACCTATGTAACAAAGCTGCACATTCTGCACATGTACCCCAGAACTTGAAGTATTATAAAAAAAAAAAAAGCATCATCTGGTCTCACTAGAAGTTCCTGAGACACCACAGTATACTTTGGTGAGTGTTTCTTGATATCGGTAATAGGGCAGTTTCTGATTATTTCTTGAGGCATGTGCTCATTTTTTGAGTCATGTGCAGGTATATGAATTCTATATCCTAGTATGACATCTGAGGACTTACTTTTGATATATCTTCACTCTCCTTCAAATTGTCTAAAATATTCCCCTTTATCTTTGAAATGATGTAAGATTTCTTATCTTCTCTATGTTTGCCATAATGAGACTTTTGGGGGCACACTTGTGTGTCACAGACATCCCAAAATCATGATGACAAGCTAATGCTTTACTCATAGTGCCCAATTTATATCTATATCCAGGAATGAAAATGTCTTTAGCATCTCAGGTAATAAGGAGTTATCAGGCACACCTAGAGAAAAGAAGTGCTTTTAAGAACATAGTGGTAATGTACTTTGGCTTTGGAATTCAACAGAACTACAGTTGGTCCTCCGTATTTGTGGGTTCCACATTCATGGATTCAACCAATCTTGGGTCAAAAGTATTGGAAAAAAAACTTCCATCTACACTGAACATGCACAGATTATTTTCCCCTGTCATTATTCCCTAAACAATATAGAATATCAATTATTTACACAGCATTTATATTGTATCAGTCATGATGAGTGATTTCAAAATTATTTAAGCATAAAGGAGTATGTGCATAGGCTACATGCAAACACTACCATTTTAGGTATGGAACATGAACATCTACAGATGTTGCTATCCAGGAGAGCTCCTGGAAACAACCTCTCACATCGAGAAACGATGATACTTCAAATACTTTTCCTGTCTCTTTTTCAAAATCTGAAACCTTGGCAAGGGACATAACCTCTTTAAATCCCAGTTTATATACAATGGGCATGATAATAGCTCCTTTTTCCAAGGGTCATTATTAGCACTAACTGAAATTATTTTTATAGCAACTACCATAGTTCCAGCACAGGTAAGCACATTTCTATTGTAATATGATTACAATAGAATGTAAGCACATATATAAAGATTATAATTAGAGCTTATGTTTCTATTTACATTTCAATGTGCTTAATAGAAACATAAGCTCTAATTATAATCTTTTGAAAACAAATGTTGCATATTTATTTTAGTTATGATAGGTGATAGATATATAGGCCTTTTAATATTTGAACCATTTATCTCTTTCTACTCTTTTGTTATTACATAAAAGTCTATTTTCATTAAAAGGTTTTATCCTTATTTAAAATTATTTTATCATTTACTACCAGAAGTAAATTTACTGAATTAAAGTGGCATCTATGATCGAATCATTTTCCAGAAATTAACATACAAATTACACTTAAGAAAGTATGAATGTTTCTACACTGCCATTTCCTTATTTGCATAGCATGTTGTCATAAAAATTTCTCTGTTATTTTGAAAGTTTAAAACACCAATTATACGATTTAACTTTCCATTATTGCATTTTTGGATGCAGTTGAACATTGTTTTATGCTTCTTTGTAGTTGTATTTCTTTTACTGTTAACTTTGTCATATAGTTTTTCTTAATCTATTGTATTTTTCTTGATAAATATTGATATATTTAATTTTTGATATTTAAGATAGTAATCTCTTCCATATTTTTATAAATATTTTTGAAATGTTTAAATTTTACCATTTTTTGCTACAGAGAAAATTTCACTTTTAAAGATTATATCTACTTGTCTTTCTCTGTGATTCTTGTCTATTGCTGCTATTTACAAAGTCTTCACAAAGGAAAGATTTAAATGCTTATATTATTTTCTCTATTTTATTTTTTGTCACTGATTTTCATTTAGTTACTTAATTCATTTTGAAATTAGTTTTGTGGGAATTGAGAGATGAACCACCAAATAGCTAACTATTGAATAATTTTTTTTCTAATTCAGTTTTGATTTCTGTCTTCATTTCCTTATTTCTTGTACATATATATAAACATTTCTTTTTTCTTAGTGTTTCCAGAGGCTCAGGTTAAGATGAATGCCCCTTGAAATTGATGCACAATATTTCTTTCAACTACAGCTCTCTTGCCCCTGTAAACTCTATCCCAGCTTCGGAGTACTTATAGAAGGAAGTCTTTTAGAACTAATTTTTGAGAGATTGTACAGTTCAAGCTTAAGCATGCAGTTTCAAATCACATTCAACAAGCTAATGAAACTGTGATTCAATATGGCTTTCTAACTTATTGCTCTGTGAGGACACCAGGGGCAGCAAAGGCTGTCACCACCAGAGTTGATTTACTGGGCTCCCTGTGGGACCCAGGTCCCAAGATGCGATGCCTCCGTGTAATCCTGAAGCGACCTGCCACACCTTCCACCCTCCAGACTAGAGATCTGCAAGGGGCTTATACCGCACCTGCTCTCTGAGCTAAGCTGAGAAAACAGAAGCCACAGATGGTGACGAGGGTACCTCCAAGGCAGGAGAAACCACAGGTAAGACTCCTCTGTGAATCATCAGGAAAAAGAAAAGGGCACATGACTTGTTAGAACATAAGAATTAATACGAGTTATCCACTTAAAGCAGTGCCTAAATGTAGATAGTACTCAATAAATGTGATTGTCTTCACCTGGGCTGTTAAACAGACTTCTGACTATTTCCTCTCTTTCTCTTCTTTCCTATGTTTCCTCCCTTATTTCCAGTTATTTTTTATGTCATAGAAATAAAATCAATATCAGAAGACATTAGCTAATGAGAATAGGACAGAGTAGAAATAGACTGCAGTACAGTAATAAAACCTTAATGAATGAAAAAATTAGGAGATGAAGAAAAAGTAGCAATAGGTTTAGAACTAGTGAAATAGGTGAGAATGCTGCTACAAAAGTCAAAGGAGATATTTGGAAAAAGACACTGGATTTATATCAAAAAAAGATAAAGATTGAATATTAAGCATCACATTTATACAATAGAGTTCATTTTTAGCCTTTGTGAGAACAGTATTGATAGTGAGATTTGTATGAAAGGCTGATTTAAATGTGCTGAAAACTGAATGGGAGTGGGAAAATGGGGGCAGGAAAAATTAGAGTTACCCATGAATTAATATATATTCCGTCATCAAGGGAAGATTAGCTGTGTGGGAGCAGTCTGCAGAATTGGGCTAAGGAAAGGATATCATATATCACAATGTTCTTAAATCTTGCTTTAGTTACCCTCAACAACTCTGAACATTTATTTGTGTAGAATTTGGATTAAATGGGGCAAAGAGATATTATTTCTAATGTTTCTTTTTCTCCCTGAGTGAAGATCCTGAATCTGAAGACACATTCATCAGTCATGTCCCAGGTGACTAACACCACACAAGAAGGCATCTACTTCATCCTCACGGACATCCCTGGATTTGAGGCCTCCCACATCTGGATCTCCATCCCCGTCTGCTGTCTCTACACCATCTCCATCATGGGCAATACCACCATCCTCACTGTCATTCGCACAGAGCCATCTGTCCACCAGCGCATGTATCTGTTTCTCTCCATGCTGGCCCTGACGGACCTGGGTCTCACCCTCACCACCCTACCCACAGTCATGCAGCTTCTCTGGTTCAACGTTCGTAGAATCAGCTCTGAGGCCTGTTTTGCTCAGTTTTTCTTCCTTCATGGATTCTCCTTTATGGAGTCTTCTGTCCTCCTGGCTATGTCCGTTGACTGCTATGTGGCCATCTGCTGTCCCCTCCATTATGCCTCCATCCTCACCAATGAAGTCATTGGTAGAACTGGGTTAGCCATCATTTGCTGCTGTGTTCTGGCGGTTCTTCCCTCCCTTTTCTTACTCAAGCGACTGCCTTTCTGCCACTCCCACCTTCTCTCTCGCTCCTATTGCCTCCACCAGGATATGATCCGCCTGGTCTGTGCTGACATCAGGCTCAACAGCTGGTATGGATTTGCTCTTGCCTTGCTCATTATTATCGTGGATCCTCTGCTCATTGTGATCTCCTATACACTTATTCTGAAAAATATCTTGGGCACAGCCACCTGGGCTGAGCGACTCCGTGCCCTCAATAACTGCCTGTCCCACATTCTAGCTGTCCTGGTCCTCTACATTCCCATGGTTGGTGTATCTATGACTCATCGCTTTGCCAAGCATGCCTCTCCACTGGTCCATGTTATCATGGCCAATATCTACCTGCTGGCACCCCCGGTGATGAACCCCATCATTTACAGTGTAAAGAACAAGCAGATCCAATGGGGAATGTTAAATTTCCTTTCCCTCAAAAATATGCATTCAAGATGAGGGAATGCATTTCTTAAATTACTGACAAGTATGAGTCATAGGCTTAAGGGGGGAATATATTCAGAATTAGGAAACTATAAAATAAAACTTCATCATAATATTAAGGCAGTATGACAAGTCCCTGGCTTTTAGCATGGAATTTTTGGCTGAGGTGAGCTAGCAGCAGTGATTCTATGCAAAAGAGATATGGATCTGAGTTGATAAAATTCTAGCACATCTTAGCAGCTATCCCAACGGGAGGATTTTAATGGATTGAGTAAAGTTCTCTCGAAGCTTGTCTTTCTTTCTGGATATTTTTCTCTCCTACGGGCTTGTTTAAACTTAAACTCCCAGAAGTTTAAAGGAAATCCTGTTGTTGCCCCTATCACCTATTCTCTTAGGCAGTTCCATTTAGGCATTTAGGTAAACATTAGATCTTCTGTTCTGGGTCACTCTCACGGGTGATTGGACTTTCCTTTGCAAAGGAATGATAACATTTTGAGGGACAATAGACACATCAAGTTTTTCTGCCATTCAGATTTACCTAATTAACACCAGCACTTACCTAATCTGAATTAGGTAAATTCAGATTTACCTAACACCCAAGTAATTTAATTTACCTAATAAACACTCAGCAAGCAAAATAAACATATGCAAGAAGTCTAAAATTAGTGTAAGGTTTTAAGACTTTTCACAGTTCCTACCTTGCTAGAGTTTTTCAGTATTCAGAATTCAAACTTCTTTCTTGTGGGAAGAAAAACTCATTTTTTTTCCGGACCAGAGCAGACTTTTTTCATACTTTTATGTTCTTAATGTAGCTCTGCTTCTTACAGGCAGATTTCCTTGGGCATCATGAATTTTTCACGAGCAAATATTCTAGTACAGTGATATGACCTTAAGGATCATAAAAAATATTTTGTGGAAACAAGATAAACTTTCCCAGCAATATCGGTTTGAAGGGACAACTATAAATTTGATCACAGCTTCTGATTGCTGGATTCATGGTGCAGGTGGTCAATATTGGGATCCACTTAGATTTGAATCAACATAGGCAGTGGGAGCACAGTGGAAGGTAGTGTTACAGAACTTTCTCCTTAGTTCCGCTAAAACTGAGCTCTTGTCACACAACCAGGAAGGATTAGGCTCGTAGACACATAGAAGGGTGAGGAAAATGAAAGTTATTCGGGGAAAAGAGAAAAGGGAAAACAAAACAAACAAACAAAAAACAAACAAACAAACAAAAAAACACCTTTCAGCAAGATGAAAGAGTCCTGCTACCAGGCTTCCCGACTCACAGATTGAATCCCAGGTCACCACACAGGAAGAGGAGAGGCCAGGATCTTCCCCTCTGCAAATGGCATGAAGTTCCTGAGGCCGCCCTCCATCCTCCCAGTACACAGGTAGGCATTATTCAGAAAGAATCAGTCAGGAAAAGGCAGGCTTCATCCAGGACCAACAGTCTGGTTTTTCAGCCTTCAGGCTGTTATTTAGGGTTGAAGGCAGGGTTTCACTGGGGACCCCTGGCTGCCTCCTGTCTCTGTAAGTAGCATTAGAAGTGAAAGGCAGGGCCTGGCGGGGTGGCTCACGCCTGTAATCCCAGCACTTTGGGAGGCCGAGACGGGTGGATCACGACGTCAGCAGATGGAGACCATCCTGGCTAACACGGTGAAACCCCATCTCTACTAAAAAATAGAAAAAATTAGCCGGGCGTGGTGGCGGGCGCCTATAGTCCCAGCTACTCAGGAGGCTGAGGCAGGAGAATGGCGGGAACCCGGGAGGCGGAGCTTGCAGTGAGCCGAGATCCCGCCACTGCACTCCAGCCTGGGCGACAGAGTGAGACTCCGCCTCAAAAAAAAAAAAAAAAGAAGTGAAAGGCAGAAAGCAAATACCAAAGGAATCTCTTTCTCTTCCTACATCCTTTCCTCATGTTTTATTTTTTCTCTGCTAGAGCCTAAAAGTTAGCATTTTTTAATAGAAACATGGGTCTGCTGGCGTAAATTGCAAAATGGAAGATGTGCATTCTCACAATAGAATTTAAGTCCAGAAAATCCAAATGCTGAAAAAAGTCAAGAACATGGATAGAAATATGGGTCAAAAGAAAATTTTTGTCAATGTACAGGCTTGTTAATGCTCCAGAACAGCATGTGGAGCAAATAAATTTTGGGATTATGTTGGTTTTTCAAAAGAGGAGCACAGGCTACCATAAATAATGTCTTGATGAGCGATATCTATCGATGCAATTTTGTGGTCAGAGATGAACTAACAAGTCAAAACTTAACTAGAAATCAGATGAAGATTAAATCAAGTAGTCTGCTTCATTATTTGTTGTTCTCCCTTTTCTGTTTCCTTTCTTGAGATAAACTGTTTATTGTCTTCTTCCTTTGCATGTGTGTGTGGCGAGGGGAGGAGGGCTTTATGACTTTAAAACATCATGATATGTTTAGATTTTGAAATAGATTTCATTTTTGTAAATTTTTTTAATTGGGAAATGTGTCTGCAAAATTATTGGGTACCTAAAACGCAAATAACTATACTGGTCATATTTTGTTATAGAAATGTGTTTATTATAAAATATAGAGTATGATTCTAAGAATGTAATATTCTTTGTATCTTATTGACCCTCTGTAAATTATTTTAAGTTAGCTATTTAAGAGGACATAAGATTGGATATTAATTTTTTGAGATGTTAAATGGATCCATTAGTTCAAATAGAAGCTAGCCTAGCCTGCTACTATAGAAGAAGGGACAAATTTTCAACCAAACACCTAAGAATCATTTTGCAATAATTAGCGTAAAAAGAAAAGAGACAGAAAATTTGAAGTTGCCAAGGTGTCCTTCAGTAAACAAATGGATGATCAAATTGCAATACATCCACACAATGCAATATTATTTGGCAATTAAAGAGGAATGAACTATCAAGCTGCACGAAGATGCGAATGAATCCAAAATGCATATTGCTAAGTGAAAGAAGCCTGTCTTAAAAGGCTAACAAAATACATGATTGTATTTAAATAGAATCCTGGAAAAGGCAAAACTATAGTGAGTATGTCAATCAATGGTAGTCAAGGTTTTGGGGAAAGTGAAGTGTTGAATAGGTGAAGCTCGAGGATTTTATTTTTTAGGGTGGTGGAATCATTCTATCATATTGTTATGGTGCACACATAACACTATGCACTTACCAAAATCTATGGAATTTACAGCATTACAGGATGAAGTTTAATGGAAACAAAATTTAAAAATTATTTAAGACATTATAGGATTACAGGATGAAATGCACAATGTGACCAGAAAAATCTAACTCTCTTATAGTTATTAAATATATGAAACAACCACACTGAAATAATTCCGGGGAAGGGGGGAGTTGCTGACCTAAGTAACTTTGGAAATAGGTGAAATCTGTTAGACTAAAGGCAAAAAGAAGTATAGTATGTACTCTACCCTACTTAATGAATCAGTTTCTCATGGCGGTGTGGATTAACACCGCCCTAATACATGTGTTAGGGCACAAAAAAGCCCCTACAGTATAGTTTTTTGGCATGTTGAGTGCTTTAAATTAAACAAAACTGAAAGTCCTTATAAATAAGCCTCAAAACCAAGGTCTCTCTCTGTCTCCCTGTTTTTCTCATCCCCTTTCTTATCTGAAGTTCCCTCATCTGATTACAGAAAGTACCTCCAGAAAAAAATGCAATTATCTTAAAACTCCTTTTCTAGGACTCTTACCAAATAACCAGGAAAGATTAACCACAGGAGAAAAGAGACTAAAGTCAGTTGTCATCACATCCAGATAAACTTTCCATCTATTCTTCTGAAGACAGCTTTGAGAGATTACCTGGGAGACATTATCTGCACGATGAGACAACATTTGTTCACAGTGAAGTTCCACTACTCACCTTCCCATCACCTCCCCCAAAGCACAGAGGAACTTTGTCCTAGTCCATTGTTCTTTTGAGTTATTCATTTCCCCTGGAAATTATTTACTACCCCTCACAATTGCTTACATTTCCCCTTCTCCTTCTCCCCTATGAAGATGGTATATACCGACCGTCCAACCTTTCTTTTGAGTTTCATATTTTATGTGGCTCCCACGCATATGCACATTAATAAATTCATATGCCTTTTATCCTATTAATCTGTCTGTTGTCAGTCATTCCAGTGAATCTTCACAGAGAATGAAAGTGAGGCGTTCTCCCTGCCCCTACACATGTGTGCTGAAATTGAACAG
The DNA here is from genome assembly GCF_000001405.40 of Homo sapiens. Lineage (NCBI taxonomy): Eukaryota > Metazoa > Chordata > Mammalia > Primates > Hominidae > Homo > Homo sapiens. The sequence continues at coordinate 5,427,356 of NC_000011.10, forward strand.
TTAGGTAAGTGAAGTGAATGACAGATGGCGTGAGCCAGGTTTTTCAGAGTTAGAGTAGAAGGTTACAGACACAAGGGGAAAAGCCTTGAATGAACCATGAATTAGAGTTGAAGACATCAGTGTGATGTCAGTTTAGCCTAATATAGATGCAGATAAACACAGAAATATTTATAGATTTTGTATATGCACAGTTTAGTATGCTGACATATTTTTTTTGCTCTGTAAGCTAGGAGCACCTAGAAGTGACGACAATCCAGTAGGAACAAACACATGAATTAACATAAAACTGAATATCTTTGGAAATAATTTTAACTTATCTGACAAATAAAACCAGCATAGAAAATACTGAAGCTCAAAATTTAGATTTTTGATGAGAAAAATAAACCTAAAACTTCTGGTAATTAAAATGTTTTTCTACCATTATATTTCATACGGGAATGATATTAGAAAATAAAAACAACTTCAACTATTTTTAAACATCAAATTTAAATTATGTACATTTTTATTGCAAAGAATTATGATATGGTGAATATTAAAATAGTTTTAAATATAAATATACAGTGCATGGTCAAAACTTTTTGATGGAGGTAAAATAAAATTTTCAGTTAGAGGAAAAAGGTACTGATGTAAAATATCTGACTGTTAAAGAACATGTTCATGTATTCTTAAATTCATGATGTCAGGTATCAAAACATTATGTGTTTAGATTTTCTTGGATATTTAAAGATGTGATACAACAATTTACTTTAAACTAAGTATATTTATAATACTCTATATATATCCCAAAAGACATGCTCAACAAGTAAATTTATCATAAAAAAATTAAATATCAATCTGAATATTCTTGAGAAGATATAGGCGTACCTTGGAGATAATATGGGTACAGTTCCAGACTGCCACAATAAAGTGAATATTGCAAAAAAAAGAGTCATACTTAAAATTTCCCAGTGCACATAAAAGTTATGTTTACACTATAATATAGTCTGTTAAATGTTCAGTAGCATGATATCTAAAAATGTACATACATTAAAAATACTTTATTGTTTAAAAATGCTAACAAAATGAGCATATGCTGCTGAAAAGATGGCGCAGATAGACTTGCTCAACATAGGGTTATTACAAACCTTCAATTTGTAAAAAATGCGACATCTATGAGGCACAATAAAGTGAAGCATGTAAAATGATCCATGCTTATATATAGATATGTTTTAGCTTTTTATATTAGAAAGTACATAAACAAAAATTGGATGACTACTGTTGTAAATATGAAACCACCTTTGCAAAGATTATGACAGTGAGAGAAATCTAACATGATTGACACCATCTTGCTTCTAGCCTCACAGCCTGGCTGTCTTCACTCATTTCTGGGCATAGGCCAAGCTAACCATAAGAGAATTTAGTTTATAGTTTAACTTAGAAACAAGGACCATCATAGTCCCTCCCCCAAACTAATCACCTCCTTGTTCAGAGGCTGAAACTACCTTTGTAAGGCTAATGAAAGACTACAGGATTAGAAATAAGAGAGGGGCCTGAATTCTGCTAAAATGTAGGTATAGTTTTTACTGTCCCTTACTGCTTCAAAGTGATGTGGCCAGAGGTCACAAGATTTGTGACTGCTCCAATTGGTCCTATAGTTAACATTGCTACTGTAGAACTTAAGATTGGTGTTTTGAGATGTTTTTCAGACTGACCCCATCCAGACTTGTAACTCATGACTCAGCTGGTCCTCTGCACCCACCACACACAGAGCCAGACTCAGCACATGACTACCATTTTCCACATTCTTATTATTGTATCCCCAGCCAATCAATAGCAGCACCTATTCCCTAGTCCCCTGCCCACCAAACTACCCTTGAAAAACCCCAGCCTTTGAGAGTTTGGGGAGACTGGTTTGAGTAATAACTCCATCTCCTGTGTGGCTAGTGTCAATAAATTCTTCACCGCAATACCAGGGTCTCAGTCTGTGCAGTGGGCTGGAAGAACCAATCAGTGACTACAAACACACTAAGTATTTCAAAAAAGTCACAGACAACCTTACAAAGACAACCCTTGTAAGCTGGATGAGTCAAGGAGAATAATATGTGGTGAGGACAATATTTTCATTGTAATTGGAGGCCCCAAAGTGAGTGCGAATGATCAGTGACACTAATCACTGATCAATCAGCACAGTTCCATAAATTCACTTTATACAAAGGCCTGTGTGTTTAGGAGATGAGAAGATGGTCGTTCCCACTTGACCAAGGTTTGCAGGAAGCCTAGGCAAACATGGGCAGATGCAGAGGGGAGGGGACCCACTAGACCCATGATTATGGGGCTGAGGAAGGGGCAGGATGGGGAACAGATAAGAATAAAAGCACCACATGCACGGTAAAGCCACAGAAGCATGAAAGGAAGGGAGGAAATAGAAAAAGGGTATAGCCAGGAACAGTGATATCAGACTTATTTGCCAATAAGTGTTTATCTAAAATTGAGCCTGGGATTCTACTAAAGAAGAATTTGCTGCTTTTGCTGAGATTCTTAGAATCTGTAGCCTGGGCATTGTGACATTGTTCATATTTTATTTCATGCTTCAGTTGAGGTCTTTTGGTCAGCTGTTCATTCTCAGAGTGTCGGTACATAAATTCTGGGTGTGAGACCACTGGACAGCAAGTTTTAGGAAGAGTCTCTTTTCTTACATAACAAGAAGTTGCTTCATAGGTAAATGTAAACAAAAATAAACAATTTATTGTTTGATCAAGAACATTTTTGAGAGTAAAAGAAGGTAACATTAATAATAATGCTAAGGAAAACAGATGTAAACCATGAATATCTGGAGAAAACCAGAGAGCATGCTCACCTTACTCAAAGACATGTTCCTAGGATAATATTTTTTTAATTGGAAGATATGGTTAGGTAATCCCTACCTAACCCATAAAAATAGAATTTTGCTTTATTTAAATTTAAATTTCATTAAGTCTCAAGTTTTTACTGTTAACTTACTATTTGTCAGGCTTTTTTGCTAGGAGTTTTGAGAAAATGAGGAAAAGGAAAATCCATTACTTCTGCCCCAAAGTCACCATATCTGGTTAGAAGAGAAAGTCATGTACATGTGCACACACAGAGACACACATACACAAATAAAATGTGAGATGGAAAGGGTTAGGAATAACTCTTGCATTTCAGATTCAAGCCTGTTGCAATACTTTGAATTCCTTGTTCCTATTCCTCCTCAAAATGCCTAATGTAGAGCTTTGCCCATAGCAGAAACATTATCGGAATTTATGAATTTAATGACAGTTCCTGACTCCTTGCAGTGATTCAGAGCAATTCCCTCTTGCAGGAAAACAAGGTGAGAATTCCCTGTCTTATTGTCTGGGTCTTAACACTATAGATGATGGGATTAAGTACAGGTGGCACCAAAAGGCAGATGCTAGACATAAGTGTGTGGACAATGGGAGAAGCATGTTTGGCAGCACGATGCATCACAGACACCCCAATCATGGGCACATAATATATAAGCACTGCACAAATATGTGACACACATGTGTTGAGAGCCTTCCACCGTCCCTCTCCAGAAGCAATGCCCATCACTGTATAAAGAATCAAGACATAAGAGACCACGATAAGCAATGAGTCCAGCCCGAAATTTGCGAGAACAATGGCTAAGCCCAGGATGCTGTTGAGTTTAGTATCTGCACAAGGCAGCTGGATCAGATCTGAGTGGAGGCAGTAGGAGTGTGAGAGGACATTAGTGTGGCAATAGGGCAGTTGCCTCAAAAGGATTGGAAGTGGGGCCATGAGTGCCACACTCTTCAGTGTAATGCCCAGACCCATGCAGATAATACGGGGCAGGGTCAGGATGGCTGTATAGCGCAGGAGGTTGTAGATGGCTACAAAGCGGTCATAGCTCATGGCTAGTAGGACCCCTGACTCCATGCAGGAGAAGGTGTGAATGAAGAACATCTGGGCCAGGCAGCCATCAAAGTCAACTCTGTGGGCATCAAACCAAAGAATGCCTGTAACAGTAGCAGTGTAGACACAGAGACGCCCACCTCAGTGACAGCCAACATGGAGAGAAATAAGTACATGGGCTCATGTAGGGCAGAGTCTTCCTGCACTGCTGCCATAATTAGGATGTTTCCCACAATGGCCACAATGTACATGGTGAAGAAAGGGATGGAGAGCCAACCATGTTGGGCCTCCAGTCCTGGGATGCCAGTCAGGAAGACAGATAGGAGGTCAAGACTTTCATTGCTTTCAGCTCCCATGCCACCAACAGCAGAGATCAGTCTTCGCCTGCCATTTGAAAAAAACTGAAGTTAGTCCCCAACCGTTGGATCTTCTGCCTTAGCGGCCAACCTGAAAAGTTGAAGAAAGGAGATGGGGCAGGAAGCAAGAAAGTTGGAGTCATCTACGTCATTCTGAATAAAAGTATAACAGACATCCTCTTCTCTCCTCCTGTTCTCCTGAGTTCCAGAATCCTAAATGTTACTTGGAAAAGAGATATTTCAGACTGCTCCATCTTTTTAAGTTTTTAAAAAAGTTTTAAATACTTTTTATGGATGCATAATATTTGTACATATTTATGGGATACAAGTGACATTGTGTCACATGCATAAAATGTATAATCGTCAAGTCGAAGTACTTAGGATATTCATCACCTTGAGTGCTTATTACTTCTATGTGTTGGGAACATGTCAAATTCCTCTCTTTTAGCTACTTTGAAAAATATGCATTGTTGTTAACTCTAGTTACCCTACTCTGCTATCAAACATTAGAACTAATTCCTTCTATCTAACTATGTGTTTATAGCTATTAACCAGCCTCTCCTATCCTTAACACACATGCCTTTCCACCCTCTGGTGATTATCATTCTACACTCTACCTACATGATATCAACTTTTTTAGCTCCCACATTTGAGCAGGAACATGCAATATTTCAGACTGCTCAATCTTGTGAAAGACAGCATAGCTTAAAAATTAAGAGCAGAAACTTTGGAATAAATAAATCAGACCTGAGCCAAAATCCATACTCAGCCAGTTACTAGATGTGTGATGTGTTCAACTTATTTATACTCTGATCCAAAATTTTATTTTGTTTTTGTTTGGCTTGGTTTGAGTTTTAACTTGTGACATGAATGTAATAATACTATTCTTTCTGGTTGTAAGAAAAAATGAGAAAATTAATGTCACATATTCAGTATTTTGAACTAAAGTCTTTCAGAATCCATTTGCAGAGCTTCAAATTACTGAACATGTGACATTAATTTTCTCAGTATCTCTACCTGTAAACTGGGGATTAAAATACACTTGCTTTTTAGATTTTTTGTAGGATAAGCAAGATATTACATGGGATATTGAGTAAGATATTTTATTCTTAGAGAGACACTAGGACCCAGAGAGAAAAATTGAATAACAGGCCACAGCTTAAAAGTCAGTTTCTGCAGAGCCTAGATTACAGTTTAGATTCATGATCTTCTCTTGTAGTAAGGTTACCAATTTCACTATGGAGATGAGAGTAAACTGTGGTCTGATCTAGGTTGGAGTCATCAGAAAGAACTGAGTTTTAGCTTTGACAACGTGAACCTTAGAAGGGAAGAACCCCTAGTAAAGATCATCTCCATGTATCCCCATTCCACCTCAGAGAGGGAAAAATGTTTTGAATGAAAGTGAGACTATGGTTTTAAAAAGCTGAAAAAGGGAGAAATAGGAATATGGACAATGAAGGATATAAACATTTCAGGTGAAAATTATGCTAATACACAAGTTACCTCTGAGTTAGAAACAAACAGAGTTTAGGAAAACTATCAAAGATGTAGTGGCTTCTAAAAGACCATATTTAACCAAGAATATATGCAAAGATGAAAACAAAGACACAGAGATACAAGACTCCTTCAGTGGCCATGAGATCAGAGAGAAATAGCTAATCCCAGTCAGAAGGTTGAAATAATATATAATGTAATATAATACAATGTAACATAGTTAATGTAATATAACAAATTAAATTTATAAAATCAATTTTTAAAGACAATAACAGTGAAGTAGGAAGGGGTGCTCATGACTGGTATAAAAACTGAATTACTTCCAATCACCAGTTCACACATTCACTCAACAGATTTGATGTATGAGTCAGTGATCCTGCACCAATTCTTTATCCTCTGGTTACCCAGTGTTGATGTGAAATTGTTCATACATCTGAAAAGTTTAATAAAAATGCCCTGCTGGAATAAATGTATGGTCAGGAGAATGTACTGTCAAGGGAATACAAAGAGCTATGACCTCCAGGAGTCATACCAGCCTGGGCAACATAGCAAGGCCCCATCTGTACTAAAAATTAAAAATTAAAAAATTAGCTGGGCATGGTGGCACATGCCTGTAGTCCAGTTACTTGGGAAGCTGAAGCAGAAGAATCACTTGAGTCCAGGAGTTCCAGGCTGCAATGAGCTATGATTGCACCACTGTACTTCAGCCTAGGCAACAGAATGAGATCTTACATCTAAAAATGAAAAAAAAAAGAACTATGACTATGGAGACAAGAGCAATGTAATTATGAGAATGATCCTAGGTCCTGCATTCTCTTACTCTCTACACTCTTCATGCACCAGCTCTGCTGAACTCTGTCCTCTCTCAAAATTAATGACTTTCCTGACATGTGAAATGTGTTTCCTTGTGCCTCTTACCAATTTATTTATCTTGAGTCTACCTTATTGATCAGCGGTTCTCAACCTTTGCTATGCATCAGAATCACCTGAAGAACTTAAAAATCCCAGTGCTCAGGTAACACCCCATACCGATTAAAGTAGAATCTCAGGGTGTAGTACCTAATTATCAATGTTTTAAAGCTCCTCAGATGAACCCAATGTTGAGAACCACTCCAGATTCATTTTGTAACATTCCAGCCCCTTTACAGTGACAGCATTTTAGACTAAAATGAAATTTGCAAGCTCTCCCTGTCTCCCTCCATGACTTTCAGATAACTTTCCTACTCCACTCTGGACCTACAAGTTAAACATTTATTTGTGTTTCATCATCCACTAGACCACTCAGCATCCTGAAGCTCCTCTGAATTGACTTGGATTTGCTTATAACACTCCAGGGTGGTGCCCACAGATGTAGCCTAGGTTTTGGGGCTAGTGCACCTCTCTAGAGGGTCACTTAAGGGACAGAAGGGCTTGGCAGGACTCTTTTGAATCTGTCTAATTATCTCTCCTGAAGATCCTGACCTGCCTCACCTGAAGATGCTGGTCCCTGGTAAAGCATCATCTTCAGCAGGAAGTAAGAATCAAGACTTCGAAGGACCATGAAAAGAGGAACATGCAGGACAGTGAAAAGATTGGCAACGTCAAGGAGACCATAGCTCAAAAGATTAACTCAATCTGTGGATGGAAAATGACAACCAGAGGGGCAATTTCTTCACTCCTAAGATGCCTTATTTCAATCTCATAACAGCCATATCAAGTGACTTGCCTGAAACCCGTAAGTGGCTGATCTGGGACTAGAATCTAGTTCTTCCAATTATAAGTCCCATGGTCTTCCCTATAAAGGCCAGCAGCCAACCTTCTGAAGCAAAAGACATCTAAATGAGAAAAATGGGAAGATGCTGGAGAAGTCGGTTATCTTTATTTTTCCAGGCAGAGAAAAAGACTGAATGGCAGATAGATTTTTTTTCTAGCCTCCTACGCAAACTGGAGGTCAGGTGGTGGGGAACAGGGGTTAAGTCACCTTTGAAAAATAGCCCCATCTCAAAAGGCTATATATTCAGTGATAAACTTAATAGGCTCTCTAGAATCTGAATCAAGAGTCCAATCTTGTACCCACTGAGAGAATGTCCATCTTTATACAATTGTCACCCATGCTCAGCATCAGCATTCCCAGTGATGGGGAGTTTATCGCATCCCTAAACCACTATCCTGGACAGATCTCATGGATATGAAGTGCTTTCTCACATTGGTCTTAAACGTGCTTTCTCTACATTATAGATAATGTTGCAGACTCAGAGACATAATAATCTTCATCAAGTATTAACTGAATATTGCTCATGGAATATGTTATTTTCTTGCAGAACACTTATGTTAATTTGTAAACATGTATGTACTTGTGTAATTATCTAATGTCTGTATCCCTACCAGACCATAAATTCTAAGAAGAATGGATGATATTGACTGTTTTTGTTTGTCTGTTATCACTAGATAACCCATACTAGCACAGGGTCAAATACCTAACAGATGCTTAATAAATATTTTAACTGGATGAATAAATAACTGAATAAATAGTATCTGAGGTTTCCATGGTGATATCCTGTAATCTTTCCTTCTTCTCTTAACCTGTCCTAAATCCCTTTAGCTATTTCTCCAAGTGTCTGACTTTTAATTTCTGCACCACAAAAGTCCTCCTGTCAGAGTGACCAATCAATAGTCCAGTGTAATATGAATCAGCAGTGTGATATATAGCTTAAAACAAATCTGTAGTTTTTTCTAACACTATTTAGCAGAAACAATAACTTTCTTATCTGTAACTTTGTAATACTTTGTACAGACTTTTTCTATTTTATTAAAATTACATTTATACCTCCTTCCTGTCAGATTTTGAGCTCTTTTAGGATCAGACTTGTGCCTGGTTCATCCTGTCCTTCTCAACACACGACATGATTCTGACACAAAGATATGCTAAAAAAATCATTAATGAATAAAAGATGAATATACTACTTAGGCTGTAACTGAAGTACCTTCAGTTTTTGGTTCTCTATTCTAAATAGGAGTTAAACTGACTGCATCACACGCAAAAAGTAAAGGGAATTAAGTCACATTAAGGACACTGAAGGAATGAGTGATGCTTCATTTTGACCAGAGGAGACTGCAGTAGAGACGGGTTGGGATCAGTATGACAGGTGCTGAGCCATAGGTGGAGATCACAGGGTGACAGTCTGGGGTTCATGTAAGAAACACTTTTCTAAAATCACAATGAAATAATAAGCTTCTGGGCAGTGAAGGTGTTCAAGCAAAGACTGGATAACTCTTCATGAAAGTTCTGGAAGGAGAATGTCAGCATCTGCTGAATCGAGGTTAATGGTCTTTCAGCTCTCTTTCTGCTCACAGGCCTGAGATTCCAGACTCGCAAGGTGTCTCCTATTCAGTGACAGAATCTCATGTCTGTGGATCTGTGTGGGACAGAACAGAGGCAAGTTCTCAACCCCTGCTGTGTGATCACCCATGTGTCTTTCACTGCTAAAGCAGTCTCTGGCAGCTTTATCTGAAAGTGGCTGGCAGACCATGAGGGTATTTGAATGAATATTGTTCTTTCTATAGAAAACCTATGTAAAAGTGAGGTTTGAGGATTTTTAAATTGTGCACAACTATGCAAACATACACAGGCATTGATAGAGATTCACTCAAAGATACAGAGGCATGATGAGAGAATCTGAGAGAAACATACAGAAGCACAAGCAGAATTGTAGCTAGAAACACACTTATTGTATACATACCTCAAAGACACAGACTGATCAAAGTGTCTTGATCACCTTGAGGGAGCTTTGTGAAGTGTGAGTTGGACTGAGAGGCAGAGGACCAGAACTCACAATGGCTCTAGAATGGACCTCAGGTGGGCACCAGCCAAGAGAGGAGGCTGCCTTTATGCCTCTGCGGAATTGTTCCCAGATGCCAGAGCCCCTGGGGTCCTGCTTTGCCTGAGTGTGATGCTGTGCTGGTATTGGGGAAAGGAGGAGGGTTAGATCTTACCTTGGGAATAAAAAGATAAGAAAAAGCAAACAAGAAACTACTTCACCTGGAGATACTGCCCTCTCTCCACTGATAAAATGAAATTTCAACTCCTTCCTTATAATGATGAAGTTGGAGACAAATTCTCCAAACTTCATAGCAACACCCCCCACAGTTATCCAGTCTCAAAAGTGCAACTCTGTGCTCAGAACCCACAGTCTAGATCCCTGAATTCTGAGCTTAAAACTCAGATCTCAGGCAAAACCTAAAGCTTAGATTCCAACGGGAAAATTCCAGAGCTCACATCTCAGAGACTGGAGCTTGAAGGCCAGAGACAACCCCAGGATTTAAGCCAGAGAGGATATGACCTGACTGCCTCAATCCACTTAGTCCTACACTTCCCTCCTGAACTCCCACTCCCATGGTCTGCCAAGTTACTACAAGTTAAGGGTCTCCTCCAAAAGAAACATTCCAGGATACTGAAGGACCATGGGTTCAAAATCATACAGACCTAATTTTAAGTCCTGGCCTTGCCACCTGATTTTAGAAGATTAACATTCCTTTAGTTTTGAACCTGATTTATAAAAAAGGATAGCACCTAACTACAAGGGATTGAGATTCAAATGAGAAGAAGGAAGTCATAGGTTTGTTTCTTTTTATTGAATTTATCACACATGCTAGTTATCGTTAAGTTCTCTTGCGGGTTTTGATTTCAGGTCTCCCAAACAGATTCTTTTTCCCAACACCTGAACTTCCCATTAAATAATCCATTTTACTTCTTGTTCATCTCAGTTTTAGAGTGAGGGTGTATTGAGAGAAGGAACAGCAGGAAGGCTCTCTCCCTTTTCTATCAAGTGGTGCGATGGTTCAGGGAGGGAAATAGAAGATGTAATGTTCTCTTCCCCATGTGGAGCACTGAAATATCAAAGGAACAGAGGAACAGTGGCAGAAGAACACCTTCTACTTTTCATTATTGTTATAGGATTGGTTGGATCAAAAATTATGCGTTGGGAACCAGGAGATGAAATTCAGGAGTAATCATGAATCATGACCTTGTAAGTTAGGTCACAGAATCATGGACAAAGAAGGAAACAAATGATGCCTCATATTGGGCATAAATCTCTGGCAAGGAGAGGCAGGGCTTTGAGAAGTCATGATGTAAAATGACTCTAGCTATGTTATTAGAGGCAGCATGAAGGGGAACAAACCTGGAGATACTGCCCTCTCTCTCCACTGAGAAAATGAAATTTCAACTCCTTCCTTATAATGAAGAAGTTGGAGACAAATTCTCCAAACTTCATAGCAACACCCCCCCCCAGTTATCCAGTCTCAAAAGTGCAACTCTGTGCTCAGAACCCAGAGTCTAGATCTCTGAATTCCGAGCTTAAAACTCAGATCTGGATCTAAACATCAGACTGGATCCAGTTTTTTCATTCATTTAAATAGTTGTTTGGTTATTCCCTTAATTCACATGTACTGGTGTGACCAACTCTGTGCTGAGTGCAGAGTTTTAGCTTGGACTGCCATTATCTATTGCTCTTTTTTAGATATTTAAAATGTCTTTTTCCAAACTCAGTTTCTGCCTCCATTAAATGAGGGCATAAGTCAAGAAAAACTCTAAATATTTGTTCACTCTGATAATGGTAATACTAAACAAAACATCCATGCAAATCTCAAGACGAGGGCTTATTGTATTAAACGTCATTTGTGGGGAAATTTTGAAGCTTTCCTCCCCACAACAAAGCTTAAATAGAGAAATAAATATATCCTGTGGAGTGGAAGTTAAACTTTTAACAATGGAGCAAAGCAGAGATAGACGCAATCTGCAGGTAAACGCTTGGTAAACAAAAATACAACCAGATTAAACATATCCCATCTAAAGAGGGAAGAAGTTAATAGACTGCAGAAAAGAAAAAGAGTTAATAGATTTGCAGAAAAGTCTCCGAAGACTTCCTGATCAGGAGACTTGTGTACAGTGAAGTTCCATTGACAAATTTCTCTTGCCTAACCATCTCAGTATGACAATCAACTGTTCTTTCTCTCTCTCTCGTCCTCTCTCTCTCTCTCTCTCTTCCAGTTCTATTTGCCTGAATGGGAGCCCTAAAGTTGGAGTTTGCCTGAATTTTCAATGTCAAGTAGTTTGGCATGACAGGAGGTAGGAATTGAGGGAAAAGAAGGAAAGCACAATATGGGATTATGACTGTGGGGTGGCTGGAAATTGTGTATCAAATTCTCCTCTGAAGCTATTTCTGTCTTCCACCTGCACTGTCTCATGGAGATATTAAGGTTATAAATCTACTCTACTTCCCTTCACCAACAATACCATATGCTTAATTGTGATACACTGAGTTTCCCACTTTAAAAGTCATTCACAAGTTTACTTCAGCAATCTCTCAAGACCTTGTGCCCCAGTGTCCCAGTTGGAAACTCCCCGTTTGTCTAAACAGTTATCTGTAACCAATATTCTAGGTTAAAAGTTCTCAACCTTTAATAGATATGGAAATAACTTGCAGAATGTATTAAAACACAAACTTCTTGGTCTCACTCCTGATAGTTTTTTGTTCAGATGTCTAAAGAAAGTCCTCAGAATTTGCATCTCTAACAAGTTTCGATGCAAAGCTGATGATATTGATCTGGAAATCATATATCGAGAACCACTTTTCCAAACTCTTGTTAATCATGAGTTTTGTTACTCTTGTTGCACAGCAGATGGGCATCAATCTAATACCTGAGTGCTGTCAGAAAAGAGAAACATTGTCCTTCTCAAGGTATAATCACCCAAGGTTCTTATCAAAAGCAGTTCTCATTCAGTAGGACTTATGTGGGGCCTAAGAATCTGTTTCTCTATAAAGCTACCAGAAATGTCAATGATATTGTTTAGTAGACCATACTTGGAATAGTACTGTTCTAAACGTTTCTGCCTAAGTGTTTCTTCTCAGGCAATTATCTCTGCCAAAATCAGTACCCTTCTTTCTTCCTGCCATCCTGAATCAAGAATTCTAACTTCTCTCATCCTTCACAAGCTACTTCATAACCACTCAACATAGCCTGTTTTTATTACCACAAACAAAGTAGATCTTCTCTCTTGCATTAAATACAAAGCCTCCATATATTTTGTCTCTCTTTAATATTTATTATCTCCTTCACTCTGGGCAGGAGCAGAATTATTTTTGATAAATTCTGTTTGCCCTGCTGAACTTCATTATTCCCGTATATGTCAAACAAGAATTTTTCAGGATACCGATGGCTCTTTTTTATATTTTCTCTTCACATGTCTATCTGGTTACTTGACAATATTTCATACTCACCATTATAACATGCCTAGTAGCAACTAGCACAATAATTTTCACATAAGTATTGAATAAATATGTATGCCATTTTATAGTCAAATATTATTTTATTAGTGATACATTCACTACTATCAAGATCCTGGGTCCTCTTCATCCTTACTTTAGCATTCCTTAAGTTGTTAACATGTCCCAATCCTTCCTCCAAAGGAGCTTTTGGGGCCTTCAGCCTTCCTCAGGCCTGGGATTTATGGAAGAACTTGAGAATCCCTTTGCGGATCTCCTTGGTTTTCACACTGTAGATGATAGGGTTGAGCATGGGTGGTACAAACAGGTAGACATTGGACATCATGACATGAACAACAGGTGGAGCACTTTTCCAGAAGCGGTGAATCATGGAGACAGCAATTATGGGCACATAAAAGGCCAGCACTGCACAGATGTGTGACATGCAGGTGTTGAGTGCCTTGAGCCGCTGTTCCTGGGATATGATGACCAGCATGGCTCTCAGGATCAATGCGTAGGAAAGCAGGATGAAAGTTGAGTCCATACCATAGGTAAAAATGATCACCAAGAGCCCATAAATGTTGTTAACATGGATGTCTCCACATGCTACTTTCATGAGATCTGGATGGAGACAGTAGGAGTGATGCAAAACATTGCCTTTGCAGAAGGGCAGTCGTTTCACCACAAAAGGGAAAGGGAAGAGAGTGGTGAAACTCTTGGTAAGGATGCCCAGACCCATAGCCAATATACGGTTGTGAGTGAGCACAGTGACATAGCGTAATGGATAACAAATAGCCACAAAGCGATCCAAGCTCATGGCCAGCAGTATGCCTGACTCCATGAAGGAGAAAGTGTGGATGAAGAACATCTGGACCAGGCAAGCATTAAACGCAACATGGTTGTAGTTGAAGCAGAAAGTAGAAATCACAGTGGGAAGTGTAGAAAAGGACACTCCCAGATCATTGAGAGCGAGCATAGAGAGGAAGTAGTACATGGGCTGATGCAGAGCAGGCTCCCAAAACACCAGAGTGAGAATGCTGAGGTTACCTACAATGGAGATCATGTAGAGGATGCAGAAAATCAGGGCAACCCAGGTGAGGCCTGTTTGTATCCCAGGAATGCCTGTCAGCTGGAGTGTTGCTGGCTGGAAGGGGGTGCCATTGAGACCCAGCATGGTGGGAGAATATAGATAGGGAATGGACCCAAGAGGGTGTGTTGGGAAACTTCTTCACTTTCTTTCAGATATCCTGTCTCCAACAAAAGGTCATAGATTGAAAATGATTGCCTGTATTCCTGCCTTCCCAGTAAGACACTCATCTCTTTAAGGAAGCAACCGGGTTCTAATCGTTTGTGTACCACCAGGGCCCTGCTCACTATCTAGGCCATAGTAGAAACTCTGTGGTTTGATGATCAAATGAGTGCCCATAACATAGCAAGGCATAATAGGAGACAACATTAACAATTGCTTCTGGTAGACCAGAAAGAGGAAATGCATCCTAGGCTTTGGAAAGTCTTTGGTAGATAGCATAGATGGAACATCTACTACTATAAATTTACAGATTCAATAACCTGTAGCTCAGACTTCACCCCAGCCTCCCAATCCCAATGGCTGCCCCTGAACTTGTCATAGCCAAAAACTTTTCTATCCCTGAAATCCTAAATTTACTGTTTTCATATCCTTACTCTAGGCTTCTACCTTCCAACCTTCTCATGCCCGTGCACTTGCTCTTGAGTCTCCATGATTCCCCCATTTTCCTCTGGTCTATGAACTCTTCTTCCTCACTTTTCTCCTGAACTACTCACCCACACTAAAACTGGTATTTTCATCTCCTCTTTATCTCTCTTTCACCTTCATATAGTAAACTGCAACCTTTAATAAATTCTACAATCAAACCAGGTATGCAGCTGGATAAAACCAAAGAAGAAAGTATTTTATGGGAATAAAAAAAGAGAAAATTATTACTTAACCATTACCAAAATTTTAAACTTATACACACCTTTATTCATTCTTAACCTCTATTTTCTGAGAAAGAGATTTCTCTCCTTCTCCAAGGACAGGCTCTCCACCTTCAGGATTTCATTTCTTGTCACTCCTTCAGAGCCTTTTTCACTAATCCAGTGGATATTCATTCTCTCCCTTTCTGCCTCTTTTCCTTCAGACAATAAGTATGTGCAAGACTATTCCATCATAAAGATGCGATAACATTCTTCTCTACCCACCACTCTATGACCCTTTCCCAATTCTTAACCAAATTTCTTGAAAAATTGTCTCTCCAGGTACCTGAAAATAGAAGCTTGTATTTTATCATTATTATTTTTTAGTTATTTGCCTGCTTCTCCAGCTTGTTTCTGAGATCTTCGATGTCGGGATTCAATCTTACTTACATTACCTTCTATCACTGCTCAATTCATTATATCGTGGCTTCCACACTCCCCTCCTCTGAGTTGAAACAAATTTCTCTATGGTCACCTAGTGACCTCTTTGTCTCTGAATCTAATGAAAACATTCTCTCTCCTAATTCACTTGATCTTCTTGCTACAGTTAACACTGTCTTTAACTCACCTGTTTAGAACCACCTTCTCCATTCAAGGGTACTATTTGTCCACAATTGTATTTCTTCCTTGGCTTCTCCTTCTCTGCCTTCTTTACTGAATTATCTTTTCTGTCTTTTTTTTAAGCAGCCTCAGCCTAACTTCAGGCAAAATAAACAATAGTCAGAATGATGCAAACTGAGAAGTCACACCATAAGAGACTTCATCTCAACCTTTATTTAAAATAGCTCTTCTACTATATTTTCATGGTATTTGATATCTCAAAATTAAACCTCCATTCTGGAATTTCAGCATAATGTCTCTTTTATTATTTTTCTCATTTTAGAGTTCCCATTTTATTCCTACCACTCCTCATAAACAGAGTGAAATTAGATGGTGACAAGGTGCTGGATCATATCGAGATATCAGTCATAATCCCAAATATATATAGGTAGTGAGAAGAGATTCATCTATTCCTTTGGTTTCTCTCTCCTCCCAATGAAAAGGCAAAGCATCCATTTAATGAGTAGTGTTTTCTCCTTATGGGCTACTCTCCTTGCTAAACCTCTCTTCCCCTAAACCCACATTTAAAGTCCATGTCTCTAAGAGGTCTTTTTAGATCTAGCCTGTTCAGATCTGTTTTTTTTTTTTCTTTACCTTTGCTGCAAGATTTTCTCTGAGTCATGAAGAAATAAAAAGACTCTTCTAAGAATTCATCCACAAGATAGGTTTACCCCCGTCTGTAACCACTGGCATGCAAATTGAGGTAGTCTAGAAAGTAATATTTTATCTATTTTCCAGATTTTCATCAGTCTACAAAGCAACTTTGAAAACTTTTCCTCCATGGAGAAAATTCCCCACCACCACCCCCAAAACATTTTTTCTTTGCTTTGTCCACAGGAGTGTCCATGAAAACTTCCTAAATGTGACCTATCTTGGAAGGAAGGTCAAGAAGGTGGAGAGACACAAGCAATGCACAGAATATCATGAGCACACACACACACACAGTCACTCAAAGGTACCAGAAAAATATACATTTTTACACTCTTATACTTACACACCCGGTATTTATAGGCACTATCTCATACCCACACATACACACAAACTATCAAACACTCCCCTACTCACACAAAATACTATCATGCAACAACTTAGGAAGACTCATTGGTATTATGCAATATATTTCAAATATTCTCTTATTTTTAAGCTCTCCTGAATAAATGTTTATACACACACAGTGTCACAAATGCATCAGCATTAACAAAACCACAATAATATCTCCACCAATTATTTTCCCATATACATACATATATGCTGACATACACAATACTGAAAATCCAGCTAAGATTGACAACTACATTGTTAAATGACTTCAGTCATTTGGTTCTGTAACTTTTCTCCAGCTGTACACACAAAAGTCAGGTATCAAAGGCAAACATTCAAATCGTAGGCTTTTAAATAAGAAGTATAAAATATCCTTGAGACAAAAATCTATAAATGATGCAGCAGTACCTTAACTCAGTGATATGTGGTTTGGTATTATGGTTTTGATTTAGATGGAAACCTGGCATCAGGTGTCTGTGATCCTGGAGTTTGGAAGGGGTCAGATTTGGCTCACATTTAGAAGGGGAGATATAAGGGTTAAAGGCTGCCTGGAATTTTGGCAAAAGTGTTAAAATTTAGAATAAAATCTAGATAAAGAGGTCAGGTGGGCAGTGTGAAGCAGGGAGCACTCACTGGATGGAAGATGCTTTCCTTGTAGCTGGATATACTATGCTGTGGGTACAGCTGGCAGTGGCATCAGCTCATTCTCCTAAGACTTATAAATTTATGAGCCCTCCAGAACACCAAGTCTTGCTTGTGTGTGGTGGGAGGAGGGACCATGGAAATAACTGGGAAGGTGGTATCAGTGAAGAGTGAGTTGGGCCATAAGAGAATTGCTCCCAGGAGAATATCTTTCTTGGCACAATTATCCCTGATGTAATCATCCATATCTATTAGTGTGTTAATCCTTCTTTGATCAGGGAATGTAAACACACTGCATACATGTATGCACAGAAACATAAATAGCCATAGCTCTCCTGAGACCTTCACAGATACCCCCTTAGACCTATTTAACTATTTATTTACTAACATTCACATTGCCTCATTCAAATTTACATACATACAAACAGATAAATACAAATATACTCAGGCAATTGCCCAGTGCTCTAGTCACTAATTGTATGTATTGTCACATCAAACACACACTATAATCTATGTATTCGTACATTGATTATATAGACCAATTTAAATTATAGACAAAACTTAGAAAAAGACTATGAAATAGAGACTTAAAGAAATGATCAAATATGTTTTAAATACATTTCCCTGCTTAAATAGCTAAAAATATATATTGCAGATACATATTCACATTCTCATTAACAAGTCAATAAAATATCCAACAAATTCAGATCTCCATATTTATTCAGATTCATATGTGGAATTTAAGTGTGTTATGTATTTTTTGTACAAATGCATGCTAGCATCCATGTAACAAATTCCTTATGCAAGCACTCCTTTTACTCCATTACTATATGGAACCTAAAAATTATAATCAGTTTATTCCACCAACCAAACAGATAAAAACAGATTTTTGAGCAACATTTTAGTCTAGATATTATTATCAGCACTTATAGTATACAGACCAATAAAGACGCAGCACCTACCCTTGCAAAGAACATAAATATTTAAAAACTAATCCACCTAACAGGCTAAATGTACCTCCAAGCCCTATCTAGAAATATGTTATAAACATATTTCACAACAAAGCCAATGCATTTATCAAAACTTATCTAGTGTGCATGTAAGACTTGTGCAGTATATGTCTGAAAGAAATCAAAGAACTATACAATGTATTGAACTACAAATAATAATATAACTGCTGAACTATTTATGGAGAAGTGTGTTGTTGTTACAACTTACTTTGAAATGCATCCAAAAGGTGAGCTGTATTGATAAACTAGTAGAAAGATGGATACATCAGAAGATAAATAAGAAATCAAATGCAGCCATAAAAAATGCTGAGTTCATGTCCTTTGTAGGGACATGGATGAAGCTGGAAACCATCATTCTCAGCAAACTATCCCAAGGACAAAAAACCAAACACCGCATGTTCTCACTCATAGGTGGGAATTGAACAATGAGAACATTTGGACACAAGAAGGGGAACATCAGCCACTGGGGCTTGTTGTGGGGTGGGGGAGAGTGGAGGGATAGCATTAGGAGATACACCTAATGTAAATGATGAGTTAATGGGTGCAGCACACCAACATGGCACATGTATACATATGTAACAAACCTGCACTTTGTGCACATGTACCCTAGAACTTAAAGTATAATAAAAATACATACATAAAAAAAGAAAGTAGAATAACTCTCATGAGGTAACCCAAAAAAAAAAGAAATCAAGGATAATAAAATATTCATGGTAGAATTTAGGTCATAAGTATACTGGTATTCACTGTGAAATTCTTTCAAGTTTTCTGTGTTTGAAATTTTTCATAATAAAATGTTGGGAAATTTTTAATGAAAAAAGGATGAAGCAAGACATAGTCTATTATGCCATGTTCAAAACACCAGTGAAAATTCAAACTAATACAAGTGATATCAATGTCCTTTAAACTAACCCCAAGCATCTTTTATATCAACTCAGTATTTAGCATGTTATGGGATAAATTTTACGTATTTGACATAATTGATATTTTTATATGACTAAAGAAAAGAATCAAATTTTTCAGTTGAAGCTATTTTGCCAAAGATTAACTACTTATGTTCAACAAATAAACATTCCCTGCCATGCCTATATCCCATTCTAGGGACATCTATTTCTTCCCCCACAGGACTCTCTGTCCAGTGGATGCCACAGAAACATGCAGAGCCAACTATAATAGAGTGTGATCACTGCCTTCATGGCAGAACTGAACAGTGTTGTGAAGAAAAGAGGCATTGATCCTACTTCAGTGCGTAAGGTTTTAGGGATATGGGGATATAAATCGTGTTTGATAGTGTACCTGCCAGAAGTAGTTCCCAGAGAAATCTGGGCATCTGGCTTTAAGGGAGAAGATCATTTTGTACAACAGAATCTCTACTCCCTAGAACTCTAAAACATCAATTACTTTCATCTTTCATGGACTACAACAAGTTGATGCTTTGCATGGTGCTGACCATGAAAATGAAAGCCCCTAGGAGATCATGTATCTCACAATGATAATAATACAATAAGAATGAGGCTAACAAAATGTGCTTCTGTTCTGTACCAAGGCTAAGCCTGTTTACCCTCAAGTCCACTCCTGACTCTTTTGTGACTCTTTATATCACACCTATCCAATCATTACTTGAAGAATATGATGGATACAGCTGGTTGGGAAGCATTGACAGATGCAAGGTATCTCTCACTCCACTCCCCTGCCTCAGACAGAGTCTCTAGTGTGAGCTGCATCTCTTCTATGGTTCCAGCTTCCACTGGTTGGGCTCACTTTGGCTGTAGTTCTAGTAACCCCACCTTTGGCTTTCCAGTCTATAGGTGGTAGTAGCTTCCTGCTGTTACAAATCTCTGGACTATGTTACTATCTGCTGGTCAGTTCCTCATTTCTTTTGAAATCTGTATAAATAATTTCCAGGATTAAATATATTCAGTTTTTTTGTACTTATTATTATGTTATCACCGCTCAGTCTCAATCCCATATCTTCTATACCATTTTTTGTGATATTGGGATTGAGCCTCTGCAAACTGCATTCCTCCTTTGCCAACCAGCTCCCAAGATCTACAAATATGGGGCATTAGGAAGCTGGGGCAGGAAGAAGGAACTTGTACCCTACTTCCTTTCTGTGGCTCTTTCCCCAGTGGCACTTCTTCACCCAAGTACTAGTGGTTCAATTCCAGTGGCCTTGGTTGGTTATATTTTGAAGCTTTCCAACACTTCTAGAACCAGCCTTACCATGCCCTCTTAAAGACCTCAGAATTAGCCAGATAAGTCTCCCCTCAACCCCCATCTCAGAAGAGTAAGTCCTAGTCATAGGGAACCTCTCTTCTGAATTCTTGAGACCCCAGAATCACCTAAACAGTGACCACTCCTCAAAGTCTGAGTTTCAGCTTTGCAGCACTCCTGTTTCAAATTTGTAAGGTTTAATTATGCCAAATTCCTACCTTTGTTCCTCTAGTCCTAGGCTTAGAAGCTATGTCCTCAAGTTGCTGCCTACAATGATACCTTCATATTCCCTTTTTGTCTTGTGTGTTCGCCAATATTTGGTTAACAATTCATTAATTTTTCTCAATTAAAAGAGCTGGTGTGTTTCTTATATTCTGACCAGACCATAACTGAACCCTAATTTTTGTTCCTAGGTTAGATTGTGACTGATCCATGTGAAGCCAACAGAGTCACTTAATATGATCCACACCCAGTAGATGTTAATCTAAATGAATAAATTAACACTGATAAACGTACCTTTCTGCTCTGATAGCAACATTTAAGGAGAGACTATTGTTGCATTGAGGTAGGGCATTTGTTGTAAAAGCCTGACCATTTCTTGAATGGGGTACAAGCTAGAGAGAGATGGCACGGTGTTGTCTTATGTCCTATCCAAAAGACTGCAAGATTCCACAAGAGCAATCTAGGTTGTGGAAGGAGTTATAAGCAACCACACAGAATAATGATATATTAGCTTAAACCAAGTGGAGAACAAGTAAAAAATGAGAAGAAGCTTCTAAGAATAACCTATGAAAGTAACTGTAAGAAAGAGTCAGCTTTATACATTTAAGAGACCCAGTTAACATGACAACAACTAACTGCAGCACCAATTAATTGTGAACTTTCCATTCCCCCATCTGTCTGTTTCTGGGAGGAGAAGCCAAAAACCAGAGTTAGCACATGAAGGATGAAAGAAGAAGAAAGGATGTAGCTCTGAATGCTGGAAAGTTTGACTATTATTCTAGATTAAACCTTCTAGTTATTCACCAGAAGATATTTTATTATCTGAATGTGACCAGAAAATTTAAAGAACAGAGTTTTCATCCAGGAATAACAAAGAAGAACCAGCCCCACTCAATATATTTAAAGAGACAAGAAGAGTAAAAATAGTCACTTTCTGATTGCACCTCAATTGATGGGCTTGGTCATCATCACATAAAGCCAGAATCTCTTAGGAGGTAATGAGCTCCTCTCTTACAGCGATTGCCTGTCTATCACTAGAAGATGTTTTGAGTGGAGCAGAGAATTGGTCTGACAGATTGCTAAGTTCTTTTTCAGCTAAAAGAGCACAGGCTTTATTCTCAGTAGTTATTATGGACCTCAGGAGACTAAAACCTCCCTGAAGAATTTTCAGACACAAAGTCAGCATCACTGCCCTCTACCGCAGGGCCTGTCATGAGACATAAAAGTGGCAAGGATGAATTCACTTCAGCAGAGACAGGGAAGAACTTGTTCTGTGGGTGTCTCATCAGTCTCTCTTCTGGTGAGTTCTGAAACTCTATAGGAATAAGCCAGCTGATTCTCCTGAAGCCTGCTCCATGAAAGCATTAGACTGGGCAAGGGGTATGGTGAGGGGAAGTGGAAGAGACTGGTGGAGGGTATCTGATAGAAGCATCTTAGTAGAATGAGCAAAGGAGCAGGAAAGATCTCTGGACTTGGGGTTCTTGTTCTGGCACTGCCATGTACTGATTGTATAACCCCAAGCGATTCATTGAGTCCTTACTTGCCATAATCAATTTCTCTGTGACTCCAAGTTTCAAAGGTCAAAGTTTCTGTGGCTCATTAACATTGCTGCAAATTCAGAGAGGGAAGCAGGACTCAGGATACAGGAACGGTTCGGGAATCTAGAAGGGAAGTGGTCACAACCTATCCCATGACAAACAGCTGAAGCACATGTGGTTTAATTTTGCTCTTCCCTTATGAATTCAGTGATAACAAAATACGTAAAAATCTCCAGGATATTAAAAGGAGAAATCAGCTAAACTGTAGATGAACAATGAATAGCTGATAATTTTCATTCTTTATTATCCATGATACAGATTGAAAACTGTGGTCTTTAGACAGCCTTTCTGTACATTCCTCCAGCCTCTACCTTCTTTCTGCCCCCATAACAGCACCATAGCAAACTCTCACAGGCATTCTTTGCTTGATTAAAAAGTAAAATTAAGTAAAAGAACATCAAAGCCATAAAGGATCTCAGAGAATGTCCTTAAAAATAAGACATACACCAGGCGTGGTGGCTCATACCTGTAATCCCAGCACTTTGGGAGGCTGAGGTGGTCAGATCACCTGAGGTCAGGTGTTCGAGACCAGCCTGGCCAATATGGTGAAACCCTGTCTCTATTAAAAATACAAAAATTAGCCAGGCGTGGTGGCAGGCGCCTGTAATTCCAGCTACTGGGGAGGCTGGGGCACAAGAATCACCTGAACCTGGGAGACAGAGGTTGCAGTGAGCCAAGATTGCACCACTGCACTCCACCCTGGATGATGGAGCAAGACTCAGTCTCAAATAAATAAATGAATTAATTAATTAATGAATAAAAATAAGACATAGGTCTAAAAAAAGAAATAGATATTTCTACGCTTATATAGCCAGTACCTTCCAGAGCCAGGGTCAGGACTCCTGACACCCTCGGGGTCCTTTCTTCTAAACCACCTGGTTCCTATATGGTTTCAGAAATCTCAAGGTTCTAGTTCCAGGAATAGGAGAATTTGTGTTCAGCCTTGGAGACAGGTACTTTTGTGTAATTTTTTCTTATGTATCTGCCTTTAACCACTCACTTTGTTTAGGGGTACCTGTGAAATCTTTGTTCAGAAATGCATTCCTCTATTTTCCTTTTAAACTTACTCTCCAATGCCTTAATGATACTTCGAAGACCTTGGTAAGAGAGAAGAGAGTCACTGTTCAACTCCCGCTTATGAGTGAGAGCATGCGGTGTTTGGTTTTCTGTTCCTGTGTTAATTTGCTGAGGATGATGGCTTCCAGCCTCATCCATGTCCCTGCAAAGGACATGACCTGCATGCTCTGCACATGTATCCCAGAACTTAAAGTAAAAAAAAAAGAAAAAGAGAGAAGAGAGTCTTAAAAGTCTTTAAATTAATGTTTTATCACCTGGTCTCCATAAACTGTGAGGAAAGCTCATCTCACTGGCTCTCAGTGTCCATATCTGTTAAGTATTAAACGAGAAAATAAATGTAAAGTTCCTTGCAGAGCAGCTGACATATCACATGCGTTCAATAAGTATTCATTTTCTTTCTCAGTATTACTTTATTCCTATCTGTCCAGACAACCCACAAAATTAGCAATCCCCAAGGTAAGGGAAGGGATATAATTCTGGAACAGTCAGGCAGTCTTTCTTCTACAAATACTAAAGCATAAGTCCCCAGACCCAGAATGGCTTTGGCCTTGCCCTGAACAAAATCCTGCTTTCAGCCTGTTTTCTTCTCCCTTCTCTTTCTGTTACTTTTACATTGGCTTGGTTCTCTTCTATGTACTGTGATTACTTTCTACAAGACTTTATATGAAGAATGAGAGTGTAGTCAAATGGGAGAAATAAGAGACAAACATCAGTTCTGGATCCCAAGTAATCAGAGTTCTTGAAGAGACACAAGCATATGCAGACTGAGCTCTAAGACCAGAAGGGACATATTCAGTACAACACGGAGGGACAGCCACTGCCTTGCTGGAAACCATAGTACCTGTGAGTTATGTATTGCTGGGGATATTTTAAAAATGCTTCCTGGGGTGACAATGCTTCATTGCACCCCATTCCACAACCTCTGTTACTTTTAGATACCTCATATGTTCCTGGGTCCCCTTTCTCCTTCATTCCCATCAGAAAGAACTCTGAGAGCATGGTCCGGTCTTGCTTTGTTAGAGGTTGGAGAGGAAAGAGAAAGGAAAAACAGCGGTATGTAATTCTGGGGTCCTTCTCTAAAATGAGGGTGACCTATTAGCTTGAAATGTCTGCTTAGTGAAAAGCCTTCTAGCCTTCTGTATCCTCATCCACGATGAGGCAATGAACACAAAAGTGTGTCAAAAACAGAATAAACAATACAATCACTGTGACAGAGAAATGGCTGTAAGAAATAATATGTGAATGCCAGCATAAGAAAAATGGTAAATAAATACAAGCCATTAAGGGTTTAAAAAGTGCCTGTGTGGGTTAGTAGATTAATATCAGTGGGCAGTCCCCAAGCATGTAGATAGAAGTGTTGTGTGAGTATACAAATCTATGTGTCTATGAGTGTGTATACATGTATAAATCCTGCATATATGTCAGTGCAGACTGAGAGTATGAGGACAAGATCTACATGTTAAATGGTATAAAGATCAAGAGGGGCCGGGCACGGTGGCTCACGCCTGTAATCCCAGCACTTTGGGAGGCCAAGGCAGGCGGATCACGAGGTCAGGAGATCGAGATCATCCTGGCTAACACGGTGAAACCCCGTCTCTACTAAAACTACAAAAAAAATTAGCCGGGCATGGTGGCGGGAGCCTGTAGTCCCAACTACTCGGGAGGCTGAGGCAGAAGAATGGCGTGAACCCGGGAGGTGGAGTTGCAGTGAGCCGAGATTGCACCACTGCACTCCAGCCTGGGCAAAAGAGAGAGACTCTGTCTCAAAAAAAAAAAAAAAAAAAAAAAAAAAAAAAAAAAAAAAATCAACAGGGACTGTTTGAATATATTTGCACAACAAGAGCGACTTTACGAGATATGGAGATATGGAGAGAGTATGTGAATGAGCGTCTTCTTAGACTATGAATGAGCTTTCTTACTACCTGTTGTGAAGGTACATTAATGTGTCCTTGTGACTAATGGGTATTTTGAGAGTACATCTAACCATGTGATGGTATGTAAGTTTGTATTTGGAACAATGCTCTCCCACACCGAATGCTAGTGTACCTATAGAATATTTAGGGACAAATACATAATTTTTCCAGAAACAGATACAGCCTTGTGCCTTTGCACAAAAATATGTTATTTCTGTTGTTGCTTTTTTGCAGTAATTCTGCCAATGAAAAGCTCATGACTGCCTCTGGAGGCAGTCAATTACCTCCACAGCCCACTGTCCTTTTCCCTCTCCATCCAAGCACACAACATGATACAAAACTTGCTCTGGGAAAGTCTCTCATTAATTTGTGATACATATGAATTAAGCAACATTTTCAAGAAAATATTTAAATATTTCCAAGTGCTACTGATAACACAAACTCCTGACTTTCTTCTCTTGTGGCTATGAATTGTAGTTAGCATATTTCTATTGAATCATGCCTCCAAAATATATGCAAGTTGTAGAAATGTAGTTTAAACATTTTCCTTTTAACTAATTTCTATTATTGAAGTATTTGTCAATGTCTTCCTTGTTCATAAAATAGAGGGAAATATTAGCTCAGCCTGCAGGCTGATCATCATAAAATATGAAGAAAAGGAGTTTGCCTGCATCATCTCAAAAGCAGTGATTTCATGAATGCGTCAGTTTCCATTTATGTCAACATCATCGCTTTGTCTCTTATCTCCTGATTTCTTGTCCTCCAGCAAGTGCAACTGTTAGAATTCTCCAAGTCAGAAGATCTGACTCTGAAAAGTACCCTAAGTTTGTTTTGCTATGGGGTTGTTCAATGTCACTCACCCTGCATTCTTCCTCCTGACTGGTATCCCTGGTCTGGAGAGCTCTCACTCCTGGCTGTCAGGGCCCCTCTGCGTGATGTATGCTGTGGCCCTTGGGGGAAATACAGTGATCCTGCAGGCTGTGCGAGTGGAGCCCAGCCTCCATGAGCCCATGTACTACTTCCTGTCCATGTTGTCCTTCAGTGATGTGGCCATATCCATGGCCACACTGCCCACTGTACTCCGAACCTTCTGCCTCAATGCCCGCAACATCACTTTTGATGCCTGTCTAATTCAGATGTTTCTTATTCACTTCTTCTCCATGATGGAATCAGGTATTCTGCTGGCCATGAGTTTTGACCGCTATGTGGCCATTTGTGACCCCTTGCGCTATGCAACTGTGCTCACCACTGAAGTCATTGCTGCAATGGGTTTAGGTGCAGCTGCTCGAAGCTTCATCACCCTTTTCCCTCTTCCCTTTCTTATTAAGAGGCTGCCTATCTGCAGATCCAATGTTCTTTCTCACTCCTACTGCCTGCACCCAGACATGATGAGGCTTGCCTGTGCTGATATCAGTATCAACAGCATCTATGGACTCTTTGTTCTTGTATCCACCTTTGGCATGGACCTGTTTTTTATCTTCCTCTCCTATGTGCTCATTCTGCGTTCTGTCATGGCCACTGCTTCCCGTGAGGAACGCCTCAAAGCTCTCAACACATGTGTGTCACATATCCTGGCTGTACTTGCATTTTATGTGCCAATGATTGGGGTCTCCACAGTGCACCGCTTTGGGAAGCATGTCCCATGCTACATACATGTCCTCATGTCAAATGTGTACCTATTTGTGCCTCCTGTGCTCAACCCTCTCATTTATAGCGCCAAGACAAAGGAAATCCGCCGAGCCATTTTCCGCATGTTTCACCACATCAAAATATGACTTTCACACTTGGCTTTAGAATCTGTTATTTTGGCCATAGGCTCTCATCAGTAGCATCGTCATCATCATCATCAAAGTATAAGATAGATTGTGTGCTGCGGGAAAAGTAGGCCAGGAGATGGTGATGCAAAACTTATAACACAAAACAAGGAGTTCCAAATGAATAGTACATTCACTAAATACCAACAGTATTCTTAGAAAGATAAATATTGGGGGCAATTGAGTAATTAGACAAGTTTTACAGAGGAAGACTAATTTAAGCTAGGAATTATTTTCTATAATAATGAATATTACTAATATAATAATTAACAAACTTAGTCCTAAAATGTATCAAGTACTATTATAAATTATTTGTGTGTATTAATTCACTTAATATTCATACAAATCCTCTAAGACACAGAGAATTAAGTTAATTCTTCAGCCTAACACAGATAATATGTGGTCCAGTTGACATTCAACACTAATCTCTCTCTAGTGTCAGTGCAGCACCCAACCGGTATAAATATGGCCTGACGGTCAAATTGGCATCATTTAACATTACCATTGCTGCCTTTGCTTTCCCCACCACTGTCATTCTCAAACACTCATACATTGCTTTAACTTCACAAAGTGAAATCAGCTTAACTATTAGAACTCACCATAAAATGTATGAACAAATGTGATCCAGGTAAACTGATAGATATTGCCATTTAGGAAAATCTCCAGATTCTTCTTTACTTCTTTTATCTGCCCACCACTCAATCCTTACCAACAGAAAACAATGTTCAATATCTGAAATATCTGACTCATAGAATTTTGGGGGAAAGGGGGAATTGTGGTAGGGGCACAATTTCTATTTCTCTTTCCTTCTTGAGATTTTAACTGTCTTCCACAAAATGACATGTTAAGAGATGTTAGAAATTAAGTCAGTCTAGGATTTCCAGTTGCAAAAAAAAAAAGCCTAGGATAGACAGACTAGAGCACTTATGGTTTAGATACCAGAAAATAATTCTTTCAGACCTTCTCATACGCTTCCCTTGATACCAGAGGTAGGATATAGTAAGAAATTCCTTGGTGCTAATTTTGGTGCTGTCATACTAAGTTTAGATCTACTTGTAGATCAAAAGAGAGCGAGGGATTGGGGGAGAAAGAAGGGGGGAGAGAGAGAGAGAAAGAGAAAGAGAGAAAGAGAAAAAGAGAAAGAGAAAGAGAGAAAGAGAGAGAGAGAGATGCACTAGGTAGTCTAACTTAACTCACCATGGAAACTCATCCAGAAACCACGTAGTAGCAAAGCATATTGTTATCTAGAGGTTTTTTCTCTTTGTATTGAGGAAATACCAACAAGAGAGAGAGTCAGAAAGAGGGAGCTATTTTAAAAATGAGATAATGTAAGTACTTGGGATTCAGATTTTTTTCAAAAATGTCTACAGGTACAATAAGACACCAATAATATATGTGTCCTGGCCCACTAAATAGATTGCTTTTAGAAGAATGTTTGGATAGCATAACTTAGTATGATTTCCAATGGAAAATTATTAGAATATTTAGTGGTTTAAAGTATGGTCTTCAGTCAATTTAAATAATAACTTTTCTGATTCATATTAGAAGCTCCTATTTCA
The DNA here is from genome assembly GCF_000001405.40 of Homo sapiens. NCBI lineage: Eukaryota > Metazoa > Chordata > Mammalia > Primates > Hominidae > Homo > Homo sapiens. The sequence continues at coordinate 5,456,026 of NC_000011.10, forward strand.
ACATGAAATAATAATTTTAATGCTTTGATATTTTAGTTTCAAATATATACAACAAATACATAAATGCAAAGGCAAGGCTTAGGGAAGCCGCCAAATGAAAGTAAACTCTCACTGATTCCTACCTCAGAAGCAGCGAGGGATACATTCTTTTGACCATAGGCCTTACTTAGAAACCCAATGGTGTAACATAGAAAGGGCAAGGAACAAGAAAATATGAGCCTCCCAAAAAGCCTCTGGCTCCTTTGTACCTTAATTTCACCTTCCTTTTTTCAGCATTAATTAAAAGAGCTACTGATTTTCAGGTTCTAATGGAAAATGCACATTTATATTTTTCCCTCCCTCATGAGACAGATGCCATAAGAAAAATGTAGGGCCACTCCTGCAGCTCTAATCCTAAAAAGGTCTAAGCTAAGCCCTGTTTTTGTTTTTTTGACCTTGGGTTAAAAACTCTTTAACTTCTTTTTATTTAACATAATCTTTTTTGAACTCAACATTTTCCGCTATTGAAACAGCAAAAATACTTGAATTTTGGTCTAAAATAAAGGTAAAAATCAAACTTTGTTTTTGAATTCTTTGGTTACTTTTTCTTTGCTCAACTTTTAATTTCAGGCAGTACATGTGCAGGTTTGTTACATGAGTAAATTGCATGTCACCGGGGTTTGGTGGACAAATTATTTCATCACCCAGGTAGTGAGCATATGACATTTCCTGCCCAAATCTCAGGTTGAAATATAATCCCCATTGCTGAAGGTGGGGCTTGGTGGGAGGTGACTGGATCATGGGGACAGATTTCTCATGCATAGTTTAGAACCATCTTCTTGATGTTGTTCTCATGATAGTGAGTGAGTTCTCATGAAGTCTGGTTGTTTAAAAATGTATGGCACTGCCTACTTCTCTATTAGTCCTCCTCTGGACATCAGATGTGCCTGCTCCATCTTCACCTTCCACAGTGATTTTAAGTTTCCTGAGGCCTTCCCAGAAGCCGAGCCTATGCCAGCATCATGCTTCCCGTAAGCCTGCAGAACCATTATTTCTTTACAGCAATGTGAAAATGAATTAATACAGCATAGTACCCCAAAGGTAGTTTTTTGAACCCCATACTCTTCCCACAATGCCCCTTCAAGTAGGCCTGAGTGTCTGCTGTTCCTATCTTTGTGTCCATGTGTATTCAAAGTTTTACTCCCCCTTATATGTGAAAAGAGGTGGTTTTGGTTTTCTGTTCATGCATTAATTCACCTAGGATAATGGCCTCAAGCCGCATCCATGTAGCTGCAAAGGACATGATTTTGTTCTTTTTATGGCTACATAGTATTCCATGGTATATATGTACCACATTTTCTTTAACCAGTCCACTGCTGAAGGGCACCTTGATTTCATGTCTTTGCTATTGTGAATACTGCTGCAATGAACATACAAGCGTATGTGTCTTTTTGGTAGAATGATTTATACTCCTTTGGGTATATAGTAATAGGATTTTGGGGTCAATGGGTAGCTCTAAGTTATGTGAGAAATATCCAAACTTCTTTCCACAGTGGCTGAACTAATTTACATTCCCACCAACAGAGTATAAGTGTTCCATTTTCTCTGCAACCTCACCAGCATCTGTAATTTTTTTACTTTTTAGTAATAGTCATTTCTCACTGGTATGAGATGATATCTCATTGAGGTTTTCATTTGCATTTCTCTAATGATTAATAATGCTGAGCATTCCTTTATATGCTTGTTGGCCACGTATATGTCTTCTTTTGAGAAGGATATCTTTATGTCCTTTGCCCATTTTTAATGGAGTTATGTGTTTTACATGTTGATTTAAACTGTTTATAGATTCTGGATATTAGACATTTGTCAGGTCCATAGTTTGGAAGTATTCACTCCCATTCTGTATGTTGTCTATTCAGTCTATTGATAGCTTCTTTTGCTGTGCCAAAGGTCTTTAGTTTAATGAGTTCCTACTTGTATATTTTTGTTTTGTTGCAACGGCTTTTGGAGATTTCATCATGAAATATTTCCCAAGGCCTTTGTCCAGAATGGTATTTCCTAGGTTTTATTCTAGGATTTTTATAGTTTTAGTTATAATATTATGCTTAAGTTTTTAATTTATTTTGAATTGATTTTTGTGTATGATGAAAGGAAGAGGTCCAGTTTCAATCTACTGGGTATGGTTAGCCAGTTAGCCCAGCACTGTGTATTGAATAAGGAGTCTTTTGCCCACTCCTTGTTATTGTTGACTTTGTCAAAGATCAGATGGTTGTAGGTGTGTGGCTTTGTTTCTGGTTTCTCTAACCTGTTCCATTTGTCTATTTGTACCAGTAAAATGCTGCTTTGCTTACAGTAGCCTTATAGTATAGTTTGAAATCAGGTGATGTGATGCCTCTGGTTTTGTTATTTTTGTTTAGGAACGCTTTGGCTCTTTGCATTCTTTTTTGTTTGTTTTATATGAATTTTAGAATAGTTTCCCTAATTCTGAGAAGATGTTGGTAGTTTGATAGGAATAATGTTGAATCTCTGAATTGCTTTGGGCAGTGTGGTTATTTTAACAAAATTGATTCTTCCTATCCACGGGCATGAAATGTTTTCCCATTTGTTTGTGTCCTCTCTGATTTCTTTCAACAGTGCTTTGTAATTCTCATTGTAGAGATCATTCACCTGCACCGTTAACTGTAATCCTAGGTATTTTATTCTTTTTGTAACTATTTTGATTGGGACTGACTTCTTGATGTGGCTCTCAACTTGGATGTTATTGATATGTAGAAATGCTACTGATTTTTGTATATCAATTTGTCTTAAATTTTCGCTGAAATTGTTTATCAGATCTAGGAGCCTATAGGCAAAGACTATGGGATTTTCTAGGTATAGAAACATGTCATTTGAAAATAGGGATAGTTTAACTTCCTCTCTGCCCATTTGGATGCCTTTTATTTCTTTCTCTTGCTTGACGCTCTGGCTAGGACTTCCAATACTATGCAGAGTAAGAGTGGTAAAAGTGGACAGCCTTGCTTTGTTTCAGTTCTCAAAAGGAATGCTTCTAGCTTTTGCCCATTTAGTATGATGTTGGCTGTTAGTTTCTCATAGACAGTTCTTATTATTTTGAGGTATAATCCTTCAATACCTAGTTTATTGAGTGTTTTTAGTATAAAAGGATGCTGAATTATGTCAAAAGCCTTTTCTGTCTCTATTGAGATGGTTACATGGTCTTTGCTTTTAGTTCTGTTAAAGAGATGAATCACATTTATTGATCTGTGTAGGTTGAACCAGCCTTGCATCCCAGGAACATAAAGCGAACTTGCTTATAGGGGATTAGCTCTTTGATGTGCTGCTGGATTAAGTTTGCTAGCATTTTGTTGAGGATTTTTTTCATCTATTTTTATCAGGAATATTGGCCTGCTAGTTTCATCAGGAATATATTGTATCTCTGCCAGGTTTTGTTATCAGGATGACACTGGCCTCATAGAATGACTTTTGTCAGATGTATGCTTTGCAGATATTTTCTTCTGTGCTAAACAAATCTACAAGAAAATAAAAACCATTAAAAAGTGGGCAAAAGACATGAACAGACACTTCTCAAAAGAAGATATACAGGTGGCCAAGAAGCATGTGAAATAAAAGCCCAGTATCACTGATCTTTAGGGAAATGCAAGTCAAAACCACAATGGGATGCCATCTCCCATCAGTCTAAATGGCTAGTATTAAAAAGTCAAAAAAGAACAGATGCTGGCGAGGTTGTGGAGAAAAGGGAATGCTTATGCACTGTTGGTGGGAGTGTAAATTAGTTCAACCATTGTGGAAAGCAGTGTGGTGATTCCTCAAAGAGCTAAAAACAGGACAACCATTCAACCCATTAATCCTACTACTGGGTATATACCCAAAGGTATATAAATTGTTCTACCATAAAAACACATGTGTATGTTCACTGCAGCACTATTCCCAATAGCAAAGACATGGAATCAACCCAAATGCCCATCAATGGTATACTGGATAATGAAAATATCAAACATATACACCATGGAATTCTACACAGCAATAAAAAATAAAGCCATAAAAAATAAGATCATGAGATCATGTCCTTTTCAGAAACATGAATGGAGCTAAAGGCCATTATTCTTAGCAAACTAATGCAGAAACAGAAAACCACATGTTCTCACCTATAAGTGGGAGCTAAATGATGAAAACACATGGACACAGAGAAGGGAACAACAGATACTGGGGCCTACTGGAGGGTGAAGGATGTGAAGAGGGAGAGGATCAAAAAGAATTAACTATTGGGTACTAGGCATAGTACCTTGGTGACAAAATAATTTGTAGAATAAATTCCCATGACTCAAGTTTACCTATATAACAAACCTGCACATGTACCCTTGAACGTAAAAGTTTTGAAAAAAGAAATTCTTCTACTGAATTTTTTATTTCTAGAAGTTCAGTTTGGTTTGTTCTTAAAATGGCTGTGTCATCTTTCAACTCGAGTCATTTTACTGCTTTCCTTGAACTGTGTTTCAACCTTCTTCAGTATCTCATTGAGCTTCCTTGCCATCAGATTCTGAATTCTTTATCTGTCATTTTAGCCATTTCAATCAGGTTAAGAACCATTGCTGGGGGAGCTGGTTCAGTCACTGGTAGGTAAGACGACACTCTGGCCTTTAGAGTTACCAGAATTCTTTCCCTGGTTCTTTCTCTGCGTTGGCTGATGTTCCCTTAATCTTTGAAGTTGCTATCCTTTCAACAGGGCTTTTGCTTTCATATTCTTTGATGCCTTTGATGATTTAAATGTGATATAAGTTTGGTTTAGTTGATTGCCTTTGTTGGTAGATGCTTTCAAAGGGCCAAGGTTCAGCTCAGCACTCTTGGCCTACATGCTGTAACCCTGGGGGTCTGGGACCAAGCCTCTGGCTTTGTTTTCTGGCCTTTCGAGGTCAAGCACCTGTTGCACTGGAGGGGCCAAGGTGCTCCCAGCTCACTGGCAACAACACTCTGACAGGGGCTGCCAGCAAAAGAGCTGTGGCCAGGCAGTAGTTGAGGGGGAGATTGCCCTACGGCATGGTGGCATGGGGGCACGTGTGTGCTGGCTGCAGCTGGGGGGCTGCGTGTGAGGGTGCACAAGCGGATCACCCACTGATGGGGTGGCAAGTGAGGGCCCTGGTGAGTGCATGCCAATGGGATGACTGGGGTCCCCAGTGCTCATGTGCACTGCTCGGGCGATGGTGGGTCTTCCTATTCATGTTGAGAGGCTGCAGGCCAGGGGGTGGAGGCGAGGCGCGCCGGCGGGGAAGGCTGCAGGCAGGTGCACACCTGCAAGGATCTATCTGCAAAAGTGTTCCGAGGGCGGGGGTTGCTAGCAAAAGAGCTATGGCAGCAGCCACTGGCAAGCATTTTGGCAGGACAGCTGAGACTGCACTGCAAGCTGGTAAGGCCAGGTGGAGACCCTGGGAGAGGCTGGCAGACTGGGGCTCATTCAGATCAGACTTGCCCTGTCCCGTGGGCAAGAGAGCTCTGCTCTCTCCAGGTCTCCCTGCTAACTAAGGCTAAAGTCACCTACAGGAGTGTGGCAAGCTTTGGGGTAATGGGCATCCATGGCCATACTCCACTGCAGCCTTTCCCATGCCAAACCCCTTGGGCCTTGCACAGACTGGAGTTCTGTCTCTGTCAACTCTCTGGGCAGTTCTCCCTGCCAATTAAAATGCCCATGGGGATTGTGGGTTCTCCTGCAGGTAGGATCCTGAAGGTCTGTGGCAAGAGTGGGTCACTACATGCCTATGTTTCTCATCCCGTCCCTACCAGCACTCAGGGCCAGAAAGGAGTCCTGGTGCTCGACTACCCCATACAGGCTTTCCAGCTTCTGCCTGTTTCAGCATCCTCCTGTATCCACTCTGGATGCCTTCTTTCCGAAGATCTGTTCAGTGTGTGTTGGTCTCTTGATGATCTGGTCTCTTCATGGGAGAAGCTCCTCCTGGCTGTGGCTAGTTAACCATCATGGCTCTCTCCCCAATCAAAGAAAATTTGTACTTCTATTTTTTAGGCTCGTTAGGCCTTCCTCTAACAACACAAGAAAATCAAATACTGAACATAGGTTTAAGGTGTGTGGAAAAAATATGTGAATAATAAAGTAATGCTTTTGTCTTGCCCTGTCATGGGTATGTTTCTCGTCCTCCAGGGCCAGTGCTGGGTAGGTTGGTGAGGAGAGAGGGAGGAGACACTCAGAATAATTATAGTAGGATGAAATTCTTGCTCTCTCTGTTTCATGGGCAAGACCAACAGAAGGGTTAAGAGAACTAGAATCTAATGCAGAATGAAAAAAATACAAATCCATGTTGCTCAGAGTTTTATGGAATTAATTTCTGTGTGAACTCAGGGAAGAGGGGAAAGGCGAAAGGAGAACTTGGTAGAAGAGTGTATGTCCCTAGGATGGCTGACCATCAGCCTCATTTTCTGATTACCACAAAGAGGTCCTGACCTACCTCAATTAAGCCACCTACAGACCTGATGGGCTCTACTATGGCAAGAACTTCTTTGCTCTTGTGGTTATAGTTCAGTTGGATGAGAAGTTCTCTTCACCCAGATAGTGTTTTAAAAAACGACAAATGGCAGCAGAGGCACAGAGTTTATCCTCTGAGTTGAGTAATGTGCAGCAAGGGCACTTCCTCATCAGGAGGATATCCAATATTCCATTATCAACTGGACACTTTTCTACCTGGGCTGATGCACTACTTTGGACTCAGGACCCTCTGTTGTTTAATTTCATTCTCAGATAAGAAGTAATCTACTTGTAGGTGCTTGTACATTTGAACACAGGCAACCAGATGCCCTCCAGACAACTGAGGAGAGCATTTGCTCGTAAATGCTTTCAGGATTCCTAGAAACAGCATACAGTGTATGAAGTCATCAGTTACTTTGTGAATTCTCATCTTCCTAACATCAAAAAACTAATCAAGAATCTGTTCCAAAAAATTACCCTCTGCAGGGAATAGGAGGACTATTAAGCAAATAGTAACTCGACACTTATGTCAGAAATCAAGATTTGGTCTCATTGTTTTGTCGTATTAGGGGTAGGTGGGTGTGGTTTCATTCATATGTATAAAGGATTTTTCTTTGTTTCCATTATGCATGGAAGACTTCTCCGCCAAAAATATGTATGAAATAGAATAAATTATCCATTGAATAGGCAATTAATTAGTTCATTTGATTTGTACATGTACAATTCAGGCGTCAGTTGACAATAAATATTTGCACAAATAAATAGTTGCACAAGCCTCCAGTACTCTTCAAGTGTAAAGTATAATTGCCAGCCAAACTTTCTACAGATTTCTGGAGGCATGTGTAACTTATCCAAGGCATTGGTGTGTGATAGGCTTTATTAAAGGTATGGATGACATACTGATCTCAACTAATAGAAATGCAAACAGCAGTACTGGCTATCGGACCACCTTGATATATCATTTACTGCCAGCCATGTTAATCAAGATACTCTCCCTAAAGTGTTTCTCAACCTTCATTCTTCCTAGCAGAGATATTTCGTCACTATCTTTTACTCAATCCCAGTTTTAAAACACTGAAGATATTTTGGGGAGTGGATATAATTCTGGTGGTTATGTATTTTTCCTCCCAGCTTTGTTTAGGTTTTTGTTTGTTTGTTTATAAGGAATATAACAGCTCATTCATTTATTTTGTTCACAAGACAATATTTATTGAAACCTACTATTTGCCAATCCCAGTGTTACATTTGAAGGACTCAGTGACCCTGGGATTTAGTCATTAGGTTTTATGGGAGAAACCTGTCTAAAGAGATACAGGAGGGATATGTCAACATATCCTGAGATTTGTTTGCTAACCAAATATTCCTTTTAAAATGCTTTTAAATTCCTTCTCACAAAGCCTCACCATGATTTGAATGGCTGCACTGTGAGGGCAGTGTGTTACTGGTGGACGTGTTAATGTTCATGTCAACTGTATGAGGACAGAACAACAGCTTAGAACCAACCACAGTGCTATGTATTTAAGGCAAATACCCCAGAACTACAAGCTGGGGAAATTGCTTTTTTATGATGGAAAACAGACAATAAGCAACTATGACTGGCAGTCAGTTTTTAATTAGTCTTAATAGCTAAACCTAATGTCTCTGACTGGGACAAATTATTCAGTGAATTTTAAACAGAGTAGAACTTAATCATTTGCCAAGTGGGTTTTTCTATATTTGAAAAAGCAAATATATTGTGAACACAAAATGCATTGGGTGATTTTAACACAAAAATCTGAGAATTAGAAAGTTAAGGTTGATAATTTTTTAATTATACTTTAAGTTTTAGGGTACATGTGCACGTTGTGCAGGTTAGTTACATATGTATACATGTGCCATGCTGGTGCGCTGCACCCACTAACTCGTCATCTAGCGTTAGGTATATCTCCCAATGCTATCCCTCCCCCCCACCCACCCCACCATAGTCCCCAGAGTGTGATATTCCCCTTCCTGTGTCCATGTGATCTCATTGTTCAGTTCCCACCTATGAGTGAGAATATGTGGTGTTTGGTTTTTTGTTCTTGCGATAGTTTACTGAGAATGATGATTTCCAATTTCATCCATGTCCCTACAAAGGACATGAACTCATCATTTTTTATGGCTGCATAGTATTCCATGGTGTATATGTGCCACATTTTCTTAATTCAGTCTATCATTGTTGGACATTTGGGTTGGTTCCAAGTCTTTGCTATTGTGAATAATGCCACAATAAACATACGTGTGCATGTGTCTTTACAGCAGCAAGATTTATATTCCTTTGGGTATATACCCAGTAATGGGATGGCTGGGTCAAATGGTATTTCTAGTTCTAGATCCCTGAGGAATCACCACACTGACTTCCACAATGGTTGAACTAGTTTACAGTCCCACCAACAGTGTAAAAGTGTTCCTATTGGCTGGGCGCGGTGGCTCACGCCTGTAATCCCAGCACTTTGGGAGGCCGAGGCGGGCGGATCGCGAGGTCAGGAGATCGAGACCATCCCGGCTAAAACGGTGAAACCCCGTCTCTACTAAAAATACAGAAAATTGTCCGGGCGTAGTGGCGGGCGCCTGTAGTCCCAGCTACTTGGGAGGCTGAGGCAGGAGAATGGCGTGAACCCGGGAGGCGGAGCTTGCAGTGAGCCGAGATCCCGCCACTGCACTCCAGCCTGGGCGACAGAGCGAGACTCCGTCTCAAAAAAAAAAAAAAAAAAAAAAAAAGTGTTCCTATTTCTCCACATCCTCTCCAGCACCTGTTGTTTCCTGACTTTTTAATGATTGCCATTCTAACTGGTGTGAGATGATATCTCATTGTGGTTTTGATTTGCATTTCTCTGATGGCCAGTGATGGTGAGCATTTTTTCATGTGTTTTTTGGCTGCATAAATGTCTTCTTTTGAGAAGTGTCAAGCTACCAATGACTTTCTTCACAGAATTGGAAAAAACTACTTTAAAGTTCATATGGAACCAAAAAAGAGCCCCCATCACCAAGGCAATCCTAAGCCAAAAGAACAAAGCTGGAGGCATCACACTACCTGACTTCAAACTATACTACAAGGCTACAGTAACCAAAACAGCATGGTACTGGTACCAAAACAGAGATATAGATCAATGGAACAGAACAGAGCCCTCAGAAATAACGACGCATATCTACAACTATCTGATCTTTGACAAACCTGAGAAAAACAAGCAATGGAGAAAGGATTCCCTATTTAATAAATGGTGCTGGGAAAACTGGCTAGCCATATGTAGAAAGCTGAAACTGGATCCCTTCCTTACACCTTATACAAAAATCAATTCAAGATGGATTAAAGACTTAAACGTTAGACCTAAAACCATAAAAACCCTAGAAGAAAACCTAGGCATCACCATTCAGGACACAGGCATGGGCAAGGACTTCATGTCCAAAACACCAAAAGCAATGGCAACAAAAGACAAAATTGAGAAATGGGATCTCATTAAACTAAAGAGCTTCTGCACAGCAAAAGAAACTATCATCAGAGTGAACAGGCAACCTACAAAATGGGAGAAAATTTTTGCAACCTACTCATCTGACAAAGGGCTAATATCCAGAATCTACAATGAACTCAAACAAATTTACAAAAACAAACAACCCCATCAAAAAGTGGGCGAAGGTTGATAATTTATCATTTACGTAGACGACAATACACTGTAAAATATTTATATTACCAGTTTGAACAAATATATTTTATTTCATAAAGATGAGGCTTTTTTCATAAGTCTGTTAATTAGGGAATTAGGCAATACTCATTAGACAATAGTAAAACTATATCTATATTTACATATATGTGATGATATAAATGATAGGAATACTTTTTAGTGTTGCAGAAGTACTCGCTCTTCCCATTCATATGCCTTATTATGAGAATTCCCAATTTTACTGTGGAAATGAAAGGACGCATTTTTTAAAAGCCTAAAAAATATTGAAGTCAGTAATGTGGTTTCTGATATTTAGATGCAGACACTGAAATGTTAGCATTAATAAAAAAAAGACTTGAAACAAAAAGGAGGGAGATTGCTATCATCAGCATGGCCCTGAGCGCCATGGATTCATCTTTGTCATTGATGTCTTTTATTTTTGCTCATAACTGTGTATAGAATTAGCACATATCTCTTTTTTGTCTCTCTATATAAGTAAGTATAGCTTTCTGGGATGACTTGTGGGATCCTCTGAAGGGAGAGGCAATGGCAGAGTAGCTTTTATAGCTTTGCAGCTCTAGGGGTCCCTCTGTTGCTGTTCAAATGGCTCAAAGTAGCACTTTCTTTGAGGCCACTTCTGTGTGTCAGAGCGAAGTCTGGTCCAGGAGGACATTCTGCTTCCTTCTGTTCCAGCCCCAGAACGCCACAGGTTTTGGGAAGCTGTATTTAGCTGTTGCATCACTTTCTTGTGTCTGCTTTCTCTAAGCCCTTTCCTCTACGATCAGAGCCTTCTTTCTCTCTTATGCAAGTGGATCTTTATTTGCTTAATGTACTTTCCTTTGGGCTGAGGCTATATCCTTTTGGAAGAGCTCATTTGCTGGACATTTTTGAGATTTTCAAATGCTGAGGACCACCACAGCACTTCTTTATCCTCTTATGTTTATGAGCACTTAGAGCCTGCAAGTATTGTTCCCAGTTTCACCAGTCAATCTCAAAACCATATGCCCAGATTTTTGCTTAGTATACAGTCCTCTCCAATTGGGGGCAAGATTTTTCTGTCATGTGATTTTGCCAAAGATGTCATCTGTAAGTTTTAATTTTGTTTTGCTTTTCTCTCCTCGTTGCTTAATGAGACGTTCAGGGGGTGTTTGGGAGAAATTCAAGTCTATACTGCAACTATGTTTAGTAAATGATCATGTTATTTGATCCCTATGGCTTTATTTTAAAAAAGTTATTCCATGATCCTATGAGGAAAAAAAATTATTAGCTATTGCTTTTTAAAAAGTAATTTTCTTCTTACATGTCTTCATTCCCTAATCATCCATTGGAGTTGAGTTATGCCATGGCCTGTCCACTAACTGTTTACTCTCCAGTTAAAGTCCACATATCATTCTTTTTAAATCTGTTAAGTGTGCACCTGCCTGTGTGGCCTGGGTTGTGTCTTCTTGGCATGGTTTTTCAGAGGATTTCTTTCTTTGTGGCTTTCTCTGTGAATTTGCTGACAGCCTTCAGCTATCCCTCTTCTGCTCAGGCATGTGCTTAAGCTTGTTGTCTGGGTTGCTCACTGCAGGACACGAGCCCATATTTCAGCCAACTATGCTGCCAAGCAACCACTGCCACTGAAGTGGACTTGCCAGCCCATCAATCAACAACCTCTGTTAGGCTTCGATTTGGAGTGTTGATTAGCTGCCTCTAGTCATTCAATCCTCTCTGTAGTCATGCCCAATGATGACAGCATGTGACTTTTCTATAAAACATTTTTCTTTGTACTAAACTTCTGAATTCCATGTGTTGTATGGTTTCTATTTTTGTTCCATTTTACAGAACTCTGGATTATTCTTATTTATTTCAGAAGTGTAAACATGGTCACAGCTATTACATATCTTTAGTTTTTGAGTTTAAAGATATTCAGAATGATTAAATATTCTGGGTTGATATGATCTCAGGTAACATAATCTACATTATAACATTATATAACGAATGTATGCATTAGTTTTTGTCTGTTTCTGAGAATTACTTGAAAGCATAGATGTTATTAGTACATTGGGACAAAAAGGATTCAGTTCAAGACTCTCTTTCTTGTTGGGTCTGAGAGAAGTCACTTGTGGCAACCTGTGACAGTTAATTACAACATAGGGCAGCCTGATGTTTTGCGTTACAAGTTGTAGCCTGGCTAACCCATATAACTTCTGGCAGGTACACAATTATAGGTGTACGTCTGGAGGGAGATTGAAAGGCTCCGAAGGACTAACCTGGTACACCCAAACATCAGCAACAACAAAGAAACTCTAAGCCTTTCCAGGACAGTTTTCCTTGATCAGAACTTAGCTCCCAATAACATCTTGTGTAGTCTCCTGCGAATCTCCTTAGTCTTGATGGAATAGATAATTGGGTAGAGCATTGGAGGTACAAAGAGACATGAACTTGTGCACATATTCAGGAGCATGCCTCCCAAATCGATGAACCATGGACACACTAACCATAGGCACATAGAAGATCAGCACTGCATAGATATGTGACACACATGTGTTGAGTGTCTTAAGCCTCTCACCCCTGGAGGCAATGGCCAGCACAGAATGTAGAATGAGCACATAGGAGAGGAGGATGAGCAGTGAATCTACACCAAAGGCAGAGATGACAATGAACAGGCCATACATGCTGTTGATGGTAGTGTCTCCACAGGGCAGCCGAATCAGGTCTGCATGCAGACAGTAGGAATGGGCCAGTACCACACTGGCCTTACAGAAAGGCAGTCTCTTCAGGAGGAAGGGAAGTGGGAATACCATGCAGAAGCTGCGGATGACAATGGATATGCCATTGTGGGCCACACGGACATCAGTGAGCACTGTGGCATAGCGCAGCGGGTTACAGATGGCCACATAGTGGTCAAAACTCATGGCCAGTAGGATGCCAAACTCTGTCCAGGAGGAAAAGTGGATGAAGAACGTCTGGGCCAGGCAGGCATCAAAAGTTGTCTCTGGGGCATGAAAACACACAGCAGCCAGTACAGTGGGCAATGTAGAAAAGGACACACCCAGGTCATTAACAGAAAAAAGAGACAGGAAGTAGTACATTGGCTGGTGCAAGCTCTGCTCTTCCTTTATGATAAAGAGGATGAGGATGTTGCCCAGGAAGGAAATAGCACAAAGCAGCAGCAGAAGGGCAGCCAGCCAGTGCTCCAGACCCTTCATCTCAGGGAAGCCTGTTAGAGTGAAGCTGGTAGTACTTGAGATGTTAGTCCCAAAGCCCCCCATCAGGGTTTCTGAGTGACTTTTAGGCAAACGCAACCTGGGTGAATTGAGGTGAGATGGTGGGAGAAGTGAAGACTAGGAGTGGTTGATATCTAAAACTAGGAGAGACAATGATGCTTAGATTCCAGTGCCAAAGATTTGGAAAGTTCAAAAAAAACCAGATTACATTTCAGACCTTCTATAGCCTGGCAGCACCCTTAGATCTGTCATGAGCTCCAGGTTCTTCCCCATAGAAACCTTTGACTAATTTTTAGATATTATCCTTTATTTTTCTTGTGTCTATATAGTTTTTTACATTGGTTGACGTCTTTCTCTAATGGTGAAAAATGATTTCCCCTTTCTCTCTACTGGGTCATAGCCATCAGTTTCTTCCATAAGTGAGGTGCACCATGTCCTCCATGAAGTCTTTCCTTAATATTCCCACCCACTGATTGATTCTGTCTTGTGCAAGTGATGACATCTTTTGTGTATATTCTAAGCTGTCTCTCCTCTCTTGCCTATACTCAAGCATTATTTCAGTTCTCTGCCTTTTCCTTGTGGCTTGAACCCCTCACTTATTCACCAAGGGTCCAGAATGTCACATTCCTCCACACCTGACTCTCTTGGTTTTGCCTTTCTATATTTTAACATGGATTTTGTTTTAATCTCTGTTTAGACCACAGATTCTCAAATTGTGCTGTATGCTAGATTATTTTAAGAAGCATTAAAATATTCCTTTCCTCAGAAGAAACCTATACCAATTAAATTTGACACTGTGCAAGTAGAACTCACAAATCAGCATGTGTTTAAACTCATAGGCAATTCCCGTGTGCAGCCAAGTGTGAGTATCAGGAATTTAGGTCACTCCTATCAGCATTCAAATATGTCCCACCCATTATCACTTCTTCCCCCCGAGGATCAATTTTGGGAGTTACTATCGTAGAAAACAAACAATCACAAACTTCAGCAAACCTCTTAATTGCCCCCTCATTTCTTCTGAGTAATCACCCATTTTCCACTCACTTTCACAACTAATACCTTGGAAATTATTGTCTACCCATAATGTCCTCCATGTCTCTGCTCTGTGCCTCAATTATCCCAAATATATGTCTGCTGCCCAGGCTTCTCTTCTCAATATGTATTCACGCAGCCAATTTCCAACTGGACTTCCAAATGTAAGAGTTCATTGTCATCTTAAACATAATGTGCAAAATTGAACTTTATGTCAATTATCATGTTTTATCCTCTTCAAAGTTATCATCTCATCACCAGTCACCATCTATTCACGTGGTCATGCCAGAAAACCCTGGAAGTCATTCTTAATATTTCTCACCCTCTCCTATTTACAAGTCTATTAATCCATCGTAAACGCTGGTTTCCTCTCTCCATCTCACTTCCAACTGTCACTCATCCCTCAACATCTTCAACCAAAATATCTGCAGAACCTTCCTGAGGATCACCCAGCTTAGTATCATGCCTCTGTCTAATTCATTCGACACAAAGCAACCAAATTATTTGTTTTTAATATAAAGTGATGTTACTCTTTTACTAGAAACCTATCAATGGCTTCACTTACCTTATGAAATAAGAAATAAAAATTCAAGTCCTTACCATGGATCATAGAAGCTGCAAGACCACATAAGAACTTGTCGTCTTCCAATAATTCTGATCATTCATTTCATTTCTTCTCATAATTTTGGCTGCTGTACATACTCACACATATTCTTCTTTGTGACTTTTCTTATCACAGCTTAAATTTTAGTGCATTTATTATGTACTTGTTTAGTTATTTGATTAGTATCTTTGTTTCCCCAAAAATTTATAACTCCCTGTAACTGTCTGTGTTTCTTCTCATTTTATTCTCAATGCTTAGGCAAGTGACAGGGCATAGAGAGCCCTAGACTAGGACTCAGAGATTACCAGTTCTAGTTTTAATGGTTAAAATATTGATCAAATAGGCCAGGTACAGTGGCTCATACCTGTAATCCCAGCACTTTGGGAGGCCGAGGCAGGTGGATCACGAGGTCAGGAGTTTGAGACCAGCCTGGACAACATGGTGAAACCCCGTCTCTACTAAAAATATAAAAACTACCCAGGCGTGGTCACACATGACTGTAATCCCAGTTACTCGGGAGTCTGAGGCAGTAGAATCCCTTGAACTCGGGAAGTGGAGGTTGCAGTGAGCTGAGATCGCACCATTGCACTCCAGCCTGGGTGACAGAGCAAGACTCTGTCTCAAAAAAAAAAAAAAAATTGATCAAATAAAACATTTTATTAACAGGAAGAATGTATTAACATAAGAGCTACATGTTTTTACTGTAAAATTGTTTAGGTAAGTAAAAATAGCTCCCCTAGCATCTAATAACTGAGTTTTTATTTCACTTTTGCTACATACAAGCTGTGAATTTACTTAGCTTCCTCACGTCTTATTTTCACATCTCTAGAATAGAAAGAGTAATGCAAAGTAAACATTGAAGGTGCTTATTCAGACTCCCGGCACAAGATGTACTGAATAAATGGCAACTAGGAAAGTTGTGATAAAGAGGGACATTGAGGGGCTGAAAGTTCCGGATCCCATCTCCAAACTGTCTTCCCACATTCAGTTTCCCAATCAAAGGTTCCCTTCTTTTGTTTCACCATTTTATCCACCATCTATGAGAATATTGGCATATGAGTTAATCGCACTGAGGCATTCACACCAAACAAAGGCTTCAGAAGATGCACCTCTGAGCCAGAGCTGTACACGCTCAGAACCACACAGTGAAGCTCCAAGCACGAAGCCAGCATAGTGGCAGTTCAGGCACCAACTAGATGGGGGATGTGCATGTGGGGAGAGAAATGGAGTGTAGGAAAATAAAAATTACCTTAAATCACAGACTGTCTCTCCTTCAAATCCCTGTACCCTAATCACTAAAGGATTTCGAAGCTATGAAGGAGGTGCCTGAGGGCCTCTGTGGGGGAAGAGATGAGGTCCCCACTTACCTCCTCAGGGTAGCTCTGGTGGGTGGGAGGAGAGAGGCTGGTGAAGTGTCCACTGAAGGGAGAAATACCAAGTACTGCACACACTGCACACAGCCCCACTGCCAGCCTCCACCCACTCCCTGCTCTGAGCTCTATAAAGCTGCGTCTTCAGAGTCCCCTGGTTCTGCTAAGTCCAAGGGCTCCAAGAGGTAGCTGGGCAGCAGGGATTCTAAAAAATCTTGAGTGAAGGACTCCTCTGTGCTCTGCCATTTCTCCCACTTAGAAGTTTCAAAGGAATTGAGAATGAAGACTGGCTTGTCCTGAAGTGATCAACATTTTCAGCTCCTCATTTTGTAGGAGAGCTGACGCCCAGGAAGAATCCATTCAGTAAGCCAATAACAGAGCTGAACTGAATCCTAGACCACTGATTCTCACTGATTCTCAGATTAGGGTTCTTTCCAGTAAGCATACCACAACTTAAATGCATTTCAAGAAGTCAAAGGGCACAACGGAGAGGAGCCTAATTATTTAGAGTCATCAAATAAGGTGACCATCCTTGTTTGCCCCATCCTGTACTGGTTTTAACACTGAAAGTCCCGCATTAGGAGAAACTCCTC
This sequence comes from Homo sapiens, assembly GCF_000001405.40. Classification (NCBI taxonomy): domain Eukaryota; kingdom Metazoa; phylum Chordata; class Mammalia; order Primates; family Hominidae; genus Homo; species Homo sapiens. Next base: position 5,472,977 of record NC_000011.10, read on the forward strand.
AGTTTTGGCAAGCTGATAACAACTTGCCACCCTACTGCCAGACCTGGATTCAAAACAAGCTCCTTCCCTGTCTAAATGAATGTCATTAAGAAAATTAGTTGATATGTTCATGTTTCAAATTCCTTATTTGTAAAATGATACACAAATTCCTACACATCTTGGCATATTTGAAACAGTATCACATTGTAAACACTTATTAAACAAGAACTATCATAAAGACTTGCCAATTTTTTATATGCCAGAAAAAAAATCTTGAATAAGGGGTGCAAATGCCTGTTGACTCTGGAGTTTTGGAGGAGTCTGAGGGGTGTTTGACTTTTAAGAAACTAATGTAAGGGTCTTAAATTTTGTAAAAGGATGTCGGGGCCATCTTGTATCACATTCAACCTTTCATAATGAAGAAATGAAGGCTTTAAGGGGTAAGAAGCTTGCTGATATGCACAGACAAATTATTTAAAGAGTTAGAAATTGTACAGAGTTCAAACAGTGTTAGATAATTATAATTATCCTGATGCAGACCCAAATTATCTGCATTTATCTTGGCTGAAGAGTTAATGTGAGAACAATATTTATTTACTAAGTATCTGTGATTCTGCTAGGTTTTTTGACACAGTTAGCTCATTTAGTTATCAGTGAAAACCTTATGAATACATTTTATCATACTTGAAAGCAATATGGAATTATTTAATGGAAAAATAAGCATACACATTTAGAGCATCAGAAGAGTATTCAAATTCTTTATAAATATATGTGTGTAATATTTGATGCCTTAAAACACATCAAAGACTTCCTCATGAAAAACTAGAACTTCATTGGAAATTTTACAACTGTTTTAAATTATAGGACAAAAAATTTAATTGTTTTAAATTACAAAATGAGTGTGTGTGTGTGTGTGTGTGTGTGTAAATGTGTGCATGAGAATGGGGAGAGAGTGTGCACGGGAAAGTACCTGTAGTTACTAGGAAATGAGAAAAATAAGTCTGCCTTCTTAGAATTCATCAGTAATTCCATCACAAGACATCAGAAGAGGGACATAAAAAGACACCCTTATAGGAAACAATGATTCCCAAACATTTGAGATTTGACTGATTTAACCTAATTACAAATATAAGCCATGGAAAATAATTACTATTTATTGATGACCAAGCACATACCATAAACTTACAACAATCTTCATATGCATTATTTAATATTCAAAGCACCTATGAGTATTTTTATTCACCTTTTGTAGATGAAATATCTGAAATTCAAAGAGATTACACAACTTGCCATATCATAAAATTATTGGTTGAGAAAAGATTTCATTTCAATCCAGGATTAAAATTCATGATTATAAACAGATGTACTCCCCCCAACACACACACATAAAATCACCACTTACAGGAGGAGATAAAGGCGAACAACACAAGAGACTTGAAGGACAACAATAATCAAGCAGGTCTATAGAGAAGACCCTACTAGCCTGCTAAGTACCATGATTTAATGAACTGTTTTTTAACAAATTAATAATTTAACCAATTAATAAATTGTTTTTGGAGATTGATATTTATCTATCCAAACTTAAGACACGAAATTTTTGAATTTTGTAGTTAAGCCTTTTCCTCTTGTTTGTTGTTTACCCAGAAATATAATCATGATATGTTTCTCCCCAGGTAGTGTTTACTATTCAAGTTGACAAGATAATTTGTGCCAATGCAATAATTCTATTTCTCATTGGAAATTAATAACATCACACATACATTTCAATGTGTTGGTTAGTGTAAACTCATCTTTGAGAGAAAAAACCACGCTGAAGGAGGTGCTCAGGTATGACAGTGAACAGGATAAGCATTTTCTCAAATCTCACAGTGATCAGGACAACAGGCTAAACAAATAATTACATGCATTAATTTGCTTTAGAGAGTAAGTTTGGGGTGGTAGGAATAGGAACCACTTTAATGGAGAAGAACTAAAATAATCTGGAAAATTAGTTTAATTGAGACCAGAAAGATAAACTAGAAATGGCCAGATAAAAGGAGGAGTAAGCTCAATAAATAGGTGTTTGACTTATGAACTCTACTTGCAAAAATATTATATCCTTTTGGATCCAAATCCTGAATATTTTTCTGCTTTACTGACGTCTTACCAGTCCTACAGTCACTCTCTAGACCCAAATATCAACATTTCAATAACATCTTAATGGACTTCCCCACATTATTCAGCCCTCTTCTAATTCATTCTCCATATTACATCAATATTAAGTCAACTTTCATCATGCTATTTTCATGATGATAAAATCCGAACACTCATATTGCCTGTAAAACACTGTGTAATATGATCTTCATTTTCAACTTTACATTGAATATATTCAATCATTGTTCTCTTGTTCTGTTCCAACCAAAATGACCTCCTTTCAGTTCCTCGAAGATGCAAGGATCACTCCAACCTCAAGGCCTTAACAAATGCTGTTTCACATGTCCTGGAAGCTTTTCCCCATGCACTTTCCCTTCACTGGGCTAGTTATTTATCCACCAACTCTTGGTGGATATTAAATATTATTTAAATATTACTGCCTTATGGATCCCCCTAACCCCTTAGCCTGAATGAGGATCTACTAATACTTACATAACATTCTCTAGTGATCTTGTCTAACATCTTGCAGAGTTATGATTAAATGATCTAACATAAATGGAAAAGTATGCATTTATTGCCTTTCTTCTATGTTATTATGTAAATTCCATGAAACATGACCATCTCTCCTATTCTTTAATATATTCAAGGCACCCAGCATGATGTTTAGCAAATATTAGGCATACAACTAATATTTTTGCCATAACCAAAACCATCAGCATAACAGCATCAGCATTCCTTCCACAAGCTTTTGCAAAATTGGATGACACACATGGTAGGGTACATGTGACTAGCATACACCTATTCAACCTATGTTTCTTTGCCATTGTATCTAGATCCATAGCAGCCTCACAGTACCATCTTGTAGCATGGACCACACTGGAGGCTTGATTCTTTTTAGATGAAACTGAATTCCAGTCCAAACCCTCTCTTCATGCCTCACATAAAATCCTCATAAAGTGATTTACTCACTTTTCTACCTTAATTAATCCAAGTCCATGCGCAGTAGAGAAATCTTTAGCTCTATAGGCTGTGTTAGAGAATCCTTTTCTTGGATACCACAGACAGTAATCATGACATCTCAGTGGATTATAACTATTTCCCCCCAGTAATAACATTCATGTATACTTATTGAGAGCTTTATGTGTTGACTAATTCTATAAACTCGTTTAAATTTGAAAACATTATGAAACAGATTCATATTTTGCATATCAAAATGGAGCCACTGTGAGTTAAATAACTTATCTATAGTCACAAATCACACAAGTGACAACACCAGCATTTGAACCTAGGTACTCTTAGCTGTTATGCTGTATGGCCACAAGGGGGCACTCAGAGGGTAAATGCCTGTTTGTATCATACTCCAAGGATTCCCTTCCATGCTGAAGGGGTCTGACATGTTTAGGTGCCCAAAAAATAGTCACTGGATGAAAGAATGAGCCTCCTTTGTGACTTGGTATCTCTTAGGTCTCCAGCCTAAACTGAGACCATCAGTATTTCATGTATTTACACTGAACAAGCCGATAAGAGGAAGGACAAGAACTGTAAGACTTTTCACAGTGATGTCACCAACCCAAAATAATACCAGTCTTGGATTTGGGATTCAGACTATGTGAGTTTCATCTTCTGTTCTTTGACTTACTAGTTGTGTTATCCTAGACAAGTTACTTAATCTGTTCTTTACACTTCAGTGTCTTCAGCTGTAAAACAAGAATAATATTTTACCTATATCATTAGCTTGCTGATATGTTACAGAGTTAGATAGCTAACTAGCTAGGTAAAGTAAAATATCCTCTGAAGTTTACCTAGCACATTAACAGGCCATCGAAAAACAGGAAGATATTGGTCAAAAGGTACAAAGTTTCCGTTATACAAGATGAATAAGTCCTAAAGATCTACTGTACAAAATAATGCCTATAGTTAACAATACTGTTTTGTATATTTTAAAATGTGCCGAGAGGGTAGATCTTAAGTGTTTTCATCATCATAAATAAATAGAGTGGGAAGGAACTTTTAGAGGTGATGTATATGTTTATGATATGGATTGTAGTGATGGTTTCATGGCTGTATACTTATATCCAAACTCATCAACTGAATTTCGTGAGCGCCAGGGGAGATGAGTCTCTTGGGGGCCCCATGAGTAGTGATGGTGGGCCCTTTGCAGCCAATAACCACATCTGGAGAAAATGGCTCTGACAGGAAAGAGAAACACTTATCCCTTGAGATGAGCACAGAGGTGCACTTGGAGAGCACCTCAGTGGGGAACCAGTGGGCACCACAATCCTACCGGTCACCTTGAGGCTCACCTCCTTGAAGCTCCCAGGTTCATTCCTGGGAGCATTCCTGCCTGCATTCATCTCAAAATCTATCCTCTTTCTGTCTCAGTTTATTACAAACCTAATTTATATGTATTGGGGGAGGAGCCAAGATGGCCAAATAGGAACAGCTCCGGTCTACAGCTCCCAGCATGAGCAACGCAGAAGACGGGTGATTTCTGCATTTCCATCTGAGGTACCGGGTTCATATCACTAGGGAGTGCCAGACAGTCGGCGCAGGTCAGTGGGTGCGCGCACCGTGCGCGAGCCGAAGCAGGGTGAGGCATTGCCTCACTTGGGAAGCACAAGGGGTCAGGGAGTTCCCTTTCCGAGTCAAAGAAAGGGGTGACGGACGCACCTGGAAAATCGGGTCACTCCCACCTGAATATTGCGCTTTTCGGACTGGCTTAAAAAACGGCGCACCATGAGATTATATCCCGCACCTGGCTCGGAGGGTCCTACGCCCACGGAGTCTCCCTGATTGCTAGCACAGCAGTCTGGGATCAAACTGCAAGGCAGCAGGGAGGCTGGGGAGGGGCGCCCGCCATTGCCCAGGCTTGCTTAGGTAAACAAAGCAGCCGGGAAGCTCCAACTGGGTGGAGCCCACCACAGCTCAAGGAGGCCTGCCTGCCTCTGTAGGCTCCACCTCTGGGGGCAGGGCACAGACAAACAAAAAGACAGCAGTAACCTCTGCAGACTTCAATGTCCCTGTCTGACAGCTTTGAAGAGAGCAGTGGTTCTCCCAGCAAGCAGCTGGAGATCTGAGAACGGGTAGACTGCCTCCTCAAGTGGGTCCCTGACCCCTGAACCCCGAGCAGCCTAACTGGGAGGCACCCCCCAGCAGGGGCATACTGACACCTCACACGGCAGGGTATTCCAACAGACTTGCAGCTGAGGGTCCTGTCTGTTAGAAGGAAAACTAACAAACAGAAAGGACATCCACACCAAAAACCCATCTGTACATCACCATCATCAAAGACCAAAAGTAGATAAAACCACAAAGATGGGGAAAAAACAGAACAGAAAAACTGGAAACTCTAAAAAGCAGAGCACCTCTCCTCCTCCAAAGGAATGCAGTTCCTCACCAGCAACGGAACAAAGCTGGATGGAGAATGACTTTGACGAGCTGAGAGAAGAAGGCTTCAGACGATCAAATTACTCTGAGCTACGGGAGGACATTCAAACCAAAGGCAAAGAAGTGGAAAACTTTGAAAAAAATTTAGAAGAATGTATAACTAGAATAACCAATACAGAGAAGTGCTTAAAGGAGCTGATGGAGCTGAAAACCAAGGCTCAAGAACTACGTGAAGAATGCAGAAGCCTCAGGAGCCGATGCGATCAACTGGAAGAAAGGGTATGAGCAATGGAAGATGAAATGAATGAAATGAAGCGTGAAGGGAAGTTTAGAGAAAAAAGAATAAAAAGAAATGAGCAAAGCCTCCAAGAAATATGGGACTATGTGAAAAGACCAAATCTACGTCTGATTGGTGGACCTGAAAGTGATGAGGAGAATGGAACCAAGTTGGAAAACACTCTGCAGGATATTATCCGGGAGAACTTCCCCAATCTAGCAAGGCAGGTCAACGTTCAGATTCAGGAAATACAGAGAACACCATAAAGATACTCCTCGAGAAGAGCAACTCCAAGACACATAATTATCAGATTCACCAAAGTTGAAATGAAGGAAAAAATGTTAAGGGCAGCCAGAGAGAAAGGTCGGGTTACCCTCAAAGGGAAGCCCATCAGACTAACAGCGGATCTCTCGGCAGAAACCCTACAAGCCAGAAGAGAGTGGGGGCCAATATTCAACATTCTTAAAGAAAAGAATTTTCAACCCAGAATTTCATATCCAGCCAAACTAAGCTTCATAAGTGAAGGAGAAATAAAATACTTTACAGACAAGCAAATGCTGAGAGATTTTGTCACCACCAGGTCTGCCCTAAAAGAGCTCCTGAAGGAAGCACTAAACATGGAAAGGAACAACCGGTACCAGCTGCTGCAAAATCATGCCAAAATGTAAAGACCATTCAGACTAGGAAGAAACTGCATCAACTAACGAGCAAAATCACCAGCTAACATCATAATGACAGGATCAAATTCACACATAACAATATTAACTTTAAATGTAAATGGACTAAATGCTCCAATTAAAAGACACAGACTGGCAAATTGGATAAAGAGTCAAGACCCATCAGTGTGCTGTATTCAGGAAATCCATCTCATGTGCAGAGACACACGTAGGCTCAAAATAAAAGGATGGAGGAAGATCTACCAAGCAAATGGAAAACAAAAAAAGGCAGGGGTTGCAATCCTAGTCTCTGATAAAATAGACTTTAAACCAACAAAGATCAAAAGAGACAAAGAAGGCCATTACATAATGGTAAAGGGATCAATTCAACAAGAAGAGCTAACTATCCTAAATATATATGCACCCAATACAGGAGCACCCAGATTCATAAAGCAAGTCCTGAGTGACCTACAAAGAGACTTAGACTCCCACACATTAATAATGGGAGACTTTAACACCCCACTGTCAACATTAGACAGATCAACGAGACAGAAAGTCAACAAGGATACCCAGGAATTGAACTCAGCTCTGCACCAAGCAGACCTAATAGACATCTACAGAACTCTCCACCCCAAATCAACAGAATATACATTTTTTTCAGCACCACACCTATTCCAAAATTGACCACGTACTTGGAAGTAAAGCTCTCCTCATCAAATGTAAAAGAACAGAGATTATAACAAACTATCTCTCAGACCACAGTGCAATCAAACTAGAACTCAGGATTAAGAATCTCACTCAAAACCACTCAACTACATGGAAACTGAACAACCTGCTCCTGAATGACTACTGGATACATAACGAAATGAAGGCAGAAATAAAGATGTTCTTTGAAACCAACGAGAACAAAGACACAACATACCAGAATCTCTGGGACGCATTCAAAGCAGTGTGTAGAGGGAAACTTATAGCACTAAAGGCCCACAAGAGAAAGCAGGAAAGATCCAAAATTGACACCCTAACATCACAATTAAAAGAACTAGAAAAGCAAGAGCAAACACATTCAAAAGCTAGCAGAAGGCAAGAAATAACTAAAATCAGAGCAGAACTGAAGGAAATAGAGACACAAAAAACCCTTCAAAAAATCAATGAATCCAGGAGCTGGTTTTTTGAAAGGATCAATAAAATTGATAGACCGCTAGCAAGACTAATAAAGAAAAAAAGACAGAAGAATCAAATAGATGCAATAAAAAATGATAAAGGGGATATCACCACCGATCCCACAGAAATACAAACTACCATCAGAGAATACTACAAACACCTCTATGGAAATAAACTAGAAAATCTAGAAGAAGTGGATAAATTCCTTGACACATACACTCTCCCAAGACTAAACCAGGAAGAAGTTGAATCTCTGAATAGACCAATAACAGGAGCTGAAATTGTGGCAATAATCAATAGCTTACCAACCTAAAAGAGTCCAGGACCAGATGGATTAACAGCCAAATTCTAACAGAGGTACAAGGAGGAACTGGTACCATTCCTTCTGAAACTATTCCAATCAATAGAAAAAGAGGGAATCCTCCCTAACTCATTTTATGAGGCCAGCATCATTCTGATACCAAAGCCAGGCAGAGACACAACCAAAAAAGAGAATTTTAGACCAATATCCTTGATGAACATTGATGCAAAAATCCTCCATAAAATACTGGCAAAACGAATCCAGCAGCACATCAAAAAGCTTATCCACCATGATCAAGTGGGCTTCATCCCTGGGATGCAAGGCTGGTTCAATATACGCAAATCAATAAATGTAATCCAGCATATAAACAGAGCCAAAGACAAAAACCACATGATTATCTCAATAGATGCAGAAAAAGCCTTTGACAAAATTCAACAACCCTTCATGCTAAAACCTCTCAATAAATTAGGTATTGATGGGACGTATTTCAAAATAATAAGAGCTATCTATGACAAACCCACAGCCAATATCATACTGAATGGGCAAAAACTGGAAGCATTCCCTTTGAAAACTGGCACAAGACAGGGATGCCCTCTCTCACCACTCCTATTCAACATAGTGTTGGAAGTTCTGGCCAGGGCAATTAGGCAGGAGAAGGAAATAAAGGGTATTCAAGCAGGAAAAGAGGAAGTCAAATTGTCCCTGTTTGCAGATGACATGAATGTGTATCTAGAAAACCCCACTGTCTCAGCCCAAAATCTCCTTAAGCTGATAAGCAACTTCAGCAAAGTCTCAGGATACAAAATCAATGTACAAAAATCACAAGCATTCTTATACACCAACAACAGACAGAGAGCCAAATCATGAGTGAACTCCCATTCACAATTGCTTCAAAGAGAATAAAATACCTAGGAATCCAACTTACAAGGGATGTGAAGGACCTCTTCAAGGAGAACTACAAACCACTGCTCAAGGAAATAAAAGAGGATACAAACAAATGAAAGAACATTCCATGCTCACGGGTAGGAAGAATCAATATCATGAAAATGGCCATACTGCCCAAGGTAATTTACAGATTCAATGCCATTCCCATCAAGCTACCAATGACTTTCTTCACAGAATTGGAAAAAACTACTTTAAAGTTCATATGGAACCAAAAAAGAGCCTGCATCACCAAGGCAATCCTAAGCCAAAAGAACAAAGCTGGAGGCATCACACTACCTGACTTCAAACTATACTACAAGGCTACAATAACCAAAACAGCATGGTACTGGTACCAAAACAGAGATATAGATCAATGGAACAGAACAGAGCCCTCAGAAATAATGCCGCATATCTACAACTATCTGATCTTTGACAAACCTGACAAAAACAAGCAATGGGGAAAGGATTCCCTATTTAATAAATGGTGCTGGGAAAACTGGCTAGCCATATGTAGAAAGCTGAAACTGGATCCCTTCCTTACACCTTATACAAAAATCAATTCAAGATGGATTAAAGACTTAAACGTTAGACCTAAAACCATAAAAACCCTAGAAGAAAACCTAGGCATTACCATTCAGGACATAGGCATGGGCAAGGACTTCATGTCCAAAACACCAAAAGCAATGGCAACAAAAGACAAAATTGACAAATGGGATCTAATTAAACTAAAGAGCTTCTGCACAGCAAAAGAAACTACCATCAGAGTGAACAGACAACCTACAAAATGGGAGAAAATTTTCACAACCTACTCATCTGACAAAGGGCTAATATCCAGAATCTACAATGAACTCAAACAAATTTACAGGAAAAAAACAAACAACCCCATCAAAAAGTGGGCGAAGGACATGAACAGACACTTCTCAAAAGAAGACATTTATGCAGCCAAAAAACACATGAAAAAATGCTCATCATCACTGGCCATCAGAGAAATGCAAATCAAAACCACAATGAGATACCATCTCACACCAGTTAGAATGGCAATCATTAAAAAGTCAGGAAACAACAGGTGCTGGAGAGGATGTGGAGAAATAGGAACACTTTTACACTGTTGGTGGGACTGTAAACTAGTTCAACCATTGTGGAAGTCAGTGTGGCGATTCCTCAGGGATCTAGAACTAGAAATACCATTTGACCCAGCCATCCCATTACTGGGTATATACCCAAAGGACTATAAATCATGCTGCTATAAAGACACATGCACACGTATGTTTATTGCGGCATTATGCACAATAGCAAAGACTTGGAACCAACCCAAATGTCCATCAATGATAGACTGGATTAAGAAAATGTGGCACATATACACCATGGAATACTATGCAGCCATAAAAAATGATGAGTTCATGTCCTTTGTAGAGACATGGATGAAATTGGAAATCATCATTCTCAGTAAACTATTGCAAGAACAAAAAACCAAACACCGCATATTCTCACTCATAGGTGGGAACTGAACAATGAGATCACATGGACACAGGAAGGGGAATATCACACTCTGGGGACTGTGATGGGGTGGGGGGAGGGGGGAGGGATAGCATTGGGAGATATACCTAACGCTAGATGACGAGTTAGTGGGTGCAGCGCACCAGCATGGCACATGTATACATGTGTAACTAACCTGCACAACGTGCACATGTACCCTAAAACTTAAAGTATAATTAAAAAAAAAAGAAAAGAAAAGAAAAGAAAGAGTAGAAAGTACAGCTAAAAAAAAAAAGAAGAGAAAAGGAAGACAAGGAAAGAAGTGAAAAAGAGATCAGAATAGAGGAAAAGACAGGCTAGCTGTTTAATTTCAAATTCCCTTGAAAACTCACTGGAAAATTTCCCTTGCTCATTTTTTTCTCAATTATCAACTGCTTCTTATCTTTCCCTCAATAGATGGACCACAGATCAAATCCTTAGGGGATGCCACCTGGGTTTTCCCACCTGCACATCACAGAAAGTCAATAAATAACCCCGTTTACCAATCCCCTTGACTAGAGGAGGCAGAAATACAGAGCTGAACTGAAGACATTAGCCCAGAAAACTGAGAAAGGACAAGACATTTCAACACGAATTACACATTCAGACCCTCCACTCTCTCATACCATACTCCCTTGAACCTGCAGAGAAACACAGCCTTCACTTCCCTAAACAAAACTTTGCATCCAGACACACACCTCCTGCCAAAGCCACTGCACCACCACACTCTTTCTCCCACACAGTTTCACCCTCATACACACACCTTTACACCGAGGTCCAACTTCTGCATGCTCCACCTGCAAACTCATGTCTCTTGTGCAGGTAAGTTCTTGAAATCAGATTCCTCAGCAATATGTTCAGTCAATGAACTCACAGCTAAGTTACTGACATCTAGGTGTAAGATGGGGACCCAGACACAGGATCCTGCAACAAGTTAGGAAGGGTGCCTGTATTGTGAACCTAAATGATACTCAAGTTCAATATCGTTTTCCCACTGTTTTCTAAAGGGAAATAAATGGGACCTGCTCCTGCCTCAATCTTTCTGGTCCACACATCCTTAGATAATCACAGAGTAGCAGTTACCTTACAACAGTTATTTTAAAGCTTTCTTAGAGGGCAAGAATAGGCCAGAAAGAAAGGAGAAAAGAAGATGGTAGTGATTCCAGCTCTCTAGACTCTGTCGTCCAAGCTTGTTTCCCCTATTAACACAGGTCAGTGCCAATGCTGAGCCCAAAACCATCTAGTGTCATCACTAAAAAATATCAGTGCAATGCATTATGATAATATCTAATTTTATATAGTACTCCACAAAGACATGTGTTCACTTGATCTTCCCAATACTTCTGTCAGAAGTAGAGGAGGACTTGTCTTCTTCGGTTTACCAATGGGAGAGGTTAAATGACCTGCCCAAGGACACAAAGCCAGGAAGTAGCAAACCTGGGCCTTGGCCCTTGTCTTTGAACAACAAACCCGACGGTATTACCACAGTACCAACTTGCCTCTGGCTAAATAAACAAACATTACATATGTATTATTTCAAAATATTATTATGGGCAATGTGAGAATAAACCTGCCTTTTAAAAAAGTTTTTATGCTCCAATACATGTTATACAGTATCAATATTCTTCATAGCTTTATAGGTTTTGGTTGATTTTAGCACTTTCAGATTTGACAAACTGGCATTATACAGATTGGCTACTCTTTCTCTGGCAATGAAAAGTACATCATCTACATAACCTGCAAAGAATATGGTACCCTAACTATGATTTCAAAAGAATAAGTCAGAAGCAGATTTCCCATCATAGCACCCCTCCACCAAAGGTGATGGAAGGTAGATCTCTGCTGTTCTCCCCTTCACTCTTAGCCCAGCAAAAGAAAAAGGATAAAAGAATACACAGTACACAAATCCTGCAAAATTTTACCAAAGCACATATGACATAAAAATAACCTTCCTCTCACGTTTTCTAAGTGCATCAAAAAGAAGGTTAACAGTAATAATATCAAGAATTGAGGCAACGTTCAGAAGTTATAATAGTGAGAGCTCTAGAAATAGATGTATCTTTCCCACAAAAAATGTGTTAATTGTTTCTCCAGCTATTCAGCCTTGCATCCCTGGTGCCGTCAGCATAAGCACCTGATGGACTCTGCTTGGGCTGAGCAATGAATTTGAGCCTGAACTTGCAGATCACCAGCAATGTGATTTCTCCCTTAAGGATCCCCCTCCAACTCAGAGTGAAAGTCAAAGTCCCTTCTGTGGCCTAAGGATCTAGCCTATCTTGCCTATGCTCCTTGCACCCCCACTTCTAGTCCTCCAGCACAAAAGCCTCTTTGCTGCTTCCAAACCCATCAGGCAGGCCTATGTCTCAAAGCCTTTGCACTTGCTGTCCCCCTGTCTGAAATGTTCTTCCTTCTGAGATCTGCATGGCTAGCTCTTTTGACTCAAGGCTTTGCTCAAATACTACCTTCCCAGCAAAGATTTCCCTGGATGTCTGTTACAGGCTGAATTGTGTTGGTCTCCACACCCCCAAATTCATATGTCAAGGTCTTAATTAACCCTCAGCATCTCAGAATGTGACTGTATTTAATGATAAGATCTTTAAAGATGTGATAGTTTTTTTAAAAAATGTGGTCACTAGGATGTGCCCTAATCCGATATGGCTGTTGACCTTTTAACAAGGGGAGATGAGGGCACAGGCAGAGAGGGAAGACCAACTGAAGACACAAAGGGGGGTCATCTACAAGGCAAGGAGAAAGGACTCACAAAGAACCAAACCTGCCAACATCGCGATATCAGACTTCCAGCCTCCACAACTGTGAGAGAATATGTTTCTGTTATTAAACCTCTCAGTCTGTGGTGCTTTGTGGTGACAGCCCTAGCAAACTAATACAATGCCCTAATTAGAATTTACCCCACTCCCACTACCTCTTTTTCTTTCTGTTTTATTTTTTCAAAGTCCTTATCATTATCTAACATATATTTTACTTCTGCATTTTGTTTGCTATTTATCTGCCTTTGCTAAAATCTAAGCTCTTTCACGGCAGGGATTTTTGTCTGATTGTTCATTGCTGTTACCCCAGTTCCACACAGTGACTGGTCCATGGTATGTGCCGCTAAATACTGTTGGGTTACTGGAGACCTGAGGAGGAGGAGAGGGAAGAAATGTGGGGGCATGTGACACGAAAATGTAAGACTCTGCTTTGGGAGAGCTTCTCTGGAAACTTCTTGACTCACTTCTGAGATTGAGCAGCCACAAGCAGCTCTTTAGCTTCTAAGTTTGCCTAAGACATCTACAGAGCACACAATGGGCATCCCCGCCCCTGCATTCATCATTGTTTCCAGTCTCTCCTCTGCATTTTAAACCAAAGCAGAGGGTAGGAAGGCAGATGAGCTAAGTGTCTGGGCTAGATAGGAACCTCTAGCACAGCCCTGCACTGGCTGATGCCCATGACTTTTTGTTTGCTCTGTATCTTTTGTCTCATAACTTCCTAAACACCATCGGTCATCAGTTATCTTTACTGCAGTAAAATCGTGTTTCTTTGTATTACAGTCCTAGGTGCTCTGTTATGGTAGGAATCAATAAGATGCCTCCTGTTCTTACAAAAAAAAAAATCTCAATGCAAATAAAGGGGACTTCCTAATTCCACCTCTTTGGAGCTAAGATAATGAGTAAAGATACTTCAGCACTAGGAATTGATATTAGACAAAAAAGATATTAGCCTCATTTGAAAGAGATAGGAATTCAAGTATTGGACTTATTAATGGACAGTAGGGTGAGGCAAAAACGCCAAACTCTGAATCAAGGGACATGAGACCTAATCATAGTTCTGCAAATAAAATGCCTCGTGATCTAAATTATATCAGTTCACTTCTCTGGGATTGGTCTTTTCATTGGTTAGGGATGTAAATGATAACTGTACTCTCTTTTATCGAGAGTATATGTTGTTAAAATATAAATATCTTATTTTTTTAGGAAAAAATAGGGGAATTATTCTGGGTATACAAATGTTTAATTCCATGAATAGTCATCTTTTGTCAACCACAAAATTTTGTGAAGTTAGGTCAGATGGTGTCATTCCCAATTTAAAGATAAAAACTAAGCCACAAAAAGGCTTTGGAATTTTTTTCAATGCCACATAGTGAGCAGACAGAAAATCAGAGAATGACTACATTCATTGCCCTTTCTAAATTGAGACTGTCCAGATAAGTAAGAGATTTGTTCAAAGTCACAAATCAATAATGTTACAGAATCGGGGCTAAAATTCAGATTTCCTGGCATTTCTACTCAGAATTCTTTTAGGGATACATGTTACTGAGACAATGTGTATAATACTAGCTATCCCTCTACAGCAAGAACAGAATCCCCTTCCAGTCCCTTTATGGGTGGTAAATCCAGAATACCTCACTTTTTATATCTGTCTCTAATAGCACTTGCCATTCTGATCTGACCTCACAGCCAGCCATTATAGTGGTGGATTGGAGGACTATACGCTGGCTTTGTCATGGTTGAGTGCAGTATCCTCAACAAGCATATCTGATTTACCTCACACTTCCTTCTGGTATACCCATGTGAATGCTCAAATTGCTGTATATATTCAATCATGATATGAAAGCATATTCAGGTTGCCTAGCCTCTTCATAGGCACTTCAGATGATATATATATACAAAAGTGATTTGGTGTATATTTGGCACATAACAAATGCAGAAAAAAAGTTAATGCATCATTATATCATTAATTTAAAACATCAATGCCATGTTACTAAGAATGATCAGAATTTAGTCTTTATTGAAGTTGTCAAAATGTCTAGGTACAAATACAGTCATGGGCAGTGTAGAGGTTACGGTTGCATAAAGACATAGTTCTAACCCAGCAGAATTTTGTAAGATAGTGGAAGTAGGAAAAATACAAAATTAGAGATTACCAAGACCAGTTTAGAAAGGGAAGGCCTCTGGGAAGCAGGGAAACTTGTATTAAAACTTAATAGAGAGGAGGAAAATAAAGGAATGAGACTCCCTAGGTAAGAGAAAAGGCATGAATGAGAGGTAAGAAATATCCCATGATGTGGATGGACTAGAGGTCAATAAATGATGTGCAGGATATGGAGGGAGATAAGTCTGGAAAGGTCAGTTTGAGAAGACTAATAAATACTTAGCTTGGTGCTTTGGATATAGAACTCAAAACATCATTGTTCAATATAGAAATTAGCAGAAGGTTTTAAAATGAATTATATGTGGTAGTCATTTCAGATGTTTGTACAAGTGAAAAACAAATTTTTTTAGTCTAAAAAAGATTATTTCACAGAAAGATCTTTGTTTTACATAAATCAACCAAATATCTGATGTTACAGGGCAAGCATAACAATACTATTCAGAAAGAGCCCTTCATTTGCCAGGAAGAATGTCAGATTCCAACCTCAGTGATAACCATCTTCCAGACACCTTCTTCTTAACAGGGATCCCAGGGCTGGAGGCTGCCCACTTCTGGATTGCCATCCCTTTCTGTGCCATGTATCTTGTAGCACTGGTTGGAAATGCTGCCCTCATCCTGGTCATTGCCATGGACAATGCTCTTCATGCACCTATGTACCTCTTCCTCTGCCTTCTCTCACTCACAGACCTGGCTCTCAGTTCTACCACTGTGCCCAAGATGCTGGCCATTTTGTGGCTCCATGCTGGTGAGATTTCCTTTGGTGGATGCCTGGCCCAGATGTTTTGTGTCCATTCTATCTATGCTCTGGAGTCCTCAATTCTACTTGCCATGGCCTTTGATAGGTATGTGGCTATCTGTAACCCATTAAGGTACACAACCATTCTCAACCATGCTGTCATAGGCAGAATTGGCTTTGTTGGGCTATTCCGTAGTGTGGCTATTGTCTCCCCCTTCATCTTCTTGCTGAGGCGACTCCCCTACTGTGGTCACCGTGTCATGACACACACATACTGTGAGCATATGGGCATTGCCCGACTGGCCTGTGCCAACATCACTGTCAATATTGTCTATGGGCTAACTGTGGCTCTGCTGGCCATGGGACTGGATTCCATTCTCATTGCCATTTCCTATGGCTTTATCCTCCATGCAGTCTTTCATCTTCCATCTCATGATGCCCAGCACAAAGCTCTGAGTACCTGTGGCTCCCACATTGGCATCATCCTGGTTTTCTACATCCCTGCCTTCTTCTCCTTCCTCACCCACCGCTTTGGTCACCACGAAGTCCCCAAGCATGTGCACATCTTTCTGGCTAATCTCTATGTGCTGGTGCCTCCTGTACTCAATCCTATTCTCTATGGAGCTAGAACCAAGGAGATTCGGAGTCGACTTCTAAAACTGCTTCACCTGGGGAAGACTTCAATATGAATGCTGAGCAGAAGTTGGAGATTTAAAAAAAAGTGTAGGATGGCTGTCTAGATACATTTACATGGACACACAGTGATGATGTGAAAGGAATGGTATGACATGGCAGGAAGCTCTGGAAGGAAGAGGAATAGCCAGATGAATCAGAGCTATCAATTATCACACTGAACATACTATTTTCCTGAGGCTCCTTGGGGAACTCTGAATACCCCAGAAAGGTGATAATATTCTCACACTTGTCTTAAAAGTGTCTGTGACTTACTAAGGAGAAAGTCAATTCCTGGTCTTCAGAGGCATCTGGATTTAAGAGTAGGAATATTCTCCTGTGACTCCAAGTGAAAAACAAAGAAAAGGTTTGGAATGAATTTGAGTCTGAATTCCACCACTTTGAATATTGACGTATTGGTTAAAAGCACAAAGTATAAAGTCAGAGTGCCTGCGTTTGAATCCTGGCTCCTCTACTTGTGACCTTGAGCATGTTTGAAATGTTTCTGTGCCTCAGTTTGGCCAACTGTTAAATGGGGATAAAAATAACATCTAACTTTGAATGTTGTAGTGAGAAATAAATAAGTTAGAAAAATTAAGACAGTGACTAACATGTACTCAATAAATGAATATAAAATGAGGAAGTTATGTAACCTCTCTAAACGTTACTAGTAAAGACACTTATATAAAACTTTTTTTACATTACCTCACATCACAGGGTTATTGTGATAACAATTCTATAATATTTTTAAAGTGCTAGAGATATGACTGGTACTTAATACAACTGTATATTCTTTCACTCCTCCCACACTCATCCATTTTGAGGTCTCTTTCCTTTTAGTTATAAGGTTATCCCTTATTAAGAATTCAGGGGAGCCAGCCCCAAATCCAAGTTCCTTTTTTAATAATAATGCTTTAGTAATCTCAGTTCTGAAATAAATAAGTCCAGCCATCTCCTTCCAACTGTTCAAAGAGATGATTGTTGTTATTTGCATTATAAATTAAAAGCCTGTCATTCAGGGAGACTAATAGCCTAAGGTTATGGCATTTATTGACAATATCTCATACACTGTCCAGTATTTTATTATGGGAAGATTATGAGATCTGTGTGCAGATGACCATGGACTTCCTTATCTACTAGCTGCAAGAATTAGGGCATCCCACTTTACTGCCCTCAGCATTAGTGAAGTGTTTATTATAATCTCAGGAACAAAGCAAGCATTCAATTCTGACTGCTGGCAGTTGGTAGTATTCAGCTAATAATTTTTAAATTTATAAAGGTATGCTAGATTTTATAGCTGCATGGCTTAATCTGCAGTGTTCATTTATTTGCTTTTGAATTGATAACCATTTTAATACTTCATCAGACTAGGCATTTCATCTGTGCCTTGCACATAATTAATAAGCACTCAAAATATTATGGGAAAAGTGTTAGAGATTATACTGGTATGTATCATAGTCTTAGTTGATTTAATGAATAAATACTGTCTTCATTATGCTAATGTGTAGGGTAATGAAAATATATGTCTACACAGTGTCTGGCACACAGTAGGTACTCAGTAATTTGATTCTTGTTTATTCATATTACACTGAGGCTGTTCAGATACAGTCACATCCACAAGAATCATGACGAAGAGTATTTTTACCTAGAAAAGCAATTACAAGAAAAAGTATCACAAGTTCATGGGTAAGACAACAGGGTAAGTGTCAGCTGTGGCCATGGAGAGCTCCTAGTTCAGTTGTGGAGGTAAATTCATGCACAAGGAGCTGTCACAGGTCAGGGACAGTCATGTCTTGGCCCAGAGAAGCTCAGAGGAGAATGATCAGAGGGGTGGAACAGATTGGAAGAGGAGGAGGTACCAGGCAATGGTGCAGGAAGGAGACAGCAAAGAGGATTACTGAAAGAGCTTGAGGAAGCTGGGGGTGATTACATTTCGAGGGGGCCTCAAAAGCCAGGCCCAGATAAGAAGACACGGGCAGCCCTTACAAATAAGTCAGGCTCCACTGAAATAGTGATGGATCAATCTCAATCAATTGTTACTGAAGTTTGAAGTAAAGCAATGCAAATGACTAACACAGAAAGGCAGAATTTCCCAAAGTGAAACTTCCCTGATTACCAATCCCAGTGTACAGCATCATCTTTCCCTAAAAAGGCATGAAATATGGTTTTACCTATGCACTAAAAAGAAATTCAGCTTTTGAGTATAGATAGATGTCACCAGCCCTAGAGCATGTGCAAATCATTTAGACTGCTGCATGAACCTGATCCTGCTAGAGCCTTAAACAGTCCTTCTCCTGGACCACTTTGAGAAATGAGTTCACAGTTTGGCACATAAATCAGTGCAACTGCCAAATTGCAAAGAAGACTTAACCTCAGAATCTTGACCTATTAGGTAAATTTGTTCCTTTATCCCCAAGTCTAGCTGTTTCAATTTGTGCTGAGGGAGACTCTCTTAATTCAATTTTAAGTAATTCAGCACTGGTAAGGCCCTGAAGAACTACCCTGCCAAGTTCTCCCCAATTCCATAGCACATCTCCAGAACCAGAATTCACCTCACCCCACCAAGTCTGTCTCTCTCACAAAATAAACACACACACACACTCACTCACACACATTTTCTTGTATATGTAGAATTCAAAAAAACAAAAAATAAATTCTTCCCTCTGAGCTCTGAAGAAACTCACCCTGTTTTCTCTTTCTTCCATCTCACTCCATGTTATTTGACTTTATTGTGATGTGCTAACAATGGTTCTCAGCAGCAGAGAGACACTCAATTTGCTCTTATTATAAATATATTAATAGATAATTTCTTCATTGTGATTTAGATTATTCTCTTAATTTTTCTCTCTGAGACTCTAAATTCCCAAAGAGTTGGAACTTAATTGGTCCCTTTCTCTGTGTAAAGGCAAGACAAGACACACTTTCTGTTCACCTGTTCCAAGGGAATTGATTGATTCTGACTACAGAGCAGCATAGAGCCAAGATTACCAACTCTGGAATCCAAGAGCTCTGGTTCCTACATCTTTGTTAATCAGGCGGGAGTACAGTGGCACAATCTCGACTTACTGCAACCTCTGCCTCCCAGGTTCAAGCCATTCTCCTGCCTCAGCTTCCTGAGTAACTGGGATTACAGGTGCATCCCACTACATGGCTAATTTTTGTATTTTTGGTAGAGACAGAGTTTCACCATGTTGACCAGGCTGATCTCGAACTCCTGACCTCAAGTGATCCACCCACCTCAGCCTCCCAAAGTGCTGAGATTACAGGCATGAGCCACCACACCCAGCCAGACTCTCTTTGTTATTTGCTTTAAACAGCAACAGAAACAAAATTAATGTCTTTATCTGGAAACATGTTTAACATCAGTCTGATCCACCGTTGAAAAATCCTACCGTTTGAGTTTGATAAAGGAATATGGCTGAATGGAAAAGACATTGATCCTAAGAGCTAGCTTAGGAAATATTGATTTCAGTCACCTATCTTCCACTAAATTGCTGTACACTGGCCATGGCCCAGCCAAGGCCTCGAGTCCTTGTTCATATAGGAACAGAATGAAGATATGTATAATTAGTCCACCCCATCTCACTGGGGTCTGAAGGCAGCTTGCACTTCTGAGACCTCAAGCTTGAGAAATCGATCTACCTGATTCTAAAGAGACATCATCATGTTCCCCATATCAAGGTTGAGAAATCGATCTGCCTTTTTCTAAAAAGTCATCATCATGTTCCCCTCTCAAGTTTGAGAAATCTATCTATACCATTCTAAAAAGACATTATTTTCCCCAAGAACTTATAAAGTTTCTCTCAGATAAATAAAGAATTATCTCAACTCCGAGAATCAGAGCTGAGACATGAGAAATCATAAGAAGGTAACAGTTTGAGTCTAGGTCGGTTAAACTTAACAACTATTAGATTTAAGGTATTAATATACCTGACAAGGAAACTTGTCACTTAGGAGAAAATATATTTCAACTGTAAAAGCAGAAAATAGTAAGTCTCCAAAGAACTGTGTTGACCACTCCAGGCCAGAGGAGCCCTAGGGTAAAGTCATATCTCTGCAGCAATTATTTTTATGGTGGTGGATGCATCAGACTATCTTAGGTTTAAACCATTAATTGCTACCATATACTTAACTTTTCTGATTCTAGAATTTTCAATGACTAAAAAATTAGGATTTGGCTGCCTAGAATGACACCTCCAGAAGATGATGTTAGACATAAGTGACATGAACATTTAGATCCCTCTGCAATTACCTTGTTTATCATATATTCATATATATTTTTACATTGTAATTTGTTTTAACCAGTATATCTAGGATACAACCAATATTAAGACTTGATACTTTGTAATTTCTGAGTTTGAAAGAACTTCCCAGCCAGCGGATACTTCACAGACTGAGCCTCATAGCTGGCTGTCAGCCAGCCAGACTCAGCATAACTTCTACCATACAAGTATTGCTAGCAAAACCAATTCATCTGAAAATTCCCATTGGGTCATCCCCAGTGGAATCAGATATCCAAATTAAAGTTTCTGGCTTTGTTTTAGCAAATGCATTAATGTGTGGCAAGAAATAACATTATTCCAGGTAACAATTATTCAGAACCACGTTTGCATGTCTCATGGTTCCAGGCATTATTTTCCCCCTCATAGACTTTGAGGTGAACCATTTCTTTGTCTCTTCCTCTGTGGACTTTATTGTCAGTACCTGAATGTCTCCTTCCCAAGCATCACATGACGGCCTTTCCCAGTCCACTTACATACTTGTCTCTCTTAAGGCAGGAGCTCCGTCCACATTACCCACTGAGTTCTTCATTCAGCACAGGAACCATACTTTATCTTTCTGGAGGAGCTGACATCTTCTGAATATTTTACGTCGTGTATATATTCCTTTTAGAGTTATAAAATAAAGTAACAATAATCAACTTGCCAATAAACTATTTAAGGAATATAAAAAAGGATTCTGGACTTTCTGGAGTGAAACAAGCCTGGTTTAAATCCCGCTGCCATCACTTCATAACCTTCAACAAGTCATTTTCCCTTTTTAAGACTGTGTTTCATCATGTATGAAATGATATTTTCTCAAAGATTTATTTTGAAGATTAAGGAGTTTATTCCTATAAAGTATAGGCCAAAATGCTTGGCACAGAGCAGATGTTTATTAAATATTATTATTTCAATACAAAAAATCTTTGGTACATCTTGTGGTCAGGTTGGTAACTGGATTGAGAAACAGAGAACAGATAGGTCTGTCAGGGCTGACCAAAGGTTCAGGGACATTTTTAACAGCAGGTGATATGGACAACTCCAAACATACCACTGGAGAAAGTATGGTATCCAGAAAAACCTTCTGTCAGAAGGGACATTAGCAACATAATGAAGTAGAAGTTTCCAGCTGCTATCCCCCTAGAGAAACACCAATTTTGCCAACTACCCATAAACAAGAATACCTTTGTGGGAGCCCTGGAGTCCAGATGAGAGGTTCTAGCACTACAGTGGAGAAAAATATTCAAGAGTGGATGCACTGAACGAGTTCATCACCACTAGACCAGCCATACAAGAAATGCTGAAAACAGTTCTTCAAGTTGAAATGACAGGACTATAATTAGCAACATAAAAATGTATGAAAGCATGAAACTCACTGGTAAAGGTAAGTATAAAGTCAACATCAGAATAATGGTGTAATGGTAATGTGTAACTCACTTTTAATCTTAGTATAAAAGTTAAAAAAACAAATTTTAAAAATATCTATATGATAATTTGCTAAGGGATACACAGTGTATTAAGTTATAAATTGTGACATTAGTAACACAAAATGTGTAGGTGAGGAGAAGTAAGTAAATGTAGAGTTTTTGTATGCAATTTAACTTAGGTTATCAGCTTAAAATAGACTCATGTTTTATGCAAGCTTTATGGTAATTACAAACTAAAAATCTGTAGTAGATACACAGAAGACAAAAATAAAGAGATCAATGCATATCACTACAAAAGAAATCATCAAATCAAAAAGGAAAACAAGAAGAGAGGAAGAACCAGGAGCTACAACACAGTCAGAAAACAATTAACAAAATAATGATAGTAAGTCCTTGCCTATCAATAATCACTTTAAATTAAATAGATTACATTCTCCAATCAAAACATATAGAGTGACTGAATGGATAAAACAAGATCCAACTATATACCGCCTGCAAAAGACTCACTTTAGCTTTAAGGACACGCATAGGCTGAAAGTGAAGAGATAGAAAAGTTATTCTCCATAAAATTTGTAAGCAAAATACAGCGTAGCAGGGTGGCATATTGCAATTTTTTTTAACTTCATATGTTCCTGATACCTTAACCTCTCCATGAACAGACTCTGAGCAACCCACCCCTCACCAAGTTACCAGGTACACCGGTGTGATAAGTCTGGTTCCTGCCACAAGTTCCTCTTCTTGCCTTCCCTGATTGTGACCTAGTGATATTCAAATGTACCAGTAAAATCCCCTCATGCTTCTTGCTTGTGTAGTCCACGTTGACTCTCAATGGAGGTACCTGCCCATGGGTTCACATTCTCTCTTGGCTCTCCTGCTTGATGGAGCCTGTTCCCTAGGAGTTCTTCTCATAGGGCCCCTTGCATGGCATGCCTCTGGTTCCCTCTAGAAACTGTGATTATAAATTTTTATCTCTTATGCATTTCTGAGTGTGATTTCCATGCCTTGTTGTAATGATTTGAATTGGCAACAAAAATGCGATCATTCCAAACTCCAGTGAAATGTCCCTCAGAGATGCCCTTTCACCGCTCATGGTTTAATTGCCTAACTACATAGGGCTCTACTGTTTTGGAGGCCTTTCTACTCCGATGACATTCTTGTGTACTGCCTTGCATGGCTTTGTATTACCTCTTCTGAATACTGCCAAGAATCCCCTTCCTAAAGTCTAGATCCTGTCCCAATCCCGATAACACACTCCAGGATACTGCATTCCAACTTGATCCCAGCAAGAGGGGGAGCCTCTTTTGAATTGGCCATGTGACTTGGCTGTTTTTCAGTGCACCTTTGAGTGATTATAATTTGAGGAATATCCCCTGACACTAGAAGTGGAGTTTCCCCCATCATAGGGTCATGGGTGTATATATTGCTGAATGCTAGCTGGAAAGCTGAGGGAGCCAGTAGGCTGCAGTAGACGTACGTGATGCTGCCTGCTCTCAATAGCACTTGGGAGAAGAAGATAATTCACTCTCCTCCCTCCAAGAGTCAAATGGTCCTCCTCCCGAGGATAGTCCTAGACAGCACTTCATTAGAGTCAATGCTGCTGGGACCAGTGGCACCTTCTCTGCTGCATCCTTGTAGCCATTGCTCATTGGTCTCCAACCCCATGGGCTATCACAGATCCCATCCACAGAAGATGGTGAATCAATGTTTAAAAAAAAAAAAAAAAAAAAAAAGAGAGAGGAAAGGAAAGAGAGGAGAAGGAATTCTTTGATCTTGTTTCTCCTAAGACACTTGAAGATGTTTCTCAGCTCATTGTAAATTACACTTCACCTGGTAAATGCGTTGAGTACTTTTAAGTGCTGGTACATATTGACATGTTAATAATCTCTTCCTTAAAGCCTGACCAACATGGTAAAAGCCCGTCTCTACTAAAAATACAAAAATTAGTGCAGGCCTGTAATCCCAGCTACTCCAGAGGCTGAGGCAGGAGAATCGCTTGCACCTGGGAGGCAGAGGTTGCAGTGAGCTGAGATCGCTCCATTGCACTCCAGCCTGGGCAACAGAGCAAGACTCCGTCTCAAAATAAATAAATTGTCAAACAATAAATAATTTAAAAGACAAAATTGAGTCCACTATTGGTGATGTAGACCCCCAGGCTCTCTAAGGTTGATTGGGACACTCTAGAGAGGGTATCCATCAGAACACTTGGGACTACCAGGATCTCCTCAGGTAAGCATTCAAAGAAAACAGAGATTAAAAATAAAAAACAAGTTGAGGGGTAGAAGGACTGAGTATCCTGTGGTTAAGGTTGCTGCCTAGAGACACTGGGTCCCTTCCTTTTTCTCTTGTCAGTCAAAGACAGAACATAAAGACAACTACAGGTGGCTAAACTCCTATTTTAACAATCTCTCACCACGTTTGCCTCCACCTTCAAAAGAACTCAATACACCTTTTGCCAGCTACCCATGGAGTTTCTCAGCAGCTTTGCCATCACACACAGTCTTAGCAGAGAGGCTCTTAACTATACACACCTTTCTCCAGGAGCATAGGTATGACATCACATTCATAGTATCCTCTTCCAAGGAAATGCATTTGACACGTTTATTAATGGCATGAAACAACTAATGACTGGTTACCTACTGGACTCTCCAGGAAATAGGGGCTCTTACAAACTCTTAGCATGTGGTCTTCCACTCCCACCTGCCCATTATGTTTTGGGTTTTAAAAACTAACCTTCACAACCTTGGCACAGCTAGTGAGGCCTCCCTAAGACAGTATGGAACCAAACTTGAGCCCTATAGGATATTCCACCAGCAGAAGAGGTAGCTTCCCCTGTTCTCAGTTCCTTGCCAAATGCCATGGTGCTGGAGGAGGTCACCCTTCCCTAAACCCCTTAGCTATCTTTGGCGATCCTTGGGATTAGCTGAGTGAACAGCAGTGGTAGTTCCTGGACTATGCCAATGGCACTGCTAACCATGACAGGTGATAGAGCTTAGTGGAATGTTGCTGCTTTCCATCCATTAGCCAGGATGTCCCTAACAAAGGACAGGACCCAAGAAACATCACACTTAATCTTAATCTTAAGGCAGTCACCTTAACACTGGATGCCCTGGCCAACAAATGGTCCTGTCTTCATATGTATTATAAATTATTGGGCCATTACCTACAAATTGTCTTCTTCAAGGTAAAAAAAAATCAACATATTAGAATCTCTTGCTCACGAATATACCCAAAATGTAAGTCAAAACGATATTAGTTTCAGTATGTCTCCTTATATACCAAGGTCACAATACAAGGCCTTGCCAAAACCCTCATTCCCTTCAGAGTTACAGACATTACTAATTGTAACCAAGATACACCCTTTACTTCTTAAGATACACCATGCATGCTGGGTCCTTGGGAAAGGCATTCAATAGAACTTTCGTGTTCCTGACAGGTCCCAGGTAACAGATTTAATAGACAAACATGATGACCTCCTGAAAAATCTCCTCTTTAAATTCCAGTCTGACCAATAAGCCTCTAAATGAGTTTCTGTTTTGCCACAGGCCTTATCCTATCTTTATAAATTTTCAATCTTACCCCCATTCAATAAGGGCTGGAGGCCAGATGAAGGGCATGTACTCTCCTGGGATGCATTAATCATAGATTGTCCCACAGGTCAGGGAGCTATTATTCCGACATGGGACACATTTGAACATAAAACTTTCCAAGAAAGTACAAGGCTGCAAAGGCAGGGACTGAACTTCTAGAATGAAGTTCAAGTTGACAGGGAAATTAGGGGATGACAGGGCACAAAGTTCAACTGCTTGACCTTCTGACCTAGGTTTTCTTAAATGATGTCTATGAAAAATTGGCCCCAGTGCCTCCCTATCCTGTTTTAATGTGGAGATATGATAGTACAGCCATTCAAAATAGCATTTAAATTGTTAAGCTCAAGCCTTTGGTTACTCTTTGACCTATTTCTGTGAATAATTCTATCTCTGTGAATTTATGAAAACAGGATTTATAAATTTGGATCAGCTCTGGGCCCCACTCTTGTTTCTGTCTGCACAGTAGACCTGGATGATACCATTCATGGCTTTCAGCAACACCCACAGATACTTAGGAACAGCAACTCTACATCACTGGGTTAGACAAATAATCCAGTATTTTTTATATTCCTCTGAATATGCCCAGAACTTAAACTTGTCATCTCCACTTGAAGTCTAACAGGGACCTCAACTAGCAGGGTCAAAACAGTATTTTTTATATTCCTCTGAAAAGCGTCTTCCTCCAGTTATTCTCCTTCTTAAAGGCCACTATCCTCTTAACTGCACAAGTCAAAAAGCCTTCTGTCCCATGTTAATTCCATCAGCAAGCCCTTTCTACCAAGCCTTAAAAATATGTCCTGAATCTATCACCCTATCAGTACTGTTATGACACAAGTCTAAACAATCTCTTCCCTGGACTTCTGCAGATCCAAGTACTAGCTTGTCAGCTTCCACTCTTGCCCTCACCACCCACTGCCAACTTAACAGCCAAGGGAAATGAGTTCATTTCACTATCTTAATTAAATTCCCATCTGTGACTAGGACTCCCGTGGTCCTGATAATACAGTAATGAGAACATGGAATATGTAATCTACTCTGCAAAGAATTGCCTTTTATTTTGGCAAATAGGCTCTAGAGTGCTGATGTGATCCCTGCCTAGCCTAGGGGTATAAGAGACAGTGAGCTCACAATCCCGGCCCTTTGACCTGCTAGACCATTTTGCAAAGGACACAGTGACCAAATTATGTGCACCTTTGTGAGAATTATGGAAGCAATGGGGATCTACGCCCACCTACTCTTCTGTGTATTTAATTTCACATAACTTTTGCCCTGCTTCTTTGCTCTTGCAGTAGTAAACCCAACTGAAAGCTACTTGAAACCGTTCTAAATCACCATGCTCACTAATATCTATCTCAGACCATAGTGCCCTATGTGATCTGAAGTATATAAGTAAAAGGATTAACAAAACTCCTCTGTTGCATGAGAATCTGATTTTCAGTTAAACTTACTGGCTCTGTTTCCCTGAAAAACAGACAACTGTAAAATACCAATTATATTGCTAGTGTGAAAACTGTCGGTACCAAAATGGAGTCATTCATGTCAAAATCAAACTAAATGGAGCCAGAAGATCCATTTAGTTTGGGACCTTCATAAAAGGAGGGTCCTCATGTATATTTGCCTGATAACAAGAACTGTCATAAGAGACTCTGCCAAAACCACACCTTGCAATTAAGCCGCTTCGACGAGGACATCTTTCCAGTAATAGTCCTAATTGCGGCCTTGCAAGTAGCTTTACTAAACCACAACCCTGTAGTCATGTCACTTCTATGAAGACCCACTCCTAACTATGGTCAGTGCACATGTCACCAACTGTGGGAAGCCCCTATGACCAATGAACTTTTGTTTCAAAACGACCTTCATATACTTCTCCTTTTTGCCTTTAAAAGTTTCCCTTGCCTCCACCTCCCTGAATATGCCTATGATCTGTCATAGCATGCATATCCCAGGTTATAGTCCTGTTTATTCCTGAACAAAGTAATTTATTTGGGAAGCTTGTCTCTCTGCCATTATTTTAGGTTGACACTAGGCAGCATTGCCTGTGATAGAAATGACCCTTGATTGGCAAACTTGTCTGAATGGGAAGAAGTTATAATGAATCATAAATACCTGTTGGAGATTCCATAGTTTGGGCAGCCCTGAGTTTGGGGAAATTATAATAAGGCATTTCTTGCAGAGTCTAGAACATAGGTGTATGGAGGGCTGAAAAGCCTGTTAGCTACTATGGGGCACCAGGACTTAACCTGCAGCCTCTCTCTGACTTGCCTGATACAGATTTTGACTCCTTACACCTGGGAGAAAATGACTTCTGGGTGGCTATACTAACCTATGCCTGGGCTACAATAAGAACTCCCACCAAAAGAGGAATGCCTGATTCTGCCCTACTGGTGATTTTTGCTTTGTTTCCTGTGTCCTTCGAGTAGATTCGGGCTAAATGTGGCTTACGATAGTCTTAAAAGTTTATTTAAATAAATCAAATAAAATCCTGATGGGAGTAGCAAAAGTTACCTTCTTATTATACTCAGGATAAAATCCAAGTTCCTTGACTAGCTCTAAAGCCTCCCATAGTTGCACTCCTGCCTGTTTCCTTGACTTCCTCTTGCTGATAATTTTCCTCTTGTCTAAGAAGCTTGACCACACTGGCTTCTCTTCTCCTTCTAGAACACACCAAGCGCCCAACTTACCCTTAAAGCTGCCACAGTAGCTGTTTCCTAAGACTTTATAACAAGATTGTCCCTTTTAATTATTCAGATCACGTTCTCACTAATTCACTATCCTATCACTATATTTTGATTATATGCACAGAATTTACCATTGTGTGATATTTTCTTCTTTGCTTATTAATTTCTCCCTGTTTATTATTATACTTTAAGTTCTAGGGTACATGTGCACAACGTGCAGGTTTGTTACATAGGTATACATGTTCCATGTTGGTTTGCTGCACCCATGAACTGGTCATTTACATTAGGTATTTCTTCTACTGCTATCCCTCCCCCAGCGCCCCCAACCCCCGACAGGCCCGGTGTGTGATGTTCCCCGCCCTGTGTCCATGTGTTCTCATTGTTCAACTCCCACCTGTGAGTGAATTTCTCCCTTTCTTTAATCTTGCACATTTAATCTCATCAGAAAGCTTTGTAAATTCTATCTCCAAAATATGTTCTCATTTGTCCACTTCTTGTCATACACACGTCAGGAACCCTATTCTAAGCCAGTACCATCTCTCACTTGAATGACTACAGGGGTCTTCAGATTGGCTCTGCTTCTCCGCTTGTCACTCTCTCATTCATTCTCTGTGTAAGTTGAGAATCAATGTCTCTACATGGGTGACAAAGCCTTCCTGACCTTGCACTCACCTGTCTTTCCCACATCACCTTGAAGCACTCTCCCTCTCATTCTCTGTACTCCAGACCCACTGGCCTTGTTTAAATTTTTCCATGAATGTATCGAGCTCCAGTCAAAATCAGGATTCTCTTTTATCCTTTCTCCTTTGCATGAGACATTTTTCCCCTAGCTCTTTGAATGTCTGGCTTCCTTTCACCTTTCAAATCTCTGTATAAATACTTCCTCCACAGAGATTCTATCATTCTAAAAATACATCCCTCCTCCTGCCATATGCACTAGCAATTTCCTGCATGAAATTTGTTGTAATTATAAACCAATAATCATTTGTGTAATAGAAGTGAGAGAAGAATGTGGTCTCTAGAAAGACCGGTTCAAATTCCAACTCCAGCTCAACCATTCCTTCACATGCTACCTAATCTTGGACTAGACACTTTACCTTCTTATGCCTTAGTTTACTTACCTGTAAAAATAGGTGTAATTATAGAGCCTACCTTACAGGGTTTCTGTAAGAAATAAATGAATATATGCAAAGGCTATAGAACAGTGCCTAGTTTTCCGTGAGATCTCTTTAAGAGTTAACTGAAATATGTCATTGCCACTATATTTTAAACTCCTTAGGGTAGGAAACATATCTAATCTTGTTCGCCATTGTATTCCTAGCACCAAACATCATTTCTTACATACAATATGTGCAGGAAATATTTATTGAACTGTGAGTGTCAAAGGGTAATAACTTGGAAAAATTCATGATATATTACCAAGTTAAAAAGGTAGGTTATGAAACTATGCACAGTACAATCATAGTTGTATTAAAATATATAAAAGTACAAACATCATAGTATTGGTAGTGCTATCTGTGTAGTGAATTTTTCTATATTCTTATTTTACCTATCTTATGTACAACTTACATACATACAAATTATTAGAAGAGTAGAGGCTTTGCAACTATTTATCAAAGATGCATACACTCGATTGCATGAGCATCTATTAACAAAGATCTGAAGTAATAACACAGCAACTGGTAATAGCACAGTTTCATCACAGTCTAATTCACCCAGAAAATATAATGAAAAAAACTGTCATTCAAAATAACAATCAAAAAATGTCACGTGTAAATAAACCCAAATGCGTAAAGCTTATTTGAAGAAACTACACTTTTTTTTACAAAGAAATAAAGTTTAAATAGAAATATTCCCTATTTTAAAAGGAAAGACTGCCTATTGCAAATTCCTCAACATGTTCCAATTTATAATAAAAAGCCAATCAAAATCTCATTTGGCCTTTTCTGAAATTTGACATCTGCTATAAAGTGTACTTGGAAAAATAGACAAAATTAGCCAATGGTATCTTGCAATGTCAGGCATTATTCTTTTTGTCATTAAATATTTCAAAGTTAAAATAATTGAGGAAGTGTAGTATTAGATAAAATAAAAAGCAAAGAAACAAAAACATCTATGCATATGTAGGCTATGGTAATGACGACATTTCAGTCTAGTGTAGATACTCGCAGGACTCGGGGGTAAAAATTTCAATATCACAAATTCTGCCCTGCTCTACTTTTTGAGGGGTAAGGATTAAAGCATAAATTAAATTAACTTGATTTATTGCAGTGATTAAGAGTATGGGCTCTGGAATTAGACTGTCTAATCCTGGCTGTAATATGAAGTGCTTTATAGCTTTAAGTGATGTACTTCCCCTCTTCATTTGCCTCAGCTGCCCTCATCCATAAACTAGGGATACTACTAATATCTGCGCTAAAGGACTATTGTGTGGAATCCGATGGTAAAAGCTTGGAACAGAGCCTGACATATAGTAAAGCCTCAATAAGTGTTAGCTAAAATTAATATTAAATAAATACAAGTAATGAAGCCCTAAAACATATAGAAAAAAAATATGGGCATGTGTTTATGATGAAGATATTAGTTTTGTTTTTTTAAAGAAAAAAAAGAAATAACACTGATGCTTAAAAGCACTTTTTATGGTTTGGATAACTTTCTCCTTAACTGCCGTCTACTTTCCTAGCTAATTGTTATCCACATCAGCTCTCAGTATTGCAGACTTTAACACGGCTTGTTTTTCTGCTTTCTAGCAAATCTCTTGGTCTGAAGAAAGAGTACAATTTCTTTGGAAAGGGCCATGCAGTAGGCCCAGCATGACCAAAACTCTGTGACTCTATCTTCTCTTCGCCACCTGTGTAACCCCCTTGTCATGTCCTTCCACAACTCAGATTTGATCTTGGGCCATGGCTGATAGAGTGTAAGAACAGGGACAGCAGATGGGAAGTCCTAGGAGGCCTGCTCTTTCAGCAACATCAGCCTGCAGGGACCTCCTCCCCCTAAAATTCTCATAGCCTTTATTTTCCCAAGCACAAGCTTTGGTCCTGTGACATCTTTAATTTGATTTGTATCTATCCAGTGTCCCCAGTCACTTCCTCATTTGTTTTCTAACTTAGTCACTCATTGTTTAACACTCCTTCAATCACTGATTGCACACTTTCCACGTACCAGGCCCTACCTTAGCTGCTAGGTAGAAGACAGTGACCCTCCCTGCCCCAGAAGCCTCCTCCTCCTGGATTCACCACCTTGGAGCCAGGCATGAGGCTGATGAGTTTACTCTTTAATGAAGCTAGAGCAAGGATTCCAAGCACCCAGTCAATTGTGAAGAGCTCTAAGAGGTTATGGCAAGAGAATTATCCACTAAATGAACACTCTTCTCCCTAGCTAAGACTTTTAGACCCAATTCACCTGGTGTCTTCCCTGATGAGCAGGGCTTAACTTCAAAGGAGCCTCAGGTTTTCTTTGGCCCAGATGAAAGGCAGATAAAAACAGTAACATTTCTTCCCATTAGGTGTTTTTTTGTTTTGTTTTGTTTTTGCTTTTTTCCTCAGACCCACCTGGCCTTCCAATTAACAGGACTTCACTTCATATGACCCTCAGGTTTTCTTTGGCTCAAATGGAAGGCAGATAAATGCAGTAACATTGCTATTAGGTTTTTTGTTTTTTTCCTCAGACCTATCTGGACTTCCAAGGATGGAAATTTGGGGTTCAATGTATATCTTCCCCAGTCAGAGGCAGACCCAGAGAACTCACCTCATGAACGGAAGAAAATGGAGAGGCAAGACTTTCCTCTTCATTTCCCCTAGCACCACCATAAACAATAGGTTTTTCTTTAATCTGGACAAAAACTATCCCCTAATGGGGAGTGGAGTGAGGGGAAACTGAAGCTGTATTTGTCCGTTTTCACGCTGCTAATGAAGATATACCCGAGACTGGGCAATTTATAAAAGAAAGAGGTTTACCGGACTTACAGTTCCACATAGCTGGGGAGGCCTCACAACCATGGCCAGGAGAAGCAAGTCACATCCTACTGGAATGGCAGCAGGCAAAAAGAGAGCTTGTGTAGAGCAACTCCGGTTTTTAAAACCATCAGATCTCGTGAGACCCATTCACTGTCACGAGAACAGCATGGGAAAGACCCACCCCCATGATTCAATCATCTCACACCAGGTCCCTCCCACAACAGGTGGGAATTATGGGAGCTACAAGATGAGATTTGGGTGGGGCCACAGAGCCAAATCATATCAGGAACCTTGTGCTCCACCTAAACATTGAAACCTAAATCGCTAGAATAAATGTTTTCCCAAAGGCTGCTTTTATCTCCTTTAAACCGTGTGCTAGCAGCTCTAAGTTACACAGGCTGATCAAAATATCCTGAGCTCCAAGTAGAGGTTCCCTCTCTCCCAGTACTGAGTCTCTGACATCTAAACACACACCACAGCCACTTTTAGGTATCCCCCATCAAGACCTCTTTACTTCCTTGATAGGAAAATACTGTGAATGTTTCTTAGGTTTACACTTCCATTTTGCGATGAAACTCTGATTTAACAGACTGTGTTTTGTATGTATGCTTGTACATATGTACATAGAATATACCCATGTGAAGACATATTTAAGTGGATGTGTATTGTGTGTTTGTGCGTTTCTCTACAGTGGGTTTACCTGACACATTTGTGTGCATATGGACTGGAAAGCATTATTTACTGGCTTGATTTATGAATTGCAACACTTTTACCCTAGAAGTACATGGTTAATGGAAGGCATCCTTGAATGCAAACAAGGATCTAGTCTGAGATCCCAAGGGCATCTTCTATGTGTTATGCACCTCCTACCTCAGTGCCTTTGTACATAATAGCTCTTCTGCAGGAAAGCTCTTCCCTCCGCCTTGAAAGCTTTACCTACTTAATTCTTACCACTTTTTGGATTCTAGTTTGCAGTACACACTCACAGAAGCCTTTCCTTTCTCCCCAGACTAGATCAAGACCCTGTTCATGCTATTTCACAGCTCCTCATCTTTTTCTTTACACCATTTCTCATAGTTTGTAATTATATATAATGTGAATTATATAGTCACAATTTGCACAATTCTTGCTATAAGATCATAAATTCATTGAGGCAGGGCAGTGAGTAAAACTCTTTTGCTCATATTGAATTCCTAATAGCTAGCAAAATGCTATACACAAAGTATGTCTTCAGTTTTGAGCTTGAAGTTGCAAAAAATTAACTCTCTGGATCTGGCTACAAGGGACTGTATAAAGTCGGTAAGATTCAGGAATCTGAGAAGTCACCCTGACTCCTTTGCTGCTCTATCTCTATCTGCTTAGAGATCAGCATCAAATCCTGGAAGTGCAAGCTGCTTGGGGGATAGTCTTCAGGGGAGATAAAAATAAGAAACTATAACCACTTTTCAGTCAGGCTAGTGGTAGGGAGCTCGGAAAACCAGAGCACCTGGTAGCAGCTACTACAGGACACAAAATCTGAAGAAACGCTGAAAGAACACTGGGAAAGTTGCAGGCCTCGACCTTCAAAAGGTTGCAGCAACATTTCCTCCTCTGTTCTTCATACCTGTGAGTCTTCTAACTTCAGACCTTTTAGTTTCCCTCCAAGTCCTTCCATCCATGTAGAGACAGCCCTTATCACTACTTCTTCTCCCATATCCATCCTTTTTCTCATAGCCCACATGAATGAGACTCAGGCAAGAGTTCACATTGGAAATTGGGTGTAATTGCATCTCAAGATAGGCATAAGCAGAGCTTAGACTGGGGCCCCCCAGTGGTATAGTGGTACAAGTGGTTGACTCACACACAGCACCTCCACTATGTTTTGGCCATTAGTCTTCCTCGTTGACTCTGGAACAACATTGCCTCCACAGCAAAGGACTTCATAGTAAATTTGGTTTATAATGCAGCTGTATTCAAAAATGGGAGAGCTAGGGAACTAGGATATGGGAAAAAGGCACAGAGGAAAACGTATGGTTTGAATGAATAAGGCTCCTACGACTGTCTCAGCTTCTCCACAGCAGCATCCACGTCGCCCCCCGTAGCAATGAGGGCCTGAAGATTGGCTTCACGATTCAGAAAGCCCATGGACCGCAGTTGCTCCAGCTGCACCTGAAAGTGAGCCTCAGGCTGCAGCTGCTGGGGATTTGTACTAACTAAATCTTGCAGCATATGGAGAAAGGGAGGGGAAAGGAAGCCCAGCTCTGCAGAGTCCAGTGCTGGGAACACCTCAGGAGGTGGATTTGGGAGAGGATCCTCAGACATAAGGGGATCTTCTCTAGACTCTATACCTCCTGCCACACTACCCGTCCCTGCTAGGCAAGGCATGAACCAGAGTAGGAGGCGAGGTGCTTCAGTAGCTAGGACCTGTAGACCCTGCTCAATCTGCCGCAGGGCTTGCAGGGCACGGGGGTTTGCCATGGCTGCCTGAAGGTGCATCAGCAGTGGCAGCTGTGGTTGTATCTCATCCTGTAACTGTGGAGCTGGATTCATGCCATCTGGCCTCAGAGATCTTGGATAAGCCGGGGATGGCAGCCAGGGAGGCTCAGGGATTCCAGGAATGGCTGCCGTGGGGGAAAAAGATAAGGGAGCAAATGGAACCCTGTTGGCAGAATCTCCCAGCCCCGAGACAAGATCAGGCAAGTTTGTGCTATGTCCAGTAGAGCTTTTCCCTGCACCATCTTGGTCTCCACCTTGTCCAGTACTGTTCTCTGTGGGGTATCTCAGGAAAGCTGGGCAGGAGGACCTTCCCTTGATTGCTACTGACTCCTCGGGGAGAGGCTGGCCTGACCCAGGCTCCTGAGATGAGGGTGACGATGGGGGAACTCTGTTTACTGATGGTGGTGGTTCCTGGCTTTGGCTGAGGGCAGATGCAGTCCCCTGTAGATAAGTTCCTAGGGACTGGGGGTTCTCGTGTAATTGCTGGAGATAGTCATAGAGCCTTATAATACCCAGAAAGTTTGGAAACCTATTTCTAATGTCAGGTGCATCCTGATCCCCATCCTGCCTTCCTTGCCTGCTACCTGAGCCTCCATGTGTGGAAGTCCAGGGGTTGGGGAGAGGGTCACAATTCTCCATCCTTGAAGGTTGGCTGGTGGTGGTGGTGGCATTATCAGTAGTGGCAGTGGCAAAGGGATTGCCGCCAAACTGCTCCTGGACTGCGTTAAGCATTGGGTCCATAATATCTGTGTACATAGTGCAAAGCACATTGTAGCCACCAGGAATGCTCTCCAAGTTACTGAGCACCCGGTCCTGGCTACGTATCATCTCCTGCATCATGGCAGGGTTACGTAAAAACTCCAGTGTCTGCCGCATAATTTCCGGGTTGTTAAGAATATGCCCAATCTCAGGGTTGTGCTGGATCAGCTGCTGCATATGGGGGTTGTCAAGAACCAGCTGGCGTACTAGGCCTGTGTTGGACAGCAGACCCGGGATGAAGGGGTCATCAATGAGCTGAGTCACAAACTCAGGCACAGACACATGCTGCCGCATCAGGGAGCTTGGCTGGTCAGGGAAGCCACGATAGGCCAAGCCCAGCCTACTGAGGCCTGTGAGGAGACCTAAGCTAAAGGCAGGGGGCCCATCTGCTGGGTAAATGGAGCTTGGCTGAGGGAGTGATCCAGGACTTGGGCCCTGGGTAGGGACAGAGGCAGCTGGGCACTCATTGCCCATGGCACGGTGCTGCCTCTTGATGACCAGGTGGACAGTGAGGCCATCTCGCACTCCACACTGTGCCAGTGAGTCAGGATCCTTGAGGATTTTGCCAGCAAAGATTAGAACAAGCTGATCGGGGTGGGCCTTAAAGCGCTGAGATATCTCTTCCTTCAGCTGCTGGATAGTGCATGTGTCTGTAACTGAGAAATCCTCCTTGTCTTTGGGCGTCTTCACTGTCACCTTGATGAGGTGGGGATCCTGGACTGGTGCTGGGCTGCCCTGTGGCAGGGCTTCTCCACCTTTGGCCATGGTGGCAGCAGGAGGCCCAGATCTGTGGGGACACAGCTAGGGGCATGGGGATTGGAGACCAAGATCATCCTTTCAGGCAATGGCAAAAGTAGGAAGGGTGAGTATGAAAAGGGTCTTGAATATCAGGATAGGGAAATCTGCAGGGTCTACATGAAAGGGGCCATGAGGTTTCTGGGGCAGGATGCTTTAGGAAGATTGCGGGATTGAGATATGTTGGAATCAGGGGAGGGAAATGCAGGGCCCTGGGAAAGAGGTCTGTAGTTGATGAATACAGGGACAAAGGTAGAAGGAAGGGCCCAGCTGGGGTGTACATACCAGTCAGCTGTGGTCCCGTCCTTCTCTTTATGCAGGGCTCCAAACCTCCCTCATCTTGCTACACAGCCACCCCTGAGGCCTTCTGGGCCAGAACCCGCACTATCAGGTCCCTTCTGTGACCTCAGTGCTGACGTCACAGCCTCACACAGAGAAGATTCTTGAGACTTCTCTAAGGAGCTCGGGATCCCTGGGAACTCTTGCTCTCCCATCTTTTACCACTTCTACTTCCTCCACCTCAAGTGCCTTCCTGTGGAGACTTCTGTGGAGGCTCAGACTGGGATTGGAATGTTATAAAACATCTCTCAGTCCTCTCTGTCTCCATTCAGACCCACATTCAGCTACTTCCTGGTCCAGGGTCTTCTTCCTGGTATCCTATGTCCCAGTTTTCTGTCTTATTCAACATTAACCATGAATTCTTTACGTATTTTCAAAGTATTGATTCGCTGATGGATAGGATTTGGGGTATAAGGGAGGAGTCAAGCATGAGATAACTTTTTTTTTACTTTAAAAGAAATTGTTATCCCCAAAGGAACTCAAAGGATTGAATATTTACTAAGACAAAGATTGGGAATAAGCACTTTGTCTAAATTAGCAGGTTGTTAAACAGTTTTACATACATTTGAGATGTCTATTTTACATACAAATGGAGATGTAGTATTGTAGTTTAATATTATAAGTCCAGAGTTTATTAGCATTCAAAGGGTACTTAACATCATGGACTGGTTTAGATTAGCTAGTTAGTGCATACAGGCAAAATGATAGAGATTTTAAAATCTGAGTTTTGTGGCTGTATAACATTTAGAAATCTGGAAGATCAGAAGAATTTGGCAAAGGAAACGGAGAAAAAATAAAAGAGTAAGGTAGAAAAAAAGAGAGAGAAAAGAGAAAGGCCAAAGGAAGAAGAGTTTCAAAAAGGAGAGAGTAACCAATCATGTGAAATGATGCTGCTAGGTCAGGAGGATGAGGATTGAGAATTGGCCACTGGATTTGAAAAAATAAAGAATTGGAGACCATGATGAGACTAGCTTTGGAAGGATAGTAGAGGCAGGAAGCCTAATCAGAGTGTGTTTAAAAGCAAATGGTTTGGGAAAAAGTAGATCCAGTTAGGGCATTTTAAATGCAAGAAAGGGGATGACGGCTATGTGGGGATGTGGGGTTAAAGGCTTTTTAGATTTTTTTCTTAAGAATAGTGTAATGATGTTTATATTCTGATAGAAACAATCCAGTGAGTAGAAAAAATTGATGCATGAGAAAGGGAAAACTATTAAGTTCTTGAATAGATAAGTTAGAGAGATTGGGAGCAAGTGCCTATGTGGAGAGCTTGATTTAGGAATATGAAGTTTATTCATGATAGCAGAATGAATGGGAGGCAGAGTGTATTGGGACAGTTGTAAGCTAGTTGGTTGATTTCATGGTAGACACAGGTAGAAGTCCCTTCTGATTATTACTGTCTTTCTTGTTGAAATAAGCACAACTTTAAGATTTAGAATAAGAAATGGATATTGAAGATCTGAGAAGAGAAAACAAGATATGAATTGATCATCTGAAAGAATAAGTGTTAGGTTTTGAAAGGAAGGCAAGGCTTAAAGAAAGACACACACACAGCAAATGCAGGGTTTATGTCTAGCATAAAACCTAGAGAAGTGTGGGACCAGCCTAATGCCAGAGCCCACCACTGCTTACAGGCTGGGGTAATTTATAGGTATGGGAGGGAGGGGTCTGGGCAGTATGGCTTGCTGCCTGGCAGGATATTGATAAGATGTGCTCATGATGAGGCAGTTTGGTCCTTGTTTCTGTAGGATGTCATCGTGGTGTTCAATGGACCTTTGCGCAGCAAGATATGATAGGGATGTTGCTTTAGTTGGACCTTTGTCTGCCTTGTGGTCAGGTGGTTAGGCAGGATGTTTCTCACAGCCTGAACCCCCGTGAAATGTTTCACTTTGACCAAGGTCTGCAAAATAGTGGGAAGTTTACAAAATGGTGCAGTTTGGACTAACAATAAGGTAGTGAATTAACTAGGATAGTGGATTTCCAGGTATGATCTCCAAACTGACAGCATTAGCATCACCTGGAAACTTATTAGAAATTAGAGATTTTAACCCAACGGTAGACCTACTGAATCTAACACCCTTGGAATGTCGGGCAGAAATCTGTGTTTTAACACGCCCTCCAGGTGATCCTGGTGCAGATTCTGGTGAGAATCACTGGACTGGGAAAATGCAGTTAGAATTACTAAGACGGTAATTAAATCTTTTGGTAATAAGTTTAAATGAAACTAGTCAGCACAGCTGTATGCCGTTTTTTGCCTAAACAGAGACTAGGTGAAGAGTTGAGTATCACCATGATAAGTTAACTAGGCAAGTATTATGCCACAATTATTATCTTCATGCATCATGAAATAATCTTGGAGCCAGAAAACTGGGCTGAGAAGCAGCAAGATGGTGCAAGAGTGACATCTATCCACTTCCAAGTCCAAGGGAAACACAGATGTAGCCACTGCTGGAGAAGCAGTGTCTTCACTAGACATTCAGATCTCCATTATAGCAAAAAGGTGTAGTCATCCTTAGGAAGAAGGTTGTAGATATGTGGGCTTTTCTATTGCTAAATTATGACTTCTAAATGGTAGGATGAAGAGGCTGGAAAACTGGTGACGAGTAGAAAAATGAGTCAAGTGAGGAATTTTCAGAGCATATTGTGATGAAAATAAAAAAGATGACCTGGATAGCCTGAGCTTTTTATGCAAGCTGTAGCAAAGAGGGTATGAAGCTTAATCATATTAAATGGGGAGGTAAAAAATCCATTTTCACTGTAATTTATTTATTGAGACTTATCTTTTTGGTAGGTGTAGACATGAAGTAGGGGTCTTTGGCAGTGAGCTTTCTAGAAACACTTGGAAGTTTGTAGGCCCGCCCTTCACTCTTACCGATGGCCATGTTGGGGCTCAGAAGGGGTGGTCTGTTGAGCACACAAATCTCTGTGGATGGGTCCCCTTTAGAGTCCAGAATCTACTCCTCAACACCTCCCCTGCTCCCACCCTACTGCAAGAAACTACTGTTTCTCAACTGCTCTATCATAAAAGCCTCCTAACTGGTTTCCCTGCTTCCCTGGTTTTCCTCTACCACAGTCCATTCTCCACTCTGAAGCCAGACTGATAAATTGAATTATTTGATTTATTTGCTCAAAACTCACCAGTGACTATTACATTCACAGTAAAATCCAAAGTTTTCACCAGACCTATAAAACTTTTCACAATCTCTCTGACTTCCTCCCCATTCCCCG
Source organism: Homo sapiens (assembly GCF_000001405.40). Taxonomy (NCBI): domain Eukaryota; kingdom Metazoa; phylum Chordata; class Mammalia; order Primates; family Hominidae; genus Homo; species Homo sapiens. The sequence continues at coordinate 5,513,153 of NC_000011.10, forward strand.
CTCCTTTTTGTCCATTTCAGCTACATCACCTCCTTGTTATTCTTAAAACATAGCAGGAATACTGCTACCTTGGGCCTTTTACTTTCAGACAGCCCCTGGATCTTCCTTCTCCCAGTGAATTGCATGTTCAGTTCTCGTAGTTACTTCTGACTTCTGCTCAAATGTCACCTTTTCAGAGAGGCCTTCCCTCATCACCCTATGTAGAATATCTTATTCTGATTCATTTTTCTTCACAGCACTTACCACTTAACATAACTTGTATCTCCACAAAAGAAAGTAAAGTCAATAAATAAAGGATCTTTGTTTTTTTCACTGCTATTTTTTTCAATGCCTAAAACAACATTGAATTATTATGGTAAAAGTGTTTTAAATTATTTAATCATGGAATCATTAAAACACAAATAATTGCATATCCTGCCATGGTGGGATACTCTAGGTGAGGCAGAAAGAGAAAAAGGTGGGGCATTGGCAACCATGGAAAATGTAAACTACAAACATAAGATAGATATACTGAAGGAGGTGATATTCTTGGAAGGTGCTGTGCCCCATGGAGGGCTGGATTTGTGGTGACTGGGATATACAGTGGAGATGGCAGCAGCTGCATCTCTGTGTGCTAAAGAGACAGTAGAGACAGCCCATCACCATCTTATAATGGTGGCAAAATCAACGAGCAGGAGGTTCCAATGATGATAACTATTCATCCGGACTTGGTTAATATGTGAATTCACCCTACTCTGGCCCTCATATTATTCCTGTTCCACTTTCAAACTTGAACAATTTGGGTTTGAGAAATTCAGGCAGTCTTTATGACTAAATATCTGGGCCTATCTATGTAAAATGTTTCCCTTTCTGTTTGAGCATGTTATGATTGTTTTCCCTACATATGGGTCTATTTATGTGTCTCTAGGTATTTGCATCTGTGTTTGCACATGGCTGTGTGTACTCATATGTGGACTCTATATGCCTGTATATGTGAATTTTTTACTATGTGAGCTTGTGTACATACACACACCTGTCCAAGGTGACATGCTCAAAATAATCAGTTTCATATACCATGCTCAAGTTTCATATACCATGCTCAAAATGCTCATGTTTTAGAGATAAAAACATTATTTTTATCTCTATATTAATATATGCATGTGGTTTGTGTGTTAATGTACATATAGTAGGTGAGACAAAAATCTCACACAGCTAGTTTTTTCTTTTTTTTTTTGCAAAAGAAGTAAAGCCAAACCTCAGATCGCAGCAAGTGAGTGTAGCCATTTTATTGACAGATGTTTCAGCCACGACCAATGATCTATTATTCAGTACAAGACACATTGGTTGATAACTCTTATTCCAGGACTTCTCCTGGCTGGAAGCATCAGGAAAGGTGCAAAAGGCAAATGAGATG